>NW_025791821.1:300000-600000 GCF_000001405.40 Homo sapiens
TGTTGTTCTATTTCCACTTAAGTTTATTTTTACTTCTGCTAACTCAATTGAAAATTCTTTACTAATTTTTAAAATCCTTGAACCCAAGAGATGGAGGTTGCAGTGAGCTGAGATCAGGCCACTGCATTCCAGACTGAGTGACAGAGTGGAACGAGATTTCAAAACAAAACAAAACAAAACAAAACAAAACAGTCACTGGAAAGATAATAAAATACATAAATGTGGGATGTAATATGTAATCGTGATAAAATAAACTGGATTTTTTGTATAAGTTATACATATAAATGTAATGCCAAGACACTGATAAGACAACTCATGGTCTTATCTCAATACTTAGTGTCTTCATGTAACATATGTCCTTTAGGATAGTTATAGTCCGTTTTCTTTCCAGGAGAGACAGATGAGAATGCAGAAATGTTAAAGTGCAAGGGACGGAAGCTTCCAGCTGTGCCCACCTGTAACCTGACGTAGACAGTTCCACCGTTTGCTTCATTAATCATGCCAAAGGCTCTAATGCAAATGTGGTACAGAGTCACATGTTTTTGTATCTACATGATAGAAACTATAACTTCATCCCTATATAGAAGGGTATATAGCATATGCCTCAGTGATAAATATAAGTGAATCATTGATCAGTAGGAAACCATTTTAAAAGTCTTTCATAACAGAACAAAATCCCTGAAAACATTTTCTTCTCAATCTCTGAGTTTTCTTACACGGCTTATGAATCTCTAGCCATACTAAAGAGATAGTATGCTGCTCTTCCCACAAATTATTCATTGTATATAATTCCTGTAATCTAATAACAGTACCTTTACACCTCAGGGTTTAAAATGACTCCAACCTTTTTCTGTTTCTCCAATTAAAATAACTTTTTTAAGGTTTAATCTTCAGTAATTTTTGTAGTAATATTTTTGAAGGTATTTGACCAGGATGATTTGCTTATATACCTACCTGACGTCTCCCTTTCTTCTGAATACATATTTTATTACCCACCTATTAGATCTAAGTTTAAGAAGTTGGAATAGGGATTTAAATCTAAATTCTACATTTGAATTTACAGGAGTCAGCGAGTCCGGGAAGTGCCTTTATGCACAGACCAATATCTGGCAATGGCACTAGGAGACAAATAAGCTTTACCAGTCTCAAAGCCCTGGCTACTACAGTGAATCCACCCTTCTCCTGGATCTTATCTACTTCAGCAAAAGAAGGCCACCCACTAAACCAGGCCCTTGTACTTTGGGTGGAAACTCCTAAGTCCTCTAGTCTCCTCAAACAGACAGCCAGGCTGCCAATTTCCACAATAATAATTTCTATAGCACTGAGCCTTTGGTAGCCTTGTAACTATAGCTACTGATGCTACAGTCTGGTCCCTGTATGATAAAACACCAGAGCAACAGAAACAAAAATATTGACTGAAGCCTTCTAAAATCTCTCTAAATATACCTTCAATAAATATGGTTTTTTTTACAGAACGACTGCTTTCAGCTTCCTGAACTAACGCTTGGCCTTCGCTAGTTGTCACTGTTGAAATTGATTCAAAAGTGTACCTTTAACATGAAAGTCAACACAGAATTTCATGTGTCAGCAACTAAAATTTTCAAAATGTTGCAAAATACAAATGTGAAACTGTATTTGTGAAATTTACCATTCATTGAAATTATATTTTCATACCTACCCAGGCACAGAATTTTTTATAACTGTCTGCATGTTCTCCTCATGTGGGGGAAAAGCAGCATCAGCAGGCAGAGGAATCCTTTGAAGCTGGAGGGAGAGGTTGCAGTGATCTGAGAGTTTGCCACTTGACTGCAGCCTGGATGACACAGTGAGACTCCAACTGAAAAGAAACAAACACACACACACACACACACAAACACACACCCCCAAAATTCATAAGTAAAAAAAAAATCCATATTCGAAAACATGCTCACAGGCTAACTCCCATATCTAACACACACACACACACACACACACACACAATTCCTTGAAAACGAAAGTTCCACAAGGGCAAAAGAAGAAAACAAATTTAACACCCCCCAAAGAAAGTACAAAGAGTAACCTCAAAAGAACTGCAGGGGAAAACAATTCAAAATTTACAAGTATCTACCCTAAAAGAAGCTGAAAGTCCCTCAAAAACTTTCCAGAGGCCATGTCCTTGTATTACAAAAATGATCATAAAAACTGGCAGGAGTAGACGAATAGAAATGCATCTTAAAACTTGCTAAACCCTTCAAGTCTCCCATAAGAATTGTAATGGAAAATGGATCGGTCGGCAGCTTTTTCCATACAATTATGAACAAATTATATTTCTTCATACATAGATTTGTTTTTTCAATATTCTAAGGAATTAACTTTTATATTAATAGTAGGTGATGTAAGAAAGCAGGCCTTTATCAAGATAACTGACACTGGATGTCCATACCATTACTCAGGTGGGCCTTAATTCCCAGCCGGGTTCCCTCCCTGGACACACACTGAAGGTCCCCAGCCATTTGGCAATCTCTTCACATTCCCAGCCCTGGAGGTAGCCCTAAAATACATGTACCTGAAGAAAATAAAACATTGCCTCACACTGGAGCCCAGTGTGGTCCTCCAGATTCCGTGTGAGGTGGACTAACTTATATGGGAAGGCAGGGCAGCGGGAGTGAGGATGGCAGAGAGGATTACACATGTCAAGGCAGCCGGGGTCATGGAAACAAAACATGACTGGCCTGGGAGAAACACTGTGAAAGGACATACACCTAGGTGGGCCTCAGGTGGACATCCTCGTGGAGAAAAAGGGGGCCCTGGTTGATCTCAAAATGAGCCCCAGGTGGTAGCAGGTCTTACCGCAGGGCAGGGAGCTGGCGAGTAATGATGAGACAGCTATCCCTTAAGCCCTGCTTGTCACCCACTGACTTTAGCCACATATGCATCATAGTGGCTTAAGGTGCCCCGATCCTGAAATGTGGGTGTTACATGTCCCTGATGGGCCTCTCTCCCCCAACCCACGGATTGCCTGGGATTGCTCACTGCAGTCTCCTCCCGGATCCTTGGGTTCTCCATGTGGGGCCCAGATCCAGGTCAAAAGGCCTCTCAGTTCCCAGCCCTTCCCAGCCCTAGGCTGCTCGCCTGGCCTCCTCTCTGTTCCGCCTCTAGGGCTGACCCTCTCTCCATGGGATAGAACTGCAATGGATTGAGCCATAGGCCCTGGCTGATGATCTAGGTGACTGCAGAAGTGGGTCCAGGACAGTTCAGGTGACAGTTCAAAGCCAATTCCCCAGAGACCAAGGAATGACCAGCTAGGTCCTTTCCCATGATGCCCCACGGCGAACCCCACCTCAGCAATCCTGCCAAAACCCGGGCAGTCATGTTCAGCCAAACAGCTGAATGAGCTCAGGTAGGAGGTGTACTGCCTGCAGCTGGAGGCTTGACCTTCGTGATCCCAGAACCGCTGGACTGCAGTGGAATGAGACACCCTGTAGCCTGCAGGGAGAGGAGTCAGGAAGGTTCATGCCAGTCCCACCCTCCCACACACCAGCTCCCCTACCATGCTGGGAGGCATTCCTTACCGAGGATGCCAACACAGTGCTCCTTCATGATGATTTCACTGTGGAAATAAAGGTTGGGATGAAAGGAAATCATCCTGCCACCGGTAACCGGGATGGCTGAGTTCCTCCACCTGCCGGATCAAGGAGAAAGAGGATGGATTCAATGGGACCATCTCAACTAGCCGGGCTGAGGTGGCCTACTAGCTGTAGTGAACCATGAGTTTCCCCTTCCCAGCTCTCCCACTGAGACAACCCTGGTCCCCAGGGGGACCTCAAACTGACTCAGACACTGGACTCCTCCCACAGACCCAGGCTCCCCAGCCTGACCTGCAAATCCATCACGTAGCAAAGCAGGACTTCCGCATGCTTTCCGACCCACGCCGACATCTCGTGTGCCAAACAATCTACCTCTGCGCAAGAACTCTCCAGAGGATTGGGTGGGCAAGCCTCGTGACGCCTTGCAATTTCGCAAGAACACAGACAATGTGGAACAGGGCCATCTCCCAGACATTTGGCCAGTCACCCTTCATTGTTGGCCCTCTATCTCTGTCTGGCGAGGAGGCAACGCCACAACTGTGGTGGTTTTTGGAGTGGGTGGACCCCGGCCAAGACGGCCTGGGCTGACCAGAGACGGGAGGCAGAAAAAGTGGGCAGGTGGTTGCAGCTGAGGGACGGGAGGGGCCGGGGGTGGTGTGAGGCGGCTGCTTCTCTGAGTTTCTGAGATGCAGGAGGCCTTTGTGTGCTGGGTGCTGGACATGCTCCGCTGATGTCCGGGTGTGTGGTGTCCTCTTATCCTAGTCTCCCTGAGGGGTGGGCCTGTCCACCTGAGGGAAGCCTTGTAGTTAGAAGCCACAGCAGGGTCGTGCCTGGCGCTCTCCAAGGGAATTGCGTGGGTCCAGAGGAAGTTATACAGGCTCAGGGCCTACACGCCTTTGAGTGCAGCGCCTGCAGTTGGATGAATGCGCATCTGCGGAGCTGGTGCCCGCCGTCAGGTGGTCGGCAGCCCCATGCGCCGCGAACCCGTCTTAAGCACCTTGCGTTTCTGGGGTGAGCCTGCTGGAAACAGGCACCGAGAGCAGGGGTGGTTCAATGGCTGGTAATGGCATACAGATTCCCCGTCCTCCAGGGACGTTCCCAGGGAAACGCGTCCTTCGAATTTGGGCTGTGCGCAAAGGGACCTTGGCGCCGCGATTCTCCCTTGTCAGTGCTGGCCCTGGCTCCCCTTCCCTACCACGTGCTCCCAGGGCTGCTACAAGCGAGCTGCCCTCACAGCTGCGGGAACGTGGCCTCGGCTCCCACGCTGTCCCCCATCCCCTGCCTCCTGGCTGACCCCACGTGCCTCCCACCTGGCTCCTCCCCGCAAACAGCCCCCATACCCCCCGAGGCCCGATGACTATCCCCTGCTGCCCGCCATCCCAAATCGGCAGCCGCAAGGATATGGCTCTGGCTCACAAGGCGGAGATGCTCTGTGGCCTGGGGCATTCACGGAGCCCAGCTCCAAGTGAAGGACCTCCAGCGAGTCCATTGACGGCCCCGGTGTGCTCGGTCCAGGGCCAGGCTGTGCCCGCTGGCCCTCCTTCTGCCACCCCACGTCGGGCTCCACCTCAACCACCACCTCCACCTCAGCCATGATGTCTTCCACCTTCAGCACCGCCTCCTCTTCCAAGGCCGCCTCCTTGCTCTGTACCCCGGCCGTCCTCTCCAGCATTGCCTCCAGCCTGAACACGGTTTTCTCCTGGGTGCTCCCACAGACCCTGGGCCTGCGCAGCCCAGCCCAGCCCAGCCCATGCCCCGCACCCGTAGGCTCTGGGGGCCCGCTCCCCAGCAGACCCGCTCCCTGCAAGACCCACGGGCGTCGCCCTGCTGTGAACCTGGTCCCACACCTACGTGGACCCAGGTTTCCTGAGGAGCTCCGCTGGACCCGCAGATCCCGCACTGGCCAAAGGGCTCCGGTCCCCAGCAGGCTCAACTGCGCACAGGAGCTCGGGAGCCAGAGGCCCCGGCCCTGGGCTTGCAGAGCCCCACCAACAGGCACCGCAACCGCTGCTGCGGGTGCGGGAGCCTCTGGGTCGTCAAGGCAGCGCACAACAGCGTGCGCGCAGGCCGACAATGGCCAACCCTGGCGGCTGGCCTCTGGTGTGCCCAGGGCATAGGACAAGAGGCCCTTTGGAATGCTCCTTGGAGTACAGCATCCTCAGGGAGGAAGCATGGTACTCGGAGCCTCTATTTGCCTCGACCTGTGAGAGTGTGTGCCGGGGCTCTGGCCTCTACAGCAGATCAATTCCACCTCAGCACCGGCAGGCGACTTTCCTCCCACGTGCCCGCCCCGATCACTTCCCCCAGGACACCCCTGCCGCCCTAGCCCCAGCAACCAGAGAGAGTTCTCTGCATCTTCTGTATTACCTCCGTACCATCTACCTGGCCTGCCTAACGAAGAGAGATGTTTCCTGTGTTCATGACACATAGAGATGTTCATGGCTTGCCACACTGAGGATGTCAGGGCACAGGGCTGCCATGCCCACAATTCCAAAGGCCACGCAGCCCGCGTGTGCCCGGATGCCTAGCTACCCGGCACAAGCTCCAAGGGCTTCTCGGAGGAGGCTTGGGCAGGGAAGGCGGGGGTTGGGGGGGCTGGAGATGCAGGCCCGCCAGTGGCTGTGCCGCCCAGGGAGACGCCCACCGCCCTCCCATTGACTGGCCACGACGGGAGGAAGTCGGCCTGGGTGCGGCCCCCCGGCCCTTCGCGCGCAGTCCCTTAGGGGGCGCCTGGAAGCCCGGCGCATGCGCCCTGAGGGCTCGCTGACCTACCGGGTGCCAGAGAGGCTGCGGCAGGGTTTCTGTGGCGTGGGTCGGGCAGCACAGGCCTTGGTGTGTGCGAGTGCCAAGGAGGGCACCGCCTTCAGGATGGAGGCTGTGCAGGAGGGGGCGGCCGGGGTGGAGAGTGAGCAGGCGGCTTTGGGGGAGGAGGCGGTGCTGCTGTTGGATGACATAATGGCGGAGGTGGAGGTGGTGGCGGAGGAGGAGGGCCTCGTGGAGCGGCGGGAGGAGGCCCAGCGGGCACAGCAGGCTGTGCCTGGCCCTGGGCCCATGACCCCAGAGTCTGCACTGGAGGAGCTGCTGGCCGTTCAGGTGGAGCTGGAGCCGGTTAATGCCCAAGCCAGGAAGGCCTTTTCTCGGCAGCGGGAAAAGATGGAGCGGAGGCGCAAGCCCCACCTAGACCGCAGAGGCGCCGTCATCCAGAGCGTCCCTGGCTTCTGGGCCAATGTTGTATCCTTCTCAGTGTTTCTTCGGCCTTTCTAGTGGAGAGGTGCTCTCGGGGAAGTGTAAGTGACCGATGGGCAGCTCGGCGTCGATGTGACTCTTTGGGGAACAAAGGGGAGTTGCCACGGACCAGTGTGGCTGTGGAAAGCCGGAGCAGGCGTGGGTACTATTGTCCTGCATGCGGCAGAGAAACCCTTGGTGATGCCGAGCAGCAGACGTTTGGGGCATCTTTTTGAAGAGCAGAAGCGAGTTCAGAGCGGAAGAGGTTTTTCAGTGAATAAAGCTATTTTTAAGGGAGTGTGATTGCTGCCCCTTGCTAGTCCGATCTGGGACTGGGCGTCTTCGGCTATAAGCAGATTCTGCCACTCCTCAGACACCAGCAAGTCTCTGCAAATCGCGCCTCCCCATGTCAGTGCAGTCAGCCTCAGAATCATACACCCTCTGTGAACACAGGAGGCCTTAGTTTACGGGGAGGGGGAGGCGAAAGGAGATCATACATGGAAGCAGATCTGAGAAATCCCCTACCCCAGCCTCTGGGTGCTCTTAGGCCTTCTTCCCTGTTGCTCCTCGCTTTCCCTTCCATCGTGTGTAAAGTCTCTTTGACCTAAATCAGATTGCAAACCACCCCCAGATGTCAGCCCTGATCACTGACGAAGATGAAGACATGCTGAGCTACATGGTCAGCCTGGAGGTGAGGCCAGGAAGACTGGGGCTAGAGGGTTTAGCGGGGGAGGGTAAGGGAAATAATTCATTCCTGTAAGCAAGAGTGAGCACCTCACCCGAAAACCTATCTAAGCTTTCTCCACCTTGTCCTGACAGGTGGAAGAAGAGAAGCATCCTGTTCATCTCTGCAAGATCATGTTGTTCTTTCGGAGTAACCCCTACTTCCAGAATAAAGTGATTACCAAGGAATATCTGGTGAACATCACAGGTGACAGGTGGCTCCCAGGATGGGTAGTGGAAGGAAGATGGTGGGTGGATCATTGCCAACGGGATCCAGCCCCCTTCCCACAAAAACTCCTGTCTCTGTAGAATACAGGGCTTCTCATTCCACTCCAATTGAGTGGTATCCGGATTATGAAGTGGAGGCCTATCGCCGCAGACACCACAACAGCAGCCTTAACTTCTTCAACTGGTTCTCTGACCACAACTTCGCAGGATCTAACAAGATTGCTGAGGTGAGTCCTCACTGGGAAACATGAGGAATGACCCCATGTGTTCCCAGCTGCTTGGGTCACCTTTCTGAGCCCTGATGAGGCCTTTCCCGATTGAGTCCCCTGACAGATCCTATGTAAGGACCTGTGGCGCAATCCCCTGCAATACTACAAGAGGATGAAGCCACCTGAAGAGGGAACAGAGACGTCAGGTGAGCCGTTAGTTGGCACTGGAGCTGTTTGATGCCCAGTATAAGGGGGTTGACACACCTGCCTATTCAGGGAGCCTGGGTGCTCATTTCAGAAATGTAGAAATTGAGGCTCCTTTCGTACATGTAGAAATTCCTTGAGAGGAAGACAGAGAGTGACAGAATCCAGGACGTTCATGGCATTGGGCTGAAAAGGCACGTTAGAGACTGCACTGCAAAGCGGGTGATAGCTGTGGAGTCTTAAGCCCAGTGAAGAATCGTCCATTTCCAGAATCAATGAGAAGTAAAGCTGAAAATCATTCAGTTCAGTCTGTGGCACTTGATTCCACGGCTGTCAACCCCACCGGCAGTCATCCCGCCAACCCCATGAGATTGGGCTCCCTGAATGTGCGTCCTGGTCATCCTTGCCCCAAACCACAAAGGACTGTTTAGATTGATGGATTTCCTTAAGCTGTTGCCCCATCAGACTTGTGTGTGCTTTTAGGGTCCAGTGCATCTTGTTAGCTGACTCCCCTCACAGACAATACTGGGAATGGGGCAGGGATTGCGCAGAACAGTTTGTAACACGTGGTAGGAGGAAGTTTAAGGGATCACAAATGGGGAAGGGATATCCTTTTCTCAGCGGGCCCCACAATTGAAACATTTCAAAGTATGGCTCAGAGAAAATGCGTTTTAACATGAGTTTGTGTTTCTCTAGGGGACTCCCAGTTGTTGAGTTGAATATGATGGAGCATCAGATTTTACCTAATACAGCAGAACTCCTAAAAAGTTACAGCCATATGCAGGACGGCAGTACTCAGCATGGTCTTATGCACAGGAACTAAAGGAAAAAGAGATCGAGTCACAAAAATTCAGGAAGAGGGGGTAAATGTGGATTGTATGGAATGAAAAATAAACATTCTCAAGGATGTGTGACTCTGTGTCTGTGTGTGTGTGTGTGTCTTTGTGTTTGTGTGTGTCTGTGTGTGTATGTTTATCCACTTTATTCGGGTGTCATAATGAATTGATCAATCCACGTGCTTTATTCTCTTCATGGAAATAACCAGTCTGCGTTGGAGCTGGGCCTCTAAAGTTGTAGAGTGAATGGGTGTGGGATGTGTTGGGATTCTTCCTACAGGACAGAGTGGGAGAGGTAAAAGCAAAAGACAGCTTAGTTGGAGGCTGACTTCGTCCTATGGAAGCAGAGATAGTTCAAGGAAAGGGGTTACTGGGTTTCCAGGGCCCAGTTTGCTGGGACCTCCAAAATCCTTCATTTTGGGTATCATCATACACAGTAGCTAAGCACAGGATGATGGAAATCTTAAAGTTCGCTTTCGTGTTGAATCCACATGTTCTTTTAAAGGTGAATGCATGATCCTTTTCTGGGACAATCAGCCTCTCAGGACTTCTGAAACATCAACGTGAGAAGAAATGGGCATGTAAGGTGTATGGAGGGACTGTGGGAAAGGTGACAGAGGCATGTGGGAAGGCATTCAGGATACGCTTTTGGCAGACATGACTAAGGGAAAACAGAAACTTACAGAAGTGAGGGGAAAGGGGGTGGATTAGTGGAATATAAGATTGTTGGAGAATCCATCCATGGACTCTCTTGTCACTTGATGACCCAGGATATGGACACTCTTGTTGATGTTTACATCTTTAGTTGTTTTAAGCTTTTCTCCAAGATTCTGTGTTAGGTGAGGAGCCAATAACGTATGTAGCTAACAACAGTACGAGTGCATTTTGTGCTCTTGCAAAGTCTAGTGAGGCTCTATTCTCCCTCGTGATTGGCACTGCAGATTGTATCTGGACCCAGGGCCCCTAAATTTTCTGTGGCCTCTTCAGCATAGTTTGCCTAAGGTTTAGAACGTAAAGTGAATATAGTTGCGGAATATGTTTTGCAAGCCTCACACAGGAGGACAAAACATACAGCTTTCATTCGCGAGTGGGAGGCTGCTTCCCAGGAACACGTGTGTCTGCACAAGACAAGGGGTTGCCTCTGTCAAGGATGGGGCAGGAGGATTTCAGTGTCGGAGGCAGAACTTTCTTTCCTGTTCCCAGATGAAACAGTTCCAACACGAGCATCCATGTTGACCACACGCTACTAGAGTGCTAACATTGCTGTCCCGTATAGACTCCAGTCAGCACAGCTTCTGTGAGAAGAGCTATGTTGTTTCAGGGAAGAGGGTTTGACAGTCAAAGTTCCTGAATCTGTTGTGGTGCCTGCAATATGCATTCTACACCTCCTGCTCGGTGTCAAAGCAGTTGAGCTTTGAAAATCTATCGCCCGGTTTTGTCCCTGCTCCTATGCAGACCTCTGAAGCTCTGGAGCGGGAGTCTTGTCCTCCTCTGACTACCGTCCCCCTGACCCACAAACACAGGAGAAACAGGTGTTCTAAGCAAATTATTCTGAAAACAGTCGGAACACTTTGGCCCCCTCAAGCTGCCCTCTATCCTACTGTGTGCATGTCAAAGACACTGTGGTCCAGTACGGTATCCCTATAGCGGCAATGGGGCAACAGATTGGTGTGTGCACTCTGGGCAACTCAGATTAGGAAACGTCTGGGGACTTGCCTATAACGAGGTCGTCTTAAAACGTGTTGCCCCAAATTTAAGGCATAGGAAAATGTTGAGGAAAGGGTCTTGCAATGATTTTTCTAGGAGGTAAATAGATAAGAAAATGACCGTAAATAGATGCCAGGGCTAGTTTTGGAGCTAGCCTTTTTTAAAGTGGTGGTAGGGGAGGAGGTTTTTCCAAGGCAGGTAGCAAACCAGGAGCTGTCTACGATGGATGGGCGTGCCATGGGTTGGTGGCTCAGCCATATTGCCACCCCACGGAGTCGATGCAGCAGACTGGGCTTCTTGCTTGAATCCTACGTGCAATTCAGTCTAGTGATTTCACATGAGATCCCTTCTTCTGGTATTATCACAGATCGTGCTGAATTATACAGGCTGTGTAATGCTTCTTCCACTGAATATCCGTGCACGTGGGCCACAGATGCTAAGGGCACTGACAAATTTGCACCGTGCCTCAGTAACTCGGAAGCACATCTGTGATTTGTACCGACAGGGACTTGGTGTCTTTTCGTGTTTAAAGTAGCACGTGTGTGTTTGTGGTTGCGTATGTTTATTTCTCTGTGCGGGTTTGTATATTTTCTCTGACTCCACCTATGTCTCCGTGGTTCCGATATTTTTCCACACTCCCTGCGGCAATTTGCACATGCCTATCTCTACAACCATTGTAGACTTTGTATCTGTGTCTTTGAACATCTGTCACTCTCTCTCCCTTCCTTTTTTCTTTTCCTTCCTTTACACCCCTCCTTTCATCCTTCCCTTGCTTCCCCACCACACTCTCTCCATCTGTATCGTCTATGTTTCTATTCTCTATCTGGGTTTACTTTCTAATTCTGAATTCAAGGGCATTGAATTGAAAAGAAGCACTCTTCGTACTTTTATGTGTTTTAACTCATTTGGGGAATTTGGCGTGGTATTATTTACAGGGTTCTCTCTGCCCTTTCTCATTGTTCTCCCCAGCCGGGGCTGTTATTATGTGAAAGCTGGTTTCCTTCATCACATCGCGTAGGCTCTAATGATGTTTCGTTTATTTTGATTCTCCTCACACTACATAGTTTTAATTTACCTAATGTGACTGTTTTTTTGTTTGTTTTCCGAGAATGGGTCTTACTCTGTCTTCTAGGTTGGACAGCAGCCCCACGATCTCAGCCCACTGCAGCCCAGGCACCACACACCCATGTGATCCTGTCAACTCAGACTCTCACACACCTGGCAGTACAGGTGCATGCCACCCCTCCAAGCTATGTATTAATTAACTAAATACTTACTTTTTGAATGTGGGTCCATGTTGCCCCAGGCTCATCTGGAACTCCTGAGTGCAGGCAATCCTCCCACCTCAGCTTATCAAAGTGCTGGGATGACAGGTGTGACCCATGGCCCTGCCATGGCTTTGTGTTTTTTGCTTTTTTCTTCCTCCTCCTCACGTCTTGTTTTGAAACATGCACTGAAGGTTTCAATTCATGGACTATAGCCTCTGTGCCTGGAATTTCTATCTTTCAACTCATCATCAGCATTCATTGGGATTTTCATATATATATATACCTATATAAGAATACCTATGTACACACATATATACGTATATACATGTATATACGTATATATGCACATTTATATACGTATATACATGTATATACGTATATATATACATGTACACATATGTATTTATTTCTCAAGTTACGAAACGGCTTGCATTCTTTCCTGTGTCATGAAAAAGACTTTGCTAGAAAAGAAAAGCACTGCTTTATAATAAAATATTTTATTTGCATTTATTTTGTTAAGGCATTTTAAAAATTGTATGTTTGTTTAAAAAATGTCATATGAAATGATACATATTTACAACTTAAGGCGTGATGTTCAACAGGTCATATACATTATGCATTGGATACATCCAGCCAATCAACATATGTGTGACCTCACATAGTTGTCATTTTTGTTGTGAAAAAACTTGACCTGCACTGTATTCGAATATTTTTAGAGAAAGAATATGTTACCACTAGTTATAGTGAGCATGCTGAAGAAAATATTTTTAACCTATTCCTCCTTTATAACTAGAAGTATGAGTTCTTCATCCAGCATCTCGTCAGTGCACCCTCTTCACCGCAGTCATTGGAGTCACTACTTCTGTGAAGTCCGCTTTTTTGATTTCATATAAGAATGAGATCATGTGCTACTTTCCTTTCTGATACCTGGCTTATGTCACTTAACAGAATGGCATGCACACATTCAGCAGATTCCCACACATTCTCACAACTGGCAGGATTTCCTGATTTCTTATTGCAGCGCATATTTCCGTTGCGCATATGCGTTTTTGCCCCATTTTTTAATCCACTTATCAATGGAGGGACTCTCAGGTTGCTTCCGCATTTTGGCTACAGCAAAAATGTAATGAGTGCAGCAATAATTGCATGGGTGCGCGCACCGCTTCAACATACTGATCTGTGTACTGGCGGGCGTGCCCGGGTATTCTGATTTGCTGGATCATATAGTGGGTGGTTCTACTTGTAGATTTCTGAAGGCTGTTTATACTTAAATAAGAGCCATAAAGCTTCTTTAATGCCAGCACTAATTTACATTCTCCCCAAAAGTGAGCAGGGAATTCGTTTTCTCTGCCTCCTCACCAGAGATTAGGGTTTTCTTTTCTTTCTTTTTTTTTTTTGTTTGTTTGTCTTTCGGATAATATGCATTCTGACTGAAGTGAGAAGAAATCTCATTGTGTTTTTGATTTGCATTTTCGTGATGGATTGGGGATAATGAGGAATTTTTAGTGTGTCTTCTGGGCAACTGTATGTCTCAGTTTCACAAATGAGTCTTCGCAGCCTTCGCCCATTTGTTTTCATGCTATTGAGTTGTTGGGAGTTCCTTATGTACTGTGACTATTCCCCCATGAACAGATGTATGGTGATCCAATCATTGCTCCCATCCTGTAGGATGCCCCTTCTGTATGTTGAGTTTTCTATGGTGTGGTGAAGCACTTTAGTTTGATATGATTCCATTCTCTATTTTTGATAGTGTTTACTGTGTTCTTGCAGTCACTTTGAGACCATCATTGCACACATGGACGCCATGGAGCTTCTTCCTTGTGATCTCTTCTGCTATTTTTATCGTTTCACATCTGACACTGGAGTTTGGTGATAAATAATCCACTTGTAAAATCCTTTGTGTGGCTATTCAGATTTCCCCAACCTAGTTTATAGAAGATACTTGATTTTGCATTGGGCGTTCTTGCTTCTTTGGGAAAAGGCTGTGAGCTGCAAATGCAGTGACTTAGTTCTGGGCTCCTGTTGTTTTTCCTAAGCTCTAGTCTCTGCTTTTCTGCCAGTGCTATTGTATTTTGGTACAAAAAGTTTTGTAGTAGTATATCATGAAGTTAGGTAGTGTGGTGGCTCCAGCTTTGTGCTTTTTACTGGATTGCTCTGGGTTTTCAGGATCTTCTGCCATTTCATAGCAAATTTGGGATTCCCAGATTGTTTTTCTAAGAAGAATGTGTCATTGATATTTTTACAGGGGTTGTATAGAATCTGAGGATGACTCAGGTAGTAGTGATGTCAATGCCGTTTAGACAATGTGCGTGTTTGTGTGCACAAGCTCAGGGCCAAGAGACACTGGGTGTCCTCACCAATACTGAGGTGGGCCTTAATATCCAGCCAGATTGCCTTCTGGAAACACACGGAATGTCCTGTTCTGTTTTGCCATCTCTTCACATTTCCTCCCCTGTGAGCCCTGTGTGGTCCTCCAGATTCCCTGTGCGGTGGCCTGCCTTTTTTGGGGTGGGGAGTTGCTGGGTGAATGAGGATGGCGGAGGGAACCAAGTATGTCAGTGGAGCGTGGTGTCATCCAAACGGTACTTAGCAGGCCTGGGAGAGTCATTCTGGGAGGACGCAGACCTAGAGAGGCCTCAGGTGGGCATCTGTGTGGAGGGTGAGAGATCCCTGGTTGAGCCCAAACTGAACCCCAGGTAGAAGCAAGCCTCAGGACAGGGAAGTAGCTAGCAAGGGATGATGAGGCAGCTATCTCTTGACCCTGGCTTCCCACCCATTGACCTTAGCTACTTGTGCCTATTAAGCAGATTACGGTTCCCCCATCGTGAAATGTGGGTACCACAGTTCCCTGATGGGCATTTCTCCACCAGCCCATGATGGCCTGAGTTTCCTTACTGCAGTCTCCTCCCTGAGCCTTGGCTTCTCTATGTGTGTCCTAACTCCAGGACCCACAGGCCTGTCAACCCCCAGCCCTGGGCTGCTTCCCTGGCCTCTTCTCTGTTCCCTCTCTGAGGGCCTAACTCCCTTGGGTAGTGCTGCAGAATATAGAGCCACAGGCCCTGGCTGATGATCTGGTGGACTGGGCAAATTGGTCGTGACAGGTCAGGTTCTGGTTCAAAGCCAATTCCTCCGATGCCAAGGAATGTCGAAGAAGGTCCTTTGCCATGATGCCCCATAGCTGCCCCACCTCAGCAATCGTGCCGTAACCTGGGCCCTCACAGTCAGACAACCAGCTGAAGAAGCTCAGGCAGTGACCTGCGGGAAACTCGGGCTTTCACCTGCATGACCCTAGAACCACTGGACTGCAGTGGAGCCAGTCGCCCTGTATCCTGGAGGGAGACGAGTCAGGAAGGCGCACGCCAGGCCCAGCTCCCGAGGTACTACCCCCTCTACTCCTCAGGGAGGATGCCAACGCAATACTCCTTAGTCATCACTTTGTTTCCGAAGTAAATGTTGTGATGAAAGGCAAACTTCTTCCTACCCCTTGTATTCAGGGTGGCCGAGTTCCTCCACCTGCCTGTCCAAGAAGGAGAAACAGGGCTGTGAAGGGGCAATTTCATCTAGGTGGGCTGAGGTGGCATTCTAGCCGGGGTGAAGCATGCGTTTCCCCTTCCCAGCTTTCCCGCTGAGACACACCTGAGCCCCAGAAGGACCTCAACCTGACCAGGACCTTAGCACCCTCCCCCAGACCCAGGCTTTCCATCCTGACCTGCAAATCCAACATGCAGCTTTGAAGGACTTTCTCATGGTTTCTGAGCTCCTTGCTCTCACCAGAAAGAATCAGAACTTTTAAAGTGTTCTTTATGCCAACTTAAATTTTTCATTTTTACTACCTCATGTTTTGGATGAGGCATGTATTTTTAAATTTATTTTCACCCTTATTGTACCTCTATGATAAACTGCTTGCTTACATTCATACCGTAATTATCTCTCAGGTTACTTGTCTGTTCCTAAAGATTCACTGAAACGAAGAATTCTATATATGCTTGTATCTTTCAGCAACCGTATGTCAGATAGCACTGCACATTACTGCAGACATCGCATATACAGGTCCAAAGGTAGAGGAAGAAGAAGAAAGCAAGCGTTAAGCTCTATACATTCCTAAAAGCATATCAGAAACTCACAAATAACAGTGAAATCAAAGAATGATCACAGCCAATTCCATTACATACCTAGACTGAAATACGAAACTTCAAAGAAAAGAAACATTAGAACTTTGGGTTTGTAAAAATTTTCCTATATAGATAAAATTATTGGTAACTGTGTCTCACTAGAAAACGTAAACAAAAGTCCATGTTTTTCATATTTGTAAATATACATAGTTTTATTTCCATCAGTTATGACATGCAAGCAAGTAATAAAGTGAAAGTACAATCAAATGATATATGGAACTTCCTCAGTCTTAAAATATTCCATGGAGACTATCAATTTTATGAAAACTATAAAGAATGCTTCATGAAACTACATTGTACAGTGCCATTTACTATTTTACTGACATTTTAAATAATCAACAATTAAAGGGAATACATCAACATTATTTAATACCAATAACGTTATTTTTCTTGAGTAATCCTGTTGAAATTAAGGATTTTAAATAAAACATTAAAAACAAATTATATTGACTGATTTCAGCTTTGGATGAAATCATACTTGTGTATTTGTAGTAATGCGAAGCATAACTTTCTCCTCACAATTAATCTTTTATAACATCGGTGTTATAGTTTTCTCTGACACCAACATTGTGATATCGCACAGGTTTACTGCATGCATGCATTACATGCCTCCAGAGAGTAGGCTTCAAATATATGGAAAAATTATATTTATGAAAAAATTCTAGGAAAGGGAATGGTGAAATGGAAGAGAATTTCTCACTTGCTAACTGTTGGACATGGATTTGTATATATTTGGATATAGACACATACTGGCACACTGTGAGTTTGCCCATGTATATATACACTTAAATGAGAAACCCATAATATATGGGTTGTGTAATCTTTTAATTAATCCATAATTGTATGTGTGTGAAATTAGATAAGCGGTTACCTTTTCTTTACTCAATTTGATGGAAAGCCAAAAAACTCTGTCCACCTTCATTTCAATTAATCCAATACTGTTAACTGCTGGTAGCTTCATTCTCCTTGTTCTCTTACGGCAACCGGAAAGTTAATTCTCGCTCTAATTTGGCTTTCAAGGTGCGATCAACAAGAGTGTCACCTTGCTGTGGATTGTGACCTCTGACTCCACCTCTGTCTTCCTTTTGCAGTCCTACCTTTGCATAGGTAACAAACTTTGTACATGGTTAAAAGGATAAAAGTTCAGTGAAATGTCAAGCCATGCTGTGAAATGTTCCATAGTTTCTATATCTCTAATTGTCCTTTGATGTTATAGAGGCAAGAAAAATAATTCAATGTTTTTCTTAGTATCTAGTCCAATGCACTCTTTCTTCATAATACTGCAAACAAGGCACTGACATGGAAACGTGGCTGGACGTCTCAAAATCTCTTCTCATTAATTACCATTATGTTAATCACTGTTGCCCACAACTGGAATTGGACTTTGAAATCCCCTGGTGGAAATTGCTATAATGGCTCAAACTACTGGAAAGACTATCTTTTTTTTACCTGAAAATATCTGATGAGCATAGACGTATGCTATATACAGGAAGATATTGTACATTAACAACATACCATCACTGCCACTCAATAATAGGTATCCCAAACCTTTGAGCCAAACTGAGCTCAGGTGCTCCCACAAACCAAGCTTTTCCCTCCACAGATTTCTTATGTCAAAAAGCCACAACTCCAGGCCAGGCTTCGTGGCTCTTGTTGTAATTTCTACATTTTGGGAGGCCGAGGTTGGTGGGTCACTTGAGGTCAGGAGTTGGAGACTAGCATGGGCAACATGGCAAAAAGCTGTCTCTACCAAAAATACAAAAATTAGCCAGACCTAGTGGCACTTTCCTGTGGTCCCAGCTACTTGGGAGGCTGAGGTAGGAGAACCACCTGAACATGGGTGGCAGAGATTGTATAGTAAGCCGAGATCAGACTACTGCACTCCAGCCTGGATGACACAGCGAGACCATGAAAAAAAAAATAAAGGCAACTCCACTCGTCCACTGGCTTAGGTAAAAAATACTGGAGTTGGCTGGGCTCGGTGGCTCACACCTGTATTCCCAGCACTTTGGATTTTGGGAAGCTGAGTCGGGCGGGTCACCTGAGATCTGTAGTAGGAGAGCAGCCTGGCCAACATGGTGAAGCCTGGCTTCTACTAAAAATACAAAACATTAGCTGAGCGTGGTGATGCATGCTTGTAATCCCAGCTACTGCAGAGGCTGAACCTGGGAGGCGGAGGATGTGTTGAGCTGAGATCCTGCCACTGCGCTCCAGCCTGGTCTACAGAGCGAGAGTACCCTGTGAGAAACAAAGGTGAAGAGAACAAGAAAAAAAAATGAGAAAAATAAGACCCACTGCAAAAGGTTGCCACAGAAAAGATTAAACATTTCAGCAACTTCTATCTTCTATCATGGAAGCCAAGGTTATTTGGACCAAACCTCCTGTCTTAGTTCATTTTCACGCTGCTGAAGAAGAGATACCTGAAACTGGGAATAAAAGGAGGTTTAATTGGACTGACAGTTCCACATGGCTGTGGAGGCCTCAGAATCATGGTATACGAATAAAGGCACTTCTTACATGGCAATGCCAAGAGAGAATGAGGAAGAACCTGAGGCAGAAACCCCTGAAAAACCCATCAGATCCCGTGAGACTTCTTCACTGTCACAAGAATAGCATGAGAAAGACCGACCCCCATGATTCAATTACCTCCCCCTGGGTCCCACCCGCAACACGAGGGAATTCTGGGAGATACAATTGAAGCTGAGATTTGAATGGAGACACACCAAACCATGTCACTTCCCAAACAATTAAAAATTCCCAATAGAAGAAGCATTAATTATATCAAAAAGTGGTGGACCAAGAAGGAACTATTAGCCTCATATCTCAAGAAAGACTCCAGTCAAGGCCTAGGGACTACTCATGAAAAGAGTTTAATAGCCGACTCTCTCCCAGTGGATCTGGATTCCACCGGACTGTATCTTCACAGTAAGGGTGAAACAGAAGCAAACCCATTCCTATTTCCAAGCTCAAGGAACTTTGGTCAAAGTTCTCTTGGAGCTGAGCAGAACAAGGAGGCAAACAGAAAAGATTTGTGTCCCTGAGAAGTCATGGCCACAGGCTGGCTATCACACAGATTGTCAAGCCAGTTCCATATTGCATGGGTATTACAGAAAATCTCAAAACATAAATTTGTGTGTGGGTTGTCCCAGAGTAGCAGGATCTGGCAGAAGGAAATTTCCTTCTAACCCTCAAAGAATCCACATAAATCTTGTTACATTTGGGATTTTACGATTTGCTTCAGGAATGAGAATGGCCTTAATTTTCATATCTTTTTCTACACTCAGTTTATGGCTTGTTGGCGTCAAAGTTCTGCTTGCTTCACACAATGAGTTTAGGATTTTCCCTTTTTTATTCTATAGAATTCTTCATATATATTGAAATGCTCTGCCTGGGGAAAAAAATCTGAGCCTAGCGTTTTATCTCTAGGAAGAATCCTTTATTTCCTTGAACATTTATGAGACTATACAGATTATATATGTCTTCTTGTATCAATTTTACTAAGCTATATACATAGCTTATGTTTATATATTATATATATAAATGTAAGATACAAATATAAAAATTATGTATAAATATGAAAATATATATAGAAAGCGATATATATGTCTATATATATAGACAGATTATAAATATCTGTCTATTTGATCTAAGTTTTCAAATTTGTAGGTTAAGGTGTTAACGATATTTCCTTATTAGCTTCTTAATCTATGCTGTATCTATGGTTGTGTACCTTTTAAATTCTTAGTTTTATCTATGTTTTCTCCCTTTTTTTCTAAACTTGACTGACGGTTGCATCATTTATTATATTTCTCCAACAAGCAAAGGTTAGCTTTGTATGTTTTACTAATTTTGTCTACATCATTATTCCCACACTTTAGTTTTTCAGAATTGATTCTGTTGTTTCTTTTCTAATTCTTTATTGAAATATCTAGTACATTAATTTTCAAGTTATTAGAGAAATATTTGTCTGTAAACTCCTATTGTAATATCACTTTTCTTGCTACTCACAGATTTAATCTTTAATATTGGCGGTATCATTGAGTTCTAAGTACATTTCAATTCCTAGTATGATAATCTATGAATTGCTGAGAAATAGTGTTTACAATTTTGTTGTTCTATTTCCACTTAAGTTTATTTTTACTTCTGCTAACTCAATTGAAAATTCTTTACTAATTTTTAAAATCCTTGAACCCAAGAGATGGAGGTTGCAGTGAGCTGAGATCAGGCCACTGCATTCCAGACTGAGTGACAGAGTGGAACGAGATTTCAAAACAAAACAAAACAAAACAAAACAAAACAGTCACTGGAAAGATAATAAAATACATAAATGTGGGATGTAATATGTAATCGTGATAAAATAAACTGGATTTTTTGTATAAGTTATACATATAAATGTAATGCCAAGACACTGATAAGACAACTCATGGTCTTATCTCAATACTTAGTGTCTTCATGTAACATATGTCCTTTAGGATAGTTATAGTCCGTTTTCTTTCCAGGAGAGACAGATGAGAATGCAGAAATGTTAAAGTGCAAGGGACGGAAGCTTCCAGCTGTGCCCACCTGTAACCTGACGTAGACAGTTCCACCGTTTGCTTCATTAATCATGCCAAAGGCTCTAATGCAAATGTGGTACAGAGTCACATGTTTTTGTATCTACATGATAGAAACTATAACTTCATCCCTATATAGAAGGGTATATAGCATATGCCTCAGTGATAAATATAAGTGAATCATTGATCAGTAGGAAACCATTTTAAAAGTCTTTCATAACAGAACAAAATCCCTGAAAACATTTTCTTCTCAATCTCTGAGTTTTCTTACACGGCTTATGAATCTCTAGCCATACTAAAGAGATAGTATGCTGCTCTTCCCACAAATTATTCATTGTATATAATTCCTGTAATCTAATAACAGTACCTTTACACCTCAGGGTTTAAAATGACTCCAACCTTTTTCTGTTTCTCCAATTAAAATAACTTTTTTAAGGTTTAATCTTCAGTAATTTTTTGTAGTAATATTTTTGAAGGTATTTGACCAGGATGATTTGCTTATATACCTACCTGACGTCTCCCTTTCTTCTGAATACATATTTTATTACCCACCTATTAGATCTAAGTTTAAGAAGTTGGAATAGGGATTTAAATCTAAATTCTACATTTGAATTTACAGGAGTCAGCGAGTCCGGGAAGTGCCTTTATGCACAGACCAATATCTGGCAATGGCACTAGGAGACAAATAAGCTTTACCAGTCTCAAAGCCCTGGCTACTACAGTGAATCCACCCTTCTCCTGGATCTTATCTACTTCAGCAAAAGAAGGCCACCCACTAAACCAGGCCCTTGTACTTTGGGTGGAAACTCCTAAGTCCTCTAGTCTCCTCAAACAGACAGCCAGGCTGCCAATTTCCACAATAATAATTTCTATAGCACTGAGTCTTTGGTAGCCTTGTAACTATAGCTACTGATGCTACAGTCTGGTCCCTGTATGATAAAACACCAGAGCAACAGAAACAAAAATATTGACTGAAGCCTTCTAAAATCTCTCTAAATATACCTTCAATAAATATGGTTTTTTTTACAGAACGACTGCTTTCAGCTTCCTGAACTAACGCTTGGCCTTCGCTAGTTGTCACTGTTGAAATTGATTCAAAAGTGTACATTTAACATGAAAGTCAACACAGAATTTCATGTGTCAGCAACTAAAATTTTCAAAATGTTGCAAAATACAAATGTGAAACTGTATTTGTGAAATTTACCATTCATTGAAATTATATTTTCATACCTACCCAGGCACAGAATTTTTTATAACTGTCTGCATGTTCTCCTCATGTGGGGGAAAAGCAGCATCAGCAGGCAGAGGAATCCTTTGAAGCTGGAGGGAGAGGTTGCAGTGATCTGAGAGTTTGCCACTTGACTGCAGCCTGGATGACACAGTGAGACTCCAACTGAAAAGAAACAAACACACACACACACACACACACACACACACACACACCCCCAAAATTGATAAGTAAAAAAAAAATCCATATTCGAAAACATGCTCACAGGCTAACTCCCATATCTAACACACACACACACACACACACACACACACACACACACACAATTCCTTGAAAACGAAAGTTCCACAAGGGCAAAACAAGAAAACAAATTTAACACCCCCCAAAGAAAGTACAAAGAGTAACCTCAAAAGAACCGCAGGGGAAAACAATTCAAAATTTACAAGTATCTACCCTAAAAGAAGCTGAAAGTCCCTCAAAAACTTTCCAGAGGCCATGTCCTTGTATTACAAAAATGATCATAAAAACTGGCAGGAGTAGACGAATAGAAATGCATCTTAAAACTTGCTAAACCCTTCAAGTCTCCCATAAGAATTGTAATGGAAAATGGATCGGTCGGCAGCTTTTTCCATACAATTATGAACAAATTATATTTCTTCATACATAGATTTGTTTTTTCAATATTCTAAGGAATTAACTTTTATATTAATAGTAGGTGATGTAAGAAAGCAGGCCTTTATCAAGATAACTGACACTGGATGTCCATACCATTACTCAGGTGGGCCTTAATTCCCAGCCGGGTTCCCTCCCTGGACACACACTGAAGGTCCCCAGCCATTTGGCAATCTCTTCACATTCCCAGCCCTGGAGGTAGCCCTAAAATACATGTACCTGAAGAAAATAAAACATTGCCTCACACTGGAGCCCAGTGTGGTCCTCCAGATTCCGTGTGAGGTGGACTAACTTATATGGGAAGGCAGGGCAGCGGGAGTGAGGATGGCAGAGAGGATTACACATGTCAAGGCAGCCGGGGTCATGGAAACAAAACATGACTGGCCTGGGAGAAACACTGTGAAAGGACACAGACCTAGGTGGGCCTCAGGTGGACATCCTCATGGAGAAAAAGGGGGCCCTGGTTGATCTCAAAATGAGCCCCAGGTGGTAGCAGGTCTTACCGCAGGGCAGGGAGCTGGCGAGTAATGATGAGACAGCTATCCCTTAAGCCCTGCTTGTCACCCACTGACTTTAGCCACATATGCATCATAGTGGCTTAAGGTGCCCCGATCCTGAAATGTGGGTGTTACATGTCCCTGATGGGCCTCTCTCCCCCAACCCACGGATTGCCTGGGATTGCTCACTGCAGTCTCCTCCCGGATCCTTGGGTTCTCCATGTGGGGCCCAGATCCAGGTCAAAAGGCCTCTCAGTTCCCAGCCCTTCCCAGCCCTAGGCTGCTCGCCTGGCCTCCTCTCTGTTCCGCCTCTAGGGCTGACCCTCTCTCCATGGGATAGAACTGCAATGGATTGAGCCATAGGCCCTGGCTGATGATCTAGGGGACTGCAGAAGTGGGTCCAGGACAGTTCAGGTGACAGTTCAAAGCCAATTCCCCAGAGACCAAGGAATGACCAGCTAGGTCCTTTCCCATGATGCCCCACGGCGAACCCCACCTCAGCAATCCTGCCAAAACCCGGGCAGTCATGTTCAGCCAAACAGCTGAATGAGCTCAGGTAGGAGGTGTACTGCCTGCAGCTGGAGGCTTGACCTTCGTGATCCCAGAACCGCTGGACTGCAGTGGAATGAGACACCCTGTAGCCTGCAGGGAGAGGAGTCAGGAAGGTTCATGCCAGTCCCACCCTCCCACACACCAGCTCCCCTACCATGCTGGGAGGCATTCCTTACCGAGGATGCCAACACAGTGCTCCTTCATGATGATTTCACTGTGGAAATAAAGGTTGGGATGAAAGGAAATCATCCTGCCACCGGTAACCGGGATGGCTGAGTTCCTCCACCTGCCGGATCAAGGAGAAAGAGGATGGATTCAATGGGACCATCTCAACTAGCTGGGCTGAGGTGGCCTACTAGCTGTAGTGAACCATGAGTTTCCCCTTCCCAGCTCTCCCACTGAGACAACCCTGGTCCCCAGGGGGACCTCAAACTGACTCAGACACTGGACTCCTCCCACAGACCCAGGCTCCCCAGCCTGACCTGCAAATCCATCACGTAGCAAAGCAGGACTTCCGCATGCTTTCCGACCCACGCCGACATCTCGTGTGCCAAACAATCTACCTCTGCGCAAGAACTCTCCAGAGGATTGGGTGGGCAAGCCTCGTGACGCCTTGCAATTTCGCAAGAACACAGACAATGTGGAACAGGGCCATCTCCCAGACATTTGGCCAGTCACCCTTCATTGTTGGCCCTCTATCTCTGTCTGGCGAGGAGGCAACGCCACAACTGTGGTGGTTTTTGGAGTGGGTGGACCCCGGCCAAGACGGCCTGGGCTGACCAGAGACGGGAGGCAGAAAAAGTGGGCAGGTGGTTGCAGCTGAGGGACGGGAGGGACCGGGGGTGGTGTGAGGCGGCTGCTTCTCTGAGTTTCTGAGATGCAGGAGGCCTTTGTGTGCTGGGTGCTGGACATGCTCCGCTGATGTCCGGGTGTGTGGTGTCCTCTTATCCTAGTCTCCCTGAGGGGTGGGCCTGTCCACCTGAGGGAAGCCTTGTAGTTAGAAGCCACAGCAGGGTCGTGCCTGGCGCTCTCCAAGGGAATTGCGTGGGTCCAGAGGAAGTTATACAGGCTCAGGGCCTACACGCCTTTGAGTGCAGCGCCTGCAGTTGGATGAATGCGCATCTGCGGAGCTGGTGCCCGCCGTCAGGTGGTCGGCAGCCCCATGCGCCGCGAACCCGTCTTAAGCACCTTGTGTTTCTGGGGTGAGCCTGCTGGAAACAGGCACCGAGAGCAGGGGTGGTTCAATGGCTGGTAATGGCATACAGATTCCCCGTCCTCCAGGGACGTTCCCAGGGAAACGCGTCCTTCGAATTTGGGCTGTGCGCAAAGGGACCTTGGCGCCGCGATTCTCCCTTGTCAGTGCTGGCCCTGGCTCCCCTTCCCTACCACGTGCTCCCAGGGCTGCTACAAGCGAGCTGCCCTCACAGCTGCGGGAACGTGGCCTCGGCTCCCACGCTGTCCCCCATCCCCTGCCTCCTGGCTGACCCCACGTGCCTCCCACCTGGCTCCTCCCCGCAAACAGCCCCCATACCCCCCGAGGCCCGATGACTATCCCCTGCTGCCCGCCATCCCAAATCGGCAGCCGCAAGGATATGGCTCTGGCTCACAAGGCGGAGATGCTCTGTGGCCTGGGGCATTCACGGAGCCCAGCTCCAAGTGAAGGACCTCCAGTGAGTCCATTGACGGCCCCGGTGTGCTCGGTCCAGGGCCAGGCTGTGCCCGCTGGCCCTCCTTCTGCCACCCCACGTCGGGCTCCACCTCAACCACCACCTCCACCTCAGCCATGATGTCTTCCACCTTCAGCACCGCCTCCTCTTCCAAGGCCGCCTCCTTGCTCTGTACCCCGGCCGTCCTCTCCAGCATTGCCTCCAGCCTGAACACGGTTTTCTCCTGGGTGCTCCCACAGACCCTGGGCCTGCGCAGCCCAGCCCAGCCCAGCCCATGCCCCGCACCCGTAGGCTCTGGGGGCCCGCTCCCCAGCAGACCCGCTCCCTGCAAGACCCACGGGCGTCGCCCTGCTGTGAACCTGGTCCCACACCTACGTGGACCCAGGTTTCCTGAGGAGCTCCGCTGGACCCGCAGATCCCGCACTGGCCAAAGGGCTCCGGTCCCCAGCAGGCTCAACTGCGCACAGGAGCTCGGGAGCCAGAGGCCCCGGCCCTGGGCTTGCAGAGCCCCACCAACAGGCACCGCAACCGCTGCTGCGGGTGCGGGAGCCTCTGGGTCGTCAAGGCAGCGCACAACAGCGTGTGTGCAGGCCGACAATGGCCAACCCTGGCGGCTGGCCTCTGGTGTGCCCAGGGCATAGGACAAGAGGCCCTTTGGAATGCTCCTTGGAGTACAGCATCCTCAGGGAGGAAGCATGGTACTCGGAGCCTCTATTTGCCTCGACCTGTGAGAGTGTGTGCCGGGGCTCTGGCCTCTACAGCAGATCAATTCCACCTCAGCACCGGCAGGCGACTTTCCTCCCACGTGCCCGCCCCGATCACTTCCCCCAGGACACCCCTGCCGCCCTAGCCCCAGCAACCAGAGAGAGTTCTCTGCATCTGCTGTATTACCTCCGTACCATCTACCTGGCCTGCCTAACGAAGAGAGATGTTTCCTGTGTTCATGACACATAGAGATGTTCATGGCTTGCCACACTGAGGATGTCAGGGCACAGGGCTGCCATGCCCACAGTTCCAAAGGCCACGCAGCCCGCGTGTGCCCGGATGCCTAGCTACCCGGCACAAGCTCCAAGGGCTTCTCGGAGGAGGCTTGGGCAGGGAAGGCGGGGGTTGGGGGGGCTGGAGATGCAGGCCCGCCAGTGGCTGTGCCGCCCAGGGAGACGCCCACCGCCCTCCCATTGACTGGCCACGACGGGAGGAAGTCGGCCTGGGTGCGGCCCCCCGGCCCTTCGCGCGCAGTCCCTTAGGGGGCGCCTGGAAGCCCGGCGCATGCGCCCTGAGGGCTCGCTGACCTACCGGGTGCCAGAGAGGCTGCGGCAGGGTTTCTGTGGCGTGGGTCGGGCAGCACAGGCCTTGGTGTGTGCGAGTGCCAAGGAGGGCACCGCCTTCAGGATGGAGGCTGTACAGGAGGGGGCGGCCGGGGTGGAGAGTGAGCAGGCGGCTTTGGGGGAGGAGGCGGTGCTGCTGTTGGATGACATAATGGCGGAGGTGGAGGTGGTGGCGGAGGAGGAGGGCCTCGTGGAGCGGCGGGAGGAGGCCCAGCGGGCACAGCAGGCTGTGCCTGGCCCTGGGCCCATGACCCCAGAGTCTGCACTGGAGGAGCTGCTGGCCGTTCAGGTGGAGCTGGAGCCGGTTAATGCCCAAGCCAGGAAGGCCTTTTCTCGGCAGCGGGAAAAGATGGAGCGGAGGCGCAAGCCCCACCTAGACCGCAGAGGCGCCGTCATCCAGAGCGTCCCTGGCTTCTGGGCCAATGTTGTATCCTTCTCAGTGTTTCTTCGGCCTTTCTAGTGGAGAGGTGCTCTCGGGGAAGTGTAAGTGACCGATGGGCAGCTCGGCGTCGATGTGACTCTTTGGGGAACAAAGGGGAGTTGCCACGGACCAGTGTGGCTGTGGAAAGCCGGAGCAGGCGTGGGTACTATTGTCCTGCATGCGGCAGAGAAACCCTTGGTGATGCCGAGCAGCAGACGTTTGGGGCATCTTTTTGAAGAGCAGAAGCGAGTTCAGAGCGGAAGAGGTTTTTCAGTGAATGAAGCTATTTTTAAGGGAGTGTGATTGCTGCCCCTTGCTAGTCCGATCTGGGACTGGGCGTCTTCGGCTATAAGCAGATTCTGCCACTCCTCAGACACCAGCAAGTCTCTGCAAATCGCGCCTCCCCATGTCAGTGCAGTCAGCCTCAGAATCATACACCCTCTGTGAACACAGGAGGCCTTAGTTTACGGGGACGGGGAGGCGAAAGGAGATCATACATGGAAGCAGATCTGAGAAATCCCCTACCCCAGCCTCTGGGTGCTCTTAGGCCTTCTTCCCTGTTGCTCCTCGCTTTCCCTTCCATCGTGTGTAAAGTCTCTTTGACCTAAATCAGATTGCAAACCACCCCCAGATGTCAGCCCTGATCACTGACGAAGATGAAGACATGCTGAGCTACATGGTCAGCCTGGAGGTGAGGCCAGGAAGACTGGGGCTAGAGGGTTTAGCGGGGGAGGGTAAGGGAAATAATTCATTCCTGTAAGCAAGAGTGAGCACCTCACCCGAAAACCTATCTAAGCTTTCTCCACCTTGTCCTGACAGGTGGAAGAAGAGAAGCATCGTGTTCATCTCTGCAAGATCATGTTGTTCTTTCGGAGTAACCCCTACTTCCAGAATAAAGTGATTACCAAGGAATATCTGGTGAACATCACAGGTGACAGGTGGCTCCCAGGATGGGTAGTGGAAGGAAGATGGTGGGTGGATCATTGCCAACGGGATCCAGCCCCCTTCCCACAAAAACTCCTGTCTCTGTAGAATACAGGGCTTCTCATTCCACTCCAATTGAGTGGTATCCGGATTATGAAGTGGAGGCCTATCGCCGCAGACACCACAACAGCAGCCTTAACTTCTTCAACTGGTTCTCTGACCACAACTTCGCAGGATCTAACAAGATTGCTGAGGTGAGTCCTCACTGGGAAACATGAGGAATGACCCCGTGTGTTCCCAGCTGCTTGGGTCACCTTTCTGAGCCCTGATGAGGCCTTTCCCGATTGAGTCCCCTGACAGATCCTATGTAAGGACCTGTGGCGCAATCCCCTGCAATACTACAAGAGGATGAAGCCACCTGAAGAGGGAACAGAGACGTCAGGTGAGCCGTTAGTTGGCACTGGAGCTGTTTGATGCCCAGTATAAGGGGGTTGACACACCTGCCTATTCAGGGAGCCTGGGTGCTCATTTCAGAAATGTAGAAATTGAGGCTCCTTTCGTACATGTAGAAATTCCTTGAGAGGAAGACAGAGAGTGACAGAATCCAGGACGTTCATGGCATTGGGCTGAAAAGGCACGTTAGAGACTGCACTGCAAAGCGGGTGATAGCTGTGGAGTCTTAAGCCCAGTGAAGAATCGTCCATTTCCAGAATCAATGAGAAGTAAAGCTGAAAATCATTCAGTTCAGTCTGTGGCACTTGATTCCACGGCTGTCAACCCCACCGGCAGTCATCCCACCAACCCCATGAGATTGGGCTCCCTGAATGTGCGTCCTGGTCATCCTTGCCCCAAACCACAAAGGACTGTTTAGATTGATGGATTTCCTTAAGCTGTTGCCCCATCAGACTTGTGTGTGCTTTTAGGGCCCAGTGCATCTTGTTAGCTGACTCCCCTCACAGACAATACTGGGAATGGGGCAGGGATTGCGCAGAACAGTTTGTAACACGTGGTAGGAGGAAGTTTAAGGGATCACAAATGGGGAAGGGATATCCTTTTCTCAGCGGGCCCCACAATTGAAACATTTCAAAGTATGGCTCAGAGAAAATGCGTTTTAACATGAGTTTGTGTTTCTCTAGGGGACTCCCAGTTGTTGAGTTGAATATGATGGAGCATCAGATTTTACCTAATACAGCAGAACTCCTAAAAAGTTACAGCCATATGCAGGACGGCAGTACTCAGCATGGTCTTATGCACAGGAACTAAAGGAAAAAGAGATCGAGTCACAAAAATTCAGGAAGAGGGGGTAAATGTGGATTGTATGGAATGAAAAATAAACATTCTCAAGGATGTGTGACTCTGTGTCTGTGTGTGTGTGTGTGTGTCTTTGTGTTTGTGTGTGTGTGTGTGTGTGTATGTTTATCCACTTTATTCGGGTGTCATAATGAATTGATCAATCCACGTGCTTTATTCTCTTCATGGAAATAACCAGTCTGCGTTGGAGCTGGGCCTCTAAAGTTGTAGAGTGAATGGGTGTGGGATGTGTTGGGATTCTTCCTACAGGACAGAGTGGGAGAGGTAAAAGCAAAAGACAGCTTAGTTGGAGGCTGACTTCGTCCTGTGGAAGCAGAGATAGTTCAAGGAAAGGGGTTACTGGGTTTCCAGGGCCCAGTTTGCTGGGACCTCCAAAATCCTTCATTTTGGGTATCATCATACACAGTAGCTAAGCACAGGATGATGGAAATCTTAAAGTTCGCTTTCGTGTTGAATCCACATGTTCTTTTAAAGGTGAATGCATGATCCTTTTCTGGGACAATCAGCCTCTCAGGACTTCTGAAACATCAACGTGAGAAGAAATGGGCATGTAAGGTGTATGGAGGGACTGTGGGAAAGGTGACAGAGGCATGTGGGAAGGCATTCAGGATACGCTTTTGGCATAGATGACTAAGGGAAAACAGAAACTTACAGAAGTGAGGGGAAAGGGGGTGGATTAGTGGAATATAAGATTGTTGGAGAATCCATCCATGGACTCTCTTGTCACTTGATGACCCAGGATATGGACACTCTTGTTGATGTTTACATCTTTAGTTGTTTTAAGCTTTTCTCCAAGATTCTGTGTTAGGTGAGGAGCCAATAACGTATGTAGCTAACAACAGTACGAGTGCATTTTGTGCTCTTGCAAAGTCTAGTGAGGCTCTATTCTCCCTCGTGATTGGCACTGCAGATTGTATCTGGAGCCCAGGGCCCCTAAATTTTCTGTGGCCTCTTCAGCATAGTTTGCCTAAGGTTTAGAACGTAAAGCGAATATAGTTGCGGAATATGTTTTGCAAGCCTCACACAGGAGGACAAAACATACAGCTTTCATTCGCGAGTGGGAGGCTGCTTCCCAGGAACACGTGTGTCTGCACAAGACAAGGGGTTGCCTCTGTCAAGGATGGGGCAGGAGGATTTCAGTGTCGGAGGCAGAACTTTCTTTCCTGTTCCCAGATGAAACAGTTCCAACACGAGCATCCATGTTGACCACACGCTACTAGAGTGCTAACATTGCTGTCCCGTATAGACTCTGGTCAGCACAGCTTCTGTGAGAAGAGCTATGTTGTTTCAGGGAAGAGGGTTTGACAGTCAAAGTTCCTGAATCTGTTGTGGTGCCTGCAATATGCATTCTACCCCTCCTGCTCGGTGTCAAAGCAGTTGAGCTTTGAAAATCTATCGCCCGGTTTTGTCCCTGCTCCTATGCAGACCTCTGAAGCTCTGGAGCGGGAGTCTTGTCCTCCTCTGACTACCGTCCCCCTGACCCACAAACACAGGAGAAACAGGTGTTCTAAGCAAATTATTCTGAAAACAGTCGGAACCCTTTGGCCCCCTCAAGCTGCCCTGTATCCTACTGTGTGCATGTCAAAGACACTGTGGTCCAGTACGGTATCCCTATAGCGGCAATGGGGCAACAGATTGGTGTGTGCACTCTGGGCAACTCAGATTAGGAAACGTCTGGGGACTTGCCTATAACGAGGTCGTCTTAAAACGTGTTGCCCCAAATTTAAGGCATAGGAAAATGTTGAGGAAAGGGTCTTGCAATGATTTTTCTAGGAGGTAAATAGATAAGAAAATGACCGTAAATAGATGCCAGGGCTAGTTTTGGAGCTAGCCTGTTTTAAAGTGGTGGTAGGGGAGGAGCTTTTTCCAAGGCAGGTAGCAAACCAGGAACTGTCTACGATGGATGGGCGTGCCACGGGTTGGTGGCTCAGCCATATTGCCACCCCACCGACTGAATGCAGCAGACTGGGCTTCTTCCTTGAATCCTACGTGCAATTCAGTCTAGTGATTTCACATGAGATCCCTTCTTCTGGTATTATCACAGATCGTGCTGAATTATACAGGCTGTGTAATGCTTCTTCCACTGAATATCCGTGCACGTGGGCCACAGATGCTAAGGGCACTGACAAATTTGCACCGTGCCTCAGTAACTCGGAAGCACATCTGTGATTTGTACCGACAGGGACTTGGTGTCTTTTCGTGTTTAAAGTAGCACGTGTGTGTTTGTGGTTGCGTATGTTTATTTCTCTGTGCGGGTTTGTATATTTTCTCTGACTCCACCTGTGTCTCCGTGGTTCCGATATTTTTCCACACTCCCTGCGACAATTTGCACATGCCTATCTCTACAACCATTGTAGACTTTGTATCTGTGTCTTTGAACATCTGTCACTCTCTCTCCCTTCCTTTTTTCTTTTCCTTCCTTTACACCCCTTTCATCCTTCCCTTGCTTCCCCACCACACTCTCTCCATCTGTATCGTCTATCTTTCTATTCTCTATCTGGGTTTACTTTCTAATTCTGAATTCAAGGGCATTGAATTGAAAAGAAGCACTCTTCGTACTTTTATGTGTTTTAACTCATTTGGGGAATTTGGCGTGGTATTATTTACAGGGTTCTCTCTGCCCTTTCTCATTGTTCTCCCCAGCCGGGGCTGTTATTATGTGAAAGCTGGTTTCCTTCATCACATCGCGTAGGCTCTAATGATGTTTCGTTTATTTTGATTCTCCTCACACTACATAGTTTTAATTTACCTAATGTGACTGTTTTTTTGTTTGTTTTCCGAGAATGGGTCTTACTCTGTCTTCTAGGTTGGACAGCAGCCCCACGATCTCAGCCCACTGCAGCCCAGGCACCACACACCCATGTGATCCTGTCAACTCAGACTCTCACACACCTGGCAGTACAGGTGCATGCCACCCCTCCAAGCTATGTATTAATTAACTAAATACTTACTTTTTGAATGTGGGTCCATGTTGCCCCAGGCTCATCTGGAACTCCTGAGTGCAGGCAATCCTCCCACCTCAGCTTATCAAAGTGCTGGGATGACAGGTGTGACCCATGGCCCTGCCATGGCTTTGTGTTTTTTGCTTTTTTCTTCCTCCTCCTCACGTCTTGTTTTGAAACATGCACTGAAGGTTTCAATTCATGGACTATAGTCTCTGTGCCTGGAATTTCTATCTTTCAACTCATCATCAGCATTCATTGGGATTTTCATATATATATACACCTATATAAGAATACCTATGTACACACATATATACGTATATACATGTATATACGTATATATGCACATTTATATACGTATATACATGTATATACGTATATATATACATGTACACATATGTATTTATTTCTCAAGTTACGAAACGGCTTGCATTCTTTCCTGTGTCATGAAAAAGACTTTGCTAGAAAAGAAAAGCACTGCTTTATAATAAAATATTTTATTTGCATTTATTTTGTTAAGGCATTTTAAAAATTGTATGTTTGTTTAAAAAATGTCATATGAAATGATACATATTTACAACTTAAGGCGTGATGTTCAACAGGTCATATACATTATGCATTGGATACATCCAGCCAATCAACATATGTGTGACCTCACATAGTTGTCATTTTTGTTGTGAAAAAACTTGACCTGCACTGTATTCGAATATTTTTAGAGAAAGAATATGTTACCACTAGTTATAGTGAGCATGCTGAAGAAAATATTTTAACCTATTCCTCCTTTATAACTAGAAGTATGAGTTCTTCATCCAGCATCTCGTCAGTGCACCCTCTTCACCGCAGTCATTGGAGTCACTACTTCTGTGAAGTCCGCTTTTTTGATTTCATATAAGAATGAGATCATGTGCTATTTTCCTTTCTGATACCTGGCTTATGTCACTTAACAGAATGGCATGCACACATTCAGCAGATTCCCACACATTCTCACAACTGGCAGGATTTCCTGATTTCTTATTGCAGCGCATATTTCCGTTGCGCATATGCGTTTTTGCCCCATTTTTTAATCCACTTATCAATGGAGGGACACTCAGGTTGCTTCCGCATTTTGGCTACAGCAAAAATGTAATGAGTGCAGCAATAATTGCATGGGTGCGCGCACCGCTTCAACATACTGATCTGTGTACTGGCGGGCGTGCCCGGGTATTCTGATTTGCTGGATCATATAGTGGGTGGTTCTACTTGTAGATTTCTGAAGGCTGTTTATACTTAAATAAGAGCCATAAAGCTTCTTTAATGCCAGCACTAATTTACATTCTCCCCAAAAGTGAGCAGGGAATTCGTTTTCTCTGCCTCCTCACCAGAGATTAGGGTTTTCTTTTCTTTCTTTTTTTTTTTTTGTTTGTTTGTCTTTCGGATAATATGCATTCTGACTGAAGTGAGAAGAAATCTCATTGTGTTTTTGATTTGCATTTTCGTGATGGATTGGGGATAATGAGGAATTTTTAGTGTGTCTTCTGGGCAACTGTATGTCTCAGTTTCACAAATGAGTCTTCGCAGCCTTCGCCCATTTGTTTTCATGCTATTGAGTTGTTGGGAGTTCCTTATGTACTGTGACTATTCCCCCATGAACAGATGTATGGTGATCCAATCATTGCTCCCATCCTGTAGGATGCCCCTTCTGTATGTTGAGTTTTCTATGGTGTGGTGAAGCACTTTAGTTTGATATGATTCCATTCTCTATTTTTGATGGTGTTTACTGTGTTCTTGCAGTCACTTTGAGACCATCATTGCACACACGGACGCCATGGAGCTGCTTCCTTGTGATCTCTTCTGCTATTTTTATCGTTTCACATCTGACACTGGAGTTTGGTGATAAATAATCCACTTGTAAAATCCTTTGTGTGGCTATTCAGATTTCCCCAACCTAGTTTATAGAAGATACTTGATTTTGCATTGGGCGTTCTTGCTTCTTTGGGAAAAGGCTGTGAGCTGCAAATGCAGTGACTTAGTTCTGGGCTCCTGTTGTTTTTCCTAAGCTCTAGTCTCTGCTTTTCTGCCAGCGCTATTGTATTTTGGTACAAAAAGTTTTGTAGTAGTATATCATGAAGTTAGGTAGTGGGGTGGCTCCAGCTTTGTGCTTTTTACTGGATTGCTCTGGGTTTTCAGGATCTTCTGCCATTTCATAGCAAATTTGGGATTCCCAGATTGTTTTTCTAAGAAGAATGTGTCATTGATACTTTTACAGGGGTTGTATAGAATCTGAGGATGACTCAGGTAGTAGTGATGTCAATGCCGTTTAGACAATGTGCGTGTTTGTGTGCACATGCTCAGGGCCAAGAGACACTGGGTGTCCTCACCAATACTGAGGTGGGCCTTAATATCCAGCCAGATTGCCTTCTGGAAACACACGGAATGTCCTGTTCTGTTTTGCCATCTCTTCACATTTCCTCCCCTGTGAGCCCTGTGTGGTCCTCCAGATTCCCTGTGCGGTGGCCTGCCTTTTTTGGGGTGGGGAGTTGCTGGGTGAATGAGGATGGCGGAGGGAACCAAGCATGTCAGTGGAGCGTGGTGTCATCCAAACGGTACTTAGCAGGCCTGGGAGAGTCATTCTGGGAGGACGCAGACCTAGAGAGGCCTCAGGTGGGCATCTGTGTGGAGGGTGAGAGATCCCTGGTTGAGCCCAAACTGAACCCCAGGTAGAAGCAAGCCTCAGGACAGGGAAGTAGCTAGCAAGGGATGATGAGGCAGCTATCTCTTGACCCTGGCTTCCCACCCATTGACCTTAGCTACTTATGCCTATTAAGCAGATTACGGTTCCCCCATCGTGAAATGTGGGTACCACAGTTCCCTGATGGGCATTTCTCCACCAGCCCATGATGGCCTGAGTTTCCTTACTGCAGTCTCCTCCCTGAGCCTTGGCTTCTCTATGTGTGTCCTAACTCCAGGACCCACAGGCCTGTCAACCCCCAGCCCTGGGCTGCTTCCCTGGCCTCTTCTCTGTTCCCTCTCTGAGGGCCTAACTCCCTTGGGTAGTGCTGCAGAATATAGAGCCACAGGCCCTGGCTGATGATCTGGTGGACTGGGCAAATTGGTCGTGACAGGTCAGGTTCTGGTTCAAAGCCAATTCCTCCGATGCCAAGGAATGTCGAAGAAGGTCCTTTGCCATGATGTCCCATAGCTGTCCCACCTCAGCAATCGTGCCGTAACCTGGGCCCTCACAGTCAGACAACCAGCTGAAGAAGCTCAGGCAGTGACCTGCGGGAAACTCGGGCTTTCACCTGCATGACCCTAGAACCACTGGACTGCAGTGGAGCCAGTCGCCCTGTATCCTGGAGGGAGACGAGTCAGGAAGGCGCACGCCAGGCCCAGCTCCCGAGGTACTACCCCCTCTACTCCTCAGGGAGGATGCCAACGCAATACTCCTTAGTCATCACTTTGTTTCCGAAGTAAATGTTGTGATGAAAGGCAAACTTCTTCCTACCCCTTGTATTCAGGGTGGCCGAGTTCCTCCACCTGCCTGTCCAAGAAGGAGAAACAGGGCTGTGAAGGGGCAATTTCATCTAGGTGGGCTGAGGTGGCACTCTAGCCGGGGTGAAGCATGCGTTTCCCCTTCCCAGCTTTCCCGCTGAGACACACCTGAGCCCCAGAAGGACCTCAACCTGACCAGGACCTTAGCACCCTCCCCCAGACCCAGGCTTTCCATCCTGACCTGCAAATCCAACATGCAGCTTTGAAGGACTTTCTCATGGTTTCTGAGCTCCTTGCTCTCACCAGAAAGAATCAGAACTTTTAAAGTGTTCTTTATGCCAACTTAAATTTTTCATTTTTACTACCTCATGTTTTGGATGAGGCATGTATTTTTAAATTTATTTTCACCCTTATTGTACCTCTATGATAAACTGCTTGCTTACATTCATACCGTAATTATCTCTCAGGTTACTTGTCTGTTCCTAAAGATTCACTGAAACGAAGAATTCTATATATGCTTGTATCTTTCAGCAACCGTATGTCAGATAGCACTGCACATTACTGCAGACATCGCATATACAGGTCCAAAGGTAGAGGAAGAAGAAGAAAGCAAGCGTTAAACTCTATTCATTCCTAAAAGCATATCAGAAACTCACAAATAACAGTGAAATCAAAGAATGATCACAGCCAATTCCATTACATACCTAGACTGAAATACGAAACTTCAAAGAAAAGAAACATTAGAACTTTGGGTTTGTAAAAATTTTCCTATATAGATAAAATTGTTGGTAACTGTGTCTCACTAGAAAACGTAAACAAAAATCCATGTTTTTCATATTTGTAAATATACATAGTTTTATTTCCATCAGTTATGACATGCAAGCAAGTAATAAAGTGAAAGTACAATCAAATGATATATGGAACTTCCTCAGTCTTAAAATATTCCATGGAGACTATCAATTTTATGAAAACTATAAAGAATGCTTCATGAAACTACATTGTACAGTGCCATTTACTATTTTACTGACATTTTAAATAATCAACAATTAAAGGGAATACGTCAACATTATTTAATACCAATAACGTTATTTTTCTTGAGTAATCCTGTTGAAATTAAGGATTTTAAATAAAACATTAAAAACAAATTATATTGACTGATTTCAGCTTTGGATGAAATCATACTTGTGTATTTGTAGTAATGCGAAGCATAACTTTCTCCTCACAATTAATCTTTTATAACATCGGTGTTATAGTTTTCTCTGACACCAACATTGTGATATCGCACAGGTTTACTGCATGCATGCATTACATGCCTCCAGAGAGTAGGCTTCAAATATATGGAAAAATTATATTTATGAAAAAATTCTAGGAAAGGGAATGGTGAAATGGAAGAGAATTTCTCACTTGCTAACTGTTGGACATGGATTTGTATATATTTGGATATAGACACATACTGGCACACTGTGAGTTTGCCCATGTATATATACACTTATATGAGAAACCCATAATATATGGGTTGTGTAATCTTTTAATTAATCCATAATTGTATGTGTGTGAAATTAGATAAGCGGTTACCTTTTCTTTACTCAATTTGATGGAAAGCCAAAAAACTCTGTCCACCTTCATTTCAATTAATCCAATACTGTTAACTGCTGGTAGCTTCATTCTCCTTGTTCTCTTACGGCAACCGGAAAGTTAATTCTCGCTCTAATTTGGCTTTCAAGGTGCGATCAACAAGAGTGTCACCTTGCTGTGGATTGTGACCTCTGACTCCACCTCTGTCTTCCTTTTGCAGTCCTACCTTTGCATAGGTAACAAACTTTGTACATGGTTAAAAGGATAAAAGTTCAGTGAAATGTCAAGCCATGCTGTGAAATGTTCCATAGTTTCTATATCTCTAATTGTCCTTTGATGTTATAGAGGCAAGAAAAATAATTCAATGTTTTTCTTAGTATCTAGTCCAATGCACTCTTTCTTCATAATACTGCAAACAAGGCACTGACATGGAAACGTGGCTGGACGTCTCAAAATCTCTTCTCATTAATTACCATTATGTTAATCACTGTTGCCCACAACTGGAATTGGACTTTGAAATCCCCTGGTGGAAATTGCTATAATGGCTCAAACTACTGGAAAGACTATCTTTTTTTTACCTGAAAATATCTGATGAGCATAGACGTATGCTATATACAGGAAGATATTGTACATTAACAACATACCATCACTGCCACTCAATAATAGGTATCCCAAACCTTTGAGCCAAACTGAGCTCGGGTGCTCCCACAAACCAAGCTTTTCCCTCCACAGATTTCTTATGTCAAAAAGCCACAACTCCAGGCCAGGCTTCGTGGCTCTTGTTGTAATTTCTACATTTTGGGAGGCCGAGGTTGGTGGGTCACTTGAGGTCAGGAGTTGGAGACCAGCATGGGCAACATGGCAAAAAGCTGTCTCTACCAAAAATACAAAAATTAGCCAGACCTAGTGGCACTTTCCTGTGGTCCCAGCTACTTGGGAGGCTGAGGCAGGAGAACCACCTGAACATGGGTGGCAGAGATTGTATAGTAAGCCAAGATCAGACTACTGCACTCCAGCCTGGATGACACAGCGAGACCATGAGGAAAAAGAAAAAAAAAAAAATAAAGGCAACTCCACTCGTCCACTGGCTTAGGTAAAAAGTACTGGAGTTGGCTGGGCTCGGTGGCTCACACCTGTATTCCCAGCACTTTGGATTTTGGGAAGCTGAGTCGGGCGGGTCACCTGAGATCTGTAGTAGGAGAGCAGCCTGGCCAACATGGTGAAGCCTGGCTTCTACTAAAAATACAAAACATTAGCTGAGCGTGGTGATGCATGCTTGTAATCCCAGCTACTGCAGAGGCTGAACCTGGGAGGCGGAGGATGTGTTGAGCTGAGATCCTGCCACTGCGCTCCAGCCTGGTCTACAGAGCGAGAGTACCCTGTGAGAAACAAAGGTGAAGAGAACAAGAAAAAAAAAATGAGAAAAATAAGACCCACTGCAAAAGGTTGCCACAGAAAAGATTAAACATTTCAGCAACTTCTATCTTCTGTCATGGAAGCCAAGGTTATTTGGACCAAACCTCCTGTCTTAGTTCATTTTCACGCTGCTGAAGAAGACATACCTGAAACTGGGAATAAAAGGAGGTTTAATTGGACTGACAGTTCCACATGGCTGTGGAGGCCTCAGAATCATGGTATACGAATAAAGGCACTTCTTACATGGCAATGCCAAGAGAGAATGAGGAAGAACCTGAGGCAGAAACCCCTGAAAAACCCATCAGATCCCGTGAGACTTCTTCACTGTCACAAGAATAGCATGAGAAAGACCGACCCCCATGATTCAATTACCTCCCCCTGGGTCCCACCCGCAACACGAGGGAATTCTGGGAGATACAATTGAAGCTGAGATTTGAATGGAGACACACCAAACCATGTCACTTCCCAAACAATTAAAAATTCCCAATAGAAGAAGCATTAATTATATCAAAAAGTGGTGGACCAAGAAGGAACTATTAGCCTCATATCTCAAGAAAGACTCCAGTCAAGGCCTAGGGACTACTCATGAAAAGAGTTTAATAGCCGACTCTCTCCCAGTGGATCTGGATTCCACCGGACTGTATCTTCACAGTAAGGGTGAAACAGAAGCAAACCCATTCCTATTTCCAAGCTCAAGGAACTTTGGTCAAAGTTCTCTTGGAGCTGAGCAGAACAAGGAGGCAAACAGAAAAGATTTGTGTCCCTGAGAAGTCATGGCCACAGGCTGGCTATCACACAGATTGTCAAGCCAGTTCCATATTGCATGGGTATTACAGAAAATCTCAAAACATAAATTTGTGTGTGGGTTGTCCCAGAGTAGCAGGATCTGGCAGAAGGAAATTTCCTTCTAACCCTCAAAGAATCCACATAAATCTTGTTACATTTGGGATTTTACGATTTGCTTCAGGAATGAGAATGGCCTTAATTTTCATATCTTTTTCTACACTCAGTTTATGGCTTGTTGGCGTCAAAGTTCTGCTTGCTTCACACAATGAGTTTAGGATTTTCCCTTTTTTATTCTATAGAATTCTTCATATATATTGAAATGCTCTGCCTGGGGAAAAAAATCTGAGCCTAGCGTTTTATCTCTAGGAAGAATCCTTTATTTCCTTGAACATTTATGAGACTATACAGATTATATATGTCTTCTTGTATCAATTTTACTAAGCTATATACATAGCTTATGTTTATATATTATATATATAAATGTAAGATACAAATATAAAAATTATGTATAAATATGAAAATATATATAGAAAGCGATATATATGTCTATATATATAGACAGATTATAAATATCTGTCTATTTGATCTAAGTTTTCAAATTTGTAGGTTAAGGTGTTAACGATATTTCCTTATTAGCTTCTTAATCTATGCTGTATCTATGGTTGTGTACCTTTTAAATTCTTAGTTTTATCTATGTTTTCTCCCTTTTTTTCTAAACTTGACTGACGGTTGCATCATTTATTATATTTCTCCAACAAGCAAAGGTTAGCTTTGTATGTTTTACTAATTTTGTCTACATCATTATTCCCACACTTTAGTTTTTCAGAATTGATTCTGTTGTTTCTTTTCTAATTCTTTATTGAAATATCTAGTACATTAATTTTCAAGTTATTAGAGAAATATTTGTCTGTAAACTCCTATTGTAATATCACTTTTCTTGCTACTCACAGATTTAATCTTCAATATTGGCGGTATCATTGAGTTCTAAGTACATTTCAATTCCTAGTATGATAATCTATGAATTGCTGAGAAATAGTGTTTACAATTTTGTTGTTCTATTTCCACTTAAGTTTATTTTTACTTCTGCTAACTCAATTGAAAATTCTTTACTAATTTTTAAAATCCTTGAACCCAAGAGATGGAGGTTGCAGTGAGCTGAGATCAGGCCACTGCATTCCAGACTGAGTGACAGAGTGGAACGAGATTTCAAAACAAAACAAAACAAAACAAAACAAAACAGTCACTGGAAAGATAATAAAATACATAAATGTGGGATGTAATATGTAATCGTGATAAAATAAACTGGATTTTTTGTATAAGTTATACATATAAATGTAATGCCAAGACACTGATAAGACAACTCATGGTCTTATCTCAATACTTAGTGTCTTCATGTAACATATGTCCTTTAGGATAGTTATAGTCCGTTTTCTTTCCAGGAGAGACAGATGAGAATGCAGAAATGTTAAAGTGCAAGGGACGGAAGCTTCCAGCTGTGCCCACCTGTAACCTGACGTAGACAGTTCCACCGTTTGCTTCATTAATCATGCCAAAGGCTCTAATGCAAATGTGGTACAGAGTCACATGTTTTTGTATCTGCATGATAGAAACTATAACTTCATCCCTATATAGAAGGGTATATAGCATATGCCTCAGTGATAAATATAAGTGAATCATTGATCAGTAGGAAACCATTTTAAAAGTCTTTCATAACAGAACAAAATCCCTGAAAACATTTTCTTCTCAATCTCTGAGTTTTCTTACACGGCTTATGAATCTCTAGCCATACTAAAGAGATAGTATGCTGCTCTTCCCACAAATTATTCATTGTATATAATTCCTGTAATCTAATAACAGTACCTTTACACCTCAGGGTTTAAAATGACTCCAACCTTTTTCTGTTTCTCCAATTAAAATAACTTTTTTAAGGTTTAATCTTCAGTAATTTTTTGTAGTAATATTTTTGAAGGTATTTGACCAGGATGATTTGCTTATATACCTACCTGACGTCTCCCTTTCTTCTGAATACATATTTTATTACCCACCTATTAGATCTAAGTTTAAGAAGTTGGAATAGGGATTTAAATCTAAATTCTACATTTGAATTTACAGGAGTCAGCGAGTCGGGGAAGTGCCTTTATGCACAGACCAATATCTGGCAATGGCACTAGGAGACAAATAAGCTTTACCAGTCTCAAAGCCCTGGCTACTACAGTGAATCCACCCTTCTCCTGGATCTTATCTACTTCAGCAAAAGAAGGCCACCCACTAAACCAGGCCCTTGTACTTTGGGTGGAAACTCCTAAGTCCTCTAGTCTCCTCAAACAGACAGCCAGGCTGCCAATTTCCACAATAATAATTTCTATAGCACTGAGTCTTTGGTAGCCTTGTAACTATAGCTACTGATGCTACAGTCTGGTCCCTGTATGATAAAACACCAGAGCAACAGAAACAAAAATATTGACTGAAGCCTTCTAAAATCTCTCTAAATATACCTTCAATAAATATGGTTTTTTTTACAGAACGACTGCTTTCAGCTTCCTGAACTAACGCTTGGCCTTCGCTAGTTGTCACTGTTGAAATTGATTCAAAAGTGTACCTTTAACATGAAAGTCAACACAGAATTTCATGTGTCAGCAACTAAAATTTTCAAAATGTTGCAAAATACAAATGTGAAACTGTATTTGTGAAATTTACCATTCATTGAAATTATATTTTCATACCTACCCAGGCACAGAATTTTTTATAACTGTCTGCATGTTCTCCTCATGTGGGGGAAAAGCAGCATCAGCAGGCAGAGGAATCCTTTGAAGCTGGAGGGAGAGGTTGCAGTGATCTGAGAGTTTGCCACTTGACTGCAGCCTGGATGACACAGTGAGACTCCAACTGAAAAGAAACAAACACACACACACACACACACACACACACACACACACCCCCAAAATTGATAAGTAAAAAAAAAATCCGTATTCGAAAACATGCTCACAGGCTAACTCCCATATCTAACACACACACACACACACACACACACACACACACACACACACAATTCCTTGAAAACGAAAGTTCCACAAGGGCGAAACAAGAAAACAAATTTAACACCCCCCAAAGAAAGTACGAAGAGTAACCTCAAAAGAACCGCAGGGGAAAACAATTCAAAATTTACAAGTATCTACCCTAAAAGAAGCTGAAAGTCCCTCAAAAACTTTCCAGAGGCCATGTCCTTGTATTACAAAAATGATCATAAAAACTGGCAGGAGTAGACGAATAGAAATGCATCTTAAAACTTGCTGAACACTTCAAGTCTCCCATAAGAATTGTAATGGAAAATGGATCAGTCGGCAGTTTTTTCCATACAATTATGAACAAATTATATTTCTTCATACATAGATTTGTTTTTTCAATATTCTAAGGAATTAACTTTTATATTAATAGTAGGTGATGTAAGAAAGCAGGCCTTTATCAAGATAACTGACACTGGATGTCCATACCATTACTCAGGTGGGCCTTAATTCCCAGCCGGGTTCCCTCCCTGGACACACACTGAAGGTCCCCAGCCATTTGGCAATCTCTTCACATTCCCAGCCCTGGAGGTAGCCCTAAAATACATGTACCTGAAGAAAATAAAACATTGCCTCACACTGGAGCCCAGTGTGGTCCTCCAGATTCCGTGTGAGGTGGACTAACTTATATGGGAAGGCAGGGCAGCGGGAGTGAGGATGGCAGAGAGGATTACACATGTCAAGGCAGCCGGGGTCATGGAAACAAAACATGACTGGCCTGGGAGAAACACTGTGAAAGGACACAGACCTAGGTGGGCCTCAGGTGGACATCCTCATGGAGAAAAAGGGGGCCCTGGTTGATCTCAAAATGAGCCCCAGGTGGTAGCAGGTCTTACCGCAGGGCAGGGAGCTGGCGAGTAATGATGAGACAGCTATCCCTTAAGCCCTGCTTGTCACCCACTGACTTTAGCCACATATGCATCATAGTGGCTTAAGGTGCCCCGATCCTGAAATGTGGGTGTTACATGTCCCTGATGGGCCTCTCTCCCCCAACCCACGGATTGCCTGGGATTGCTCACTGCAGTCTCCTCCCGGATCCTTGGGTTCTCCATGTGGGGCCCAGATCCAGGTCAAAAGGCCTCTCAGTTCCCAGCCCTTCCCAGCCCTAGGCTGCTCGCCTGGCCTCCTCTCTGTTCCGCCTCTAGGGCTGACCCTCTCTCCATGGGATAGAACTGCAATGGATTGAGCCATAGGCCCTGGCTGATGATCTAGGGGACTGCAGAAGTGGGTCCAGGACAGTTCAGGTGACAGTTCAAAGCCAATTCCCCAGAGACCAAGGAATGACCAGCTAGGTCCTTTCCCATGATGCCCCATGGCGAACCCCACCTCAGCAATCCTGCCAAAACCCGGGCAGTCATGTTCAGCCAAACAGCTGAATGAGCTCAGGTAGGAGGTGTACTGCCTGCAGCTGGAGGCTTGACCTTCGTGATCCCAGAACCGCTGGACTGCAGTGGAATGAGACACCCTGTAGCCTGCAGGGAGAGGAGTCAGGAAGGTTCATGCCAGTCCCACCCTCCCACACACCAGCTCCCCTACCATGCTGGGAGGCATTCCTTACCGAGGATGCCAACACAGTGCTCCTTCATGATGATTTCACTGTGGAAATAAAGGTTGGGATGAAAGGAAATCATCCTGCCACCGGTAACCGGGATGGCTGAGTTCCTCCACCTGCCGGATCAAGGAGAAAGAGGATGGATTCAATGGGACCATCTCAACTAGCCGGGCTGAGGTGGCCTACTAGCTGTAGTGAACCATGAGTTTCCCCTTCCCAGCTCTCCCACTGAGACAACCCTGGTCCCCAGGGGGACCTCAAACTGACTCAGACACTGGACTCCTCCCACAGACCCAGGCTCCCCAGCCTGACCTGCAAATCCATCACGTAGCAAAGCAGGACTTCCGCATGCTTTCCGACCCACGCCGACATCTCGTGTGCCAAACAATCTACCTCTGCGCAAGAACTCTCCAGAGGATTGGGTGGGCAAGCCTCGTGACGCCTTGCAATTTCGCAAGAACACAGACAATGTGGAACAGGGCCATCTCCCAGACATTTGGCCAGTCACCCTTCATTGTTGGCCCTCTATCTCTGTCTGGCGAGGAGGCAACGCCACAACTGTGGTGGTTTTTGGAGTGGGTGGACCCCGGCCAAGACGGCCTGGGCTGACCAGAGACGGGAGGCAGAAAAAGTGGGCAGGTGGTTGCAGCTGAGGGACGGGAGGGACCGGGGGTGGTGTGAGGCGGCTGCTTCTCTGAGTTTCTGAGATGCAGGAGGCCTTTGTGTGCTGGGTGCTGGACATGCTCCGCTGATGTCCGGGTGTGTGGTGTCCTCTTATCCTAGTCTCCCTGAGGGGTGGGCCTGTCCACCTGAGGGAAGCCTTGTAGTTAGAAGCCACAGCAGGGTCGTGCCTGGCGCTCTCCAAGGGAATTGCGTGGGTCCAGAGGAAGTTATACAGGCTCAGGGCCTACACGCCTTTGAGTGCAGCGCCTGCAGTTGGATGAATGCGCATCTGCGGAGCTGGTGCCCGCCGTCAGGTGGTCGGCAGCCCCATGCGCCGCGAACCCGTCTTAAGCACCTTGTGTTTCTGGGGTGAGCCTGCTGGAAACAGGCACCGAGAGCAGGGGTGGTTCAATGGCTGGTAATGGCATACAGATTCCCCGTCCTCCAGGGACGTTCCCAGGGAAACGCGTCCTTCGAATTTGGGCTGTGCGCAAAGGGACCTTGGCGCCGCGATTCTCCCTTGTCAGTGCTGGCCCTGGCTCCCCTTCCCTACCACGTGCTCCCAGGGCTGCTACAAGCGAGCTGCCCTCACAGCTGCGGGAACGTGGCCTCGGCTCCCACGCTGTCCCCCATCCCCTGCCTCCTGGCTGACCCCACGTGCCTCCCACCTGGCTCCTCCCCGCAAACAGCCCCCATACCCCCCGAGGCCCGATGACTATCCCCTGCTGCCCGCCATCCCAAATCGGCAGCCGCAAGGATATGGCTCTGGCTCACAAGGCGGAGATGCTCTGTGGCCTGGGGCATTCACGGAGCCCAGCTCCAAGTGAAGGACCTCCAGTGAGTCCATTGACGGCCCCGGTGTGCTCGGTCCAGGGCCAGGCTGTGCCCGCTGGCCCTCCTTCTGCCACCCCACGTCGGGCTCCACCTCAACCACCACCTCCACCTCAGCCATGATGTCTTCCACCTTCAGCACCGCCTCCTCTTCCAAGGCCGCCTCCTTGCTCTGTACCCCGGCCGTCCTCTCCAGCATTGCCTCCAGCCTGAACACGGTTTTCTCCTGGGTGCTCCCACAGACCCTGGGCCTGCGCAGCCCAGCCCAGCCCAGCCCATGCCCCGCACCCGTAGGCTCTGGGGGCCCGCTCCCCAGCAGACCCGCTCCCTGCAAGACCCACGGGCGTCGCCCTGCTGTGAACCTGGTCCCACACCTACGTGGACCCAGGTTTCCTGAGGAGCTCCGCTGGACCCGCAGATCCCGCACTGGCCAAAGGGCTCCGGTCCCCAGCAGGCTCAACTGCGCACAGGAGCTCGGGAGCCAGAGGCCCCGGCCCTGGGCTTGCAGAGCCCCACCAACAGGCACCGCAACCGCTGCTGCGGGTGCGGGAGCCTCTGGGTCGTCAAGGCAGCGCACAACAGCGTGCGTGCAGGCCGACAATGGCCAACCCTGGCGGCTGGCCTCTGGTGTGCCCAGGGCATAGGACAAGAGGCCCTTTGGAATGCTCCTTGGAGTACAGCATCCTCAGGGAGGAAGCATGGTACTCGGAGCCTCTATTTGCCTCGACCTGTGAGAGTGTGTGCCGGGGCTCTGGCCTCTACAGCAGATCAATTCCACCTCAGCACCGGCAGGCGACTTTCCTCCCACGTGCCCGCCCCGATCACTTCCCCCAGGACACCCCTGCCGCCCTAGCCCCAGCAACCAGAGAGAGTTCTCTGCATCTGCTGTATTACCTCCGTACCATCTACCTGGCCTGCCTAACGAAGAGAGATGTTTCCTGTGTTCATGACACATAGAGATGTTCATGGCTTGCCACACTGAGGATGTCAGGGCACAGGGCTGCCATGCCCACAGTTCCAAAGGCCACGCAGCCCGCGTGTGCCCGGATGCCTAGCTACCCGGCACAAGCTCCAAGGGCTTCTCGGAGGAGGCTTGGGCAGGGAAGGCGGGGGTTGGGGGGGCTGGAGATGCAGGCCCGCCAGTGGCTGTGCCGCCCAGGGAGACGCCCACCGCCCTCCCATTGACTGGCCACGACGGGAGGAAGTCGGCCTGGGTGCGGCCCCCCGGCCCTTCGCGCGCAGTCCCTTAGGGGGCGCCTGGAAGCCCGGCGCATGCGCCCTGAGGGCTCGCTGACCTACCGGGTGCCAGAGAGGCTGCGGCAGGGTTTCTGTGGCGTGGGTCGGGCAGCACAGGCCTTGGTGTGTGCGAGTGCCAAGGAGGGCACCGCCTTCAGGATGGAGGCTGTACAGGAGGGGGCGGCCGGGGTGGAGAGTGAGCAGGCGGCTTTGGGGGAGGAGGCGGTGCTGCTGTTGGATGACATAATGGCGGAGGTGGAGGTGGTGGCGGAGGAGGAGGGCCTCGTGGAGCGGCGGGAGGAGGCCCAGCGGGCACAGCAGGCTGTGCCTGGCCCTGGGCCCATGACCCCAGAGTCTGCACTGGAGGAGCTGCTGGCCGTTCAGGTGGAGCTGGAGCCGGTTAATGCCCAAGCCAGGAAGGCCTTTTCTCGGCAGCGGGAAAAGATGGAGCGGAGGCGCAAGCCCCACCTAGACCGCAGAGGCGCCGTCATCCAGAGCGTCCCTGGCTTCTGGGCCAATGTTGTATCCTTCTCAGTGTTTCTTCGGCCTTTCTAGTGGAGAGGTGCTCTCGGGGAAGTGTAAGTGACCGATGGGCAGCTCGGCGTCGATGTGACTCTTTGGGGAACAAAGGGGAGTTGCCACGGACCAGTGTGGCTGTGGAAAGCCGGAGCAGGCGTGGGTACTATTGTCCTGCATGCGGCAGAGAAACCCTTGGTGATGCCGAGCAGCAGACGTTTGGGGCATCTTTTTGAAGAGCAGAAGCGAGTTCAGAGCGGAAGAGGTTTTTCAGTGAATGAAGCTATTTTTAAGGGAGTGTGATTGCTGCCCCTTGCTAGTCCGATCTGGGACTGGGCGTCTTCGGCTATAAGCAGATTCTGCCACTCCTCAGACACCAGCAAGTCTCTGCAAATCGCGCCTCCCCATGTCAGTGCAGTCAGCCTCAGAATCATACACCCTCTGTGAACACAGGAGGCCTTAGTTTACGGGGAGGGGGAGGCGAAAGGAGATCATACATGGAAGCAGATCTGAGAAATCCCCTACCCCAGCCTCTGGGTGCTCTTAGGCCTTCTTCCCTGTTGCTCCTCGCTTTCCCTTCCATCGTGTGTAAAGTCTCTTTGACCTAAATCAGATTGCAAACCACCCCCAGATGTCAGCCCTGATCACTGACGAAGATGAAGACATGCTGAGCTACATGGTCAGCCTGGAGGTGAGGCCAGGAAGACTGGGGCTAGAGGGTTTAGCGGGGGAGGGTAAGGGAAATAATTCATTCCTGTAAGCAAGAGTGAGCACCTCACCCGAAAACCTATCTAAGCTTTCTCCACCTTGTCCTGACAGGTGGAAGAAGAGAAGCATCGTGTTCATCTCTGCAAGATCATGTTGTTCTTTCGGAGTAACCCCTACTTCCAGAATAAAGTGATTACCAAGGAATATCTGGTGAACATCACAGGTGACAGGTGGCTCCCAGGATGGGTAGTGGAAGGAAGATGGTGGGTGGATCATTGCCAACGGGATCCAGCCCCCTTCCCACAAAAACTCCTGTCTCTGTAGAATACAGGGCTTCTCATTCCACTCCAATTGAGTGGTATCCGGATTATGAAGTGGAGGCCTATCGCCGCAGACACCACAACAGCAGCCTTAACTTCTTCAACTGGTTCTCTGACCACAACTTCGCAGGATCTAACAAGATTGCTGAGGTGAGTCCTCACTGGGAAACATGAGGAATGACCCCGTGTGTTCCCAGCTGCTTGGGTCACCTTTCTGAGCCCTGATGAGGCCTTTCCCGATTGAGTCCCCTGACAGATCCTATGTAAGGACCTGTGGCGCAATCCCCTGCAATACTACAAGAGGATGAAGCCACCTGAAGAGGGAACAGAGACGTCAGGTGAGCCGTTAGTTGGCACTGGAGCTGTTTGATGCCCAGTATAAGGGGGTTGACACACCTGCCTATTCAGGGAGCCTGGGTGCTCATTTCAGAAATGTAGAAATTGAGGCTCCTTTCGTACATGTAGAAATTCCTTGAGAGGAAGACAGAGAGTGACAGAATCCAGGACGTTCATGGCATTGGGCTGAAAAGGCACGTTAGAGACTGCACTGCAAAGCGGGTGATAGCTGTGGAGTCTTAAGCCCAGTGAAGAATCGTCCATTTCCAGAATCAATGAGAAGTAAAGCTGAAAATCATTCAGTTCAGTCTGTGGCACTTGATTCCACGGCTGTCAACCCCACCGGCAGTCATCCCACCAACCCCATGAGATTGGGCTCCCTGAATGTGCGTCCTGGTCATCCTTGCCCCAAACCACAAAGGACTGTTTAGATTGATGGATTTCCTTAAGCTGTTGCCCCATCAGACTTGTGTGTGCTTTTAGGGCCCAGTGCATCTTGTTAGCTGACTCCCCTCACAGACAATACTGGGAATGGGGCAGGGATTGCGCAGAACAGTTTGTAACACGTGGTAGGAGGAAGTTTAAGGGATCACAAATGGGGAAGGGATATCCTTTTCTCAGCGGGCCCCACAATTGAAACATTTCAAAGTATGGCTCAGAGAAAATGCGTTTTAACATGAGTTTGTGTTTCTCTAGGGGACTCCCAGTTGTTGAGTTGAATATGATGGAGCATCAGATTTTACCTAATACAGCAGAACTCCTAAAAAGTTACAGCCATATGCAGGACGGCAGTACTCAGCATGGTCTTATGCACAGGAACTAAAGGAAAAAGAGATCGAGTCACAAAAATTCAGGAAGAGGGGGTAAATGTGGATTGTATGGAATGAAAAATAAACATTCTCAAGGATGTGTGACTCTGTGTCTGTGTGTGTGTGTGTGTGTCTTTGAGTTTGTGTGTGTGTGTGTGTGTGTATGTTTATCCACTTTATTCGGGTGTCATAATGAATTGATCAATCCACGTGCTTTATTCTCTTCATGGAAATAACCAGTCTGCGTTGGAGCTGGGCCTCTAAAGTTGTAGAGTGAATGGGTGTGGGATGTGTTGGGATTCTTCCTACAGGACAGAGTGGGAGAGGTAAAAGCAAAAGACAGCTTAGTTGGAGGCTGACTTCGTCCTGTGGAAGCAGAGATAGTTCAAGGAAAGGGGTTACTGGGTTTCCAGGGCCCAGTTTGCTGGGACCTCCAAAATCCTTCATTTTGGGTATCATCATACACAGTAGCTAAGCACAGGATGATGGAAATCTTAAAGTTCGCTTTCGTGTTGAATCCACATGTTCTTTTAAAGGTGAATGCATGATCCTTTTCTGGGACAATCAGCCTCTCAGGACTTCTGAAACATCAACGTGAGAAGAAATGGGCATGTAAGGTGTATGGAGGGACTGTGGGAAAGGTGACAGAGGCATGTGGGAAGGCATTCAGGATACGCTTTTGGCATAGATGACTAAGGGAAAACAGAAACTTACAGAAGTGAGGGGAAAGGGGGTGGATTAGTGGAATATAAGATTGTTGGAGAATCCATCCATGGACTCTCTTGTCACTTGATGACCCAGGATATGGACACTCTTGTTGATGTTTACATCTTTAGTTGTTTTAAGCTTTTCTCCAAGATTCTGTGTTAGGTGAGGAGCCAATAACGTATGTAGCTAACAACAGTACGAGTGCATTTTGTGCTCTTGCAAAGTCTAGTGAGGCTCTATTCTCCCTCGTGATTGGCACTGCAGATTGTATCTGGAGCCCAGGGCCCCTAAATTTTCTGTGGCCTCTTCAGCATAGTTTGCCTAAGGTTTAGAACGTAAAGCGAATATAGTTGCGGAATATGTTTTGCAAGCCTCACACAGGAGGACAAAACATACAGCTTTCATTCGCGAGTGGGAGGCTGCTTCCCAGGAACACGTGTGTCTGCACAAGACAAGGGGTTGCCTCTGTCAAGGATGGGGCAGGAGGATTTCAGTGTCGGAGGCAGAACTTTCTTTCCTGTTCCCAGATGAAACAGTTCCAACACGAGCATCCATGTTGACCACACGCTACTAGAGTGCTAACATTGCTGTCCCGTATAGACTCTGGTCAGCACAGCTTCTGTGAGAAGAGCTATGTTGTTTCAGGGAAGAGGGTTTGACAGTCAAAGTTCCTGAATCTGTTGTGGTGCCTGCAATATGCATTCTACCCCTCCTGCTCGGTGTCAAAGCAGTTGAGCTTTGAAAATCTATCGCCCGGTTTTGTCCCTGCTCCTATGCAGACCTCTGAAGCTCTGGAGCGGGAGTCTTGTCCTCCTCTGACTACCGTCCCCCTGACCCACAAACACAGGAGAAACAGGTGTTCTAAGCAAATTATTCTGAAAACAGTCGGAACCCTTTGGCCCCCTCAAGCTGCCCTGTATCCTACTGTGTGCATGTCAAAGACACTGTGGTCCAGTACGGTATCCCTATAGCGGCAATGGGGCAACAGATTGGTGTGTGCACTCTGGGCAACTCAGATTAGGAAACGTCTGGGGACTTGCCTATAACGAGGTCGTCTTAAAACGTGTTGCCCCAAATTTAAGGCATAGGAAAATGTTGAGGAAAGGGTCTTGCAATGATTTTTCTAGGAGGTAAATAGATAAGAAAATGACCGTAAATAGATGCCAGGGCTAGTTTTGGAGCTAGCCTGTTTTAAAGTGGTGGTAGGGGAGGAGCTTTTTCCAAGGCAGGTAGCAAACCAGGAACTGTCTACGATGGATGGGCGTGCCACGGGTTGGTGGCTCAGCCATATTGCCACCCCACCGAGTGAATGCAGCAGACTGGGCTTCTTCCTTGAATCCTACGTGCAATTCAGTCTAGTGATTTCACATGAGATCCCTTCTTCTGGTATTATCACAGATCGTGCTGAATTATACAGGCTGTGTAATGCTTCTTCCACTGAATATCCGTGCACGTGGGCCACAGATGCTAAGGGCACTGACAAATTTGCACCGTGCCTCAGTAACTCGGAAGCACATCTGTGATTTGTACCGACAGGGACTTGGTGTCTTTTCGTGTTTAAAGTAGCACGTGTGTGTTTGTGGTTGCGTATGTTTATTTCTCTGTGCGGGTTTGTATATTTTCTCTGACTCCACCTGTGTCTCCGTGGTTCCGATATTTTTCCACACTCCCTGCGACAATTTGCACATGCCTATCTCTACAACCATTGTAGACTTTGTATCTGTGTCTTTGAACATCTGTCACTCTCTCTCCCTTCCTTTTTTCTTTTCCTTCCTTTACACCCCTTTCATCCTTCCCTTGCTTCCCCACCACACTCTCTCCATCTGTATCGTCTATCTTTCTATTCTCTATCTGGGTTTACTTTCTAATTCTGAATTCAAGGGCATTGAATTGAAAAGAAGCACTCTTCGTACTTTTATGTGTTTTAACTCATTTGGGGAATTTGGCGTGGTATTATTTACAGGGTTCTCTCTGCCCTTTCTCATTGTTCTCCCCAGCCGGGGCTGTTATTATGTGAAAGCTGGTTTCCTTCATCACATCGCGTAGGCTCTAATGATGTTTCGTTTATTTTGATTCTCCTCACACTACATAGTTTTAATTTACCTAATGTGACTGTTTTTTTGTTTGTTTTCCGAGAATGGGTCTTACTCTGTCTTCTAGGTTGGACAGCAGCCCCACGATCTCAGCCCACTGCAGCCCAGGCACCACACACCCATGTGATCCTGTCAACTCAGACTCTCACACACCTGGCAGTACAGGTGCATGCCACCCCTCCAAGCTATGTATTAATTAACTAAATACTTACTTTTTGAATGTGGGTCCATGTTGCCCCAGGCTCATCTGGAACTCCTGAGTGCAGGCAATCCTCCCACCTCAGCTTATCAAAGTGCTGGGATGACAGGTGTGACCCATGGCCCTGCCATGGCTTTGTGTTTTTTGCTTTTTTCTTCCTCCTCCTCACGTCTTGTTTTGAAACATGCACTGAAGGTTTCAATTCATGGACTATAGTCTCTGTGCCTGGAATTTCTATCTTTCAACTCATCATCAGCATTCATTGGGATTTTCATATATATATACACCTATATAAGAATACCTATGTACACACATATATACGTATATACATGTATATACGTATATATGCACATTTATATACGTATATACATGTATATACGTATATATATACATGTACACATATGTATTTATTTCTCAAGTTACGAAACGGCTTGCATTCTTTCCTGTGTCATGAAAAAGACTTTGCTAGAAAAGAAAAGCACTGCTTTATAATAAAATATTTTATTTGCATTTATTTTGTTAAGGCATTTTAAAAATTGTATGTTTGTTTAAAAAATGTCATATGAAATGATACATATTTACAACTTAAGGCGTGATGTTCAACAGGTCATATACATTATGCATTGGATACATCCAGCCAATCAACATATGTGTGACCTCACATAGTTGTCATTTTTGTTGTGAAAAAACTTGACCTGCACTGTATTCGAATATTTTTAGAGAAAGAATATGTTACCACTAGTTATAGTGAGCATGCTGAAGAAAATATTTTTAACCTATTCCTCCTTTATAACTAGAAGTATGAGTTCTTCATCCAGCATCTCGTCAGTGCACCCTCTTCACCGCAGTCATTGGAGTCACTACTTCTGTGAAGTCCGCTTTTTTGATTTCATATAAGAATGAGATCATGTGCTATTTTCCTTTCTGATACCTGGCTTATGTCACTTAACAGAATGGCATGCACACATTCAGCAGATTCCCACACATTCTCACAACTGGCAGGATTTCCTGATTTCTTATTGCAGCGCATATTTCCGTTGCGCATATGCGTTTTTGCCCCATTTTTTAATCCACTTATCAATGGAGGGACACTCAGGTTGCTTCCGCATTTTGGCTACAGCAAAAATGTAATGAGTGCAGCAATAATTGCATGGGTGCGCGCACCGCTTCAACATACTGATCTGTGTACTGGCGGGCGTGCCCGGGTATTCTGATTTGCTGGATCATATAGTGGGTGGTTCTACTTGTAGATTTCTGAAGGCTGTTTATACTTAAATAAGAGCCATAAAGCTTCTTTAATGCCAGCACTAATTTACATTCTCCCCAAAAGTGAGCAGGGAATTCGTTTTCTCTGCCTCCTCACCAGAGATTAGGGTTTTCTTTTCTTTCTTTTTTTTTTTTGTTTGTTTGTCTTTCGGATAATATGCATTCTGACTGAAGTGAGAAGAAATCTCATTGTGTTTTTGATTTGCATTTTCGTGATGGATTGGGGATAATGAGGAATTTTTAGTGTGTCTTCTGGGCAACTGTATGTCTCAGTTTCACAAATGAGTCTTCGCAGCCTTCGCCCATTTGTTTTCATGCTATTGAGTTGTTGGGAGTTCCTTATGTACTGTGACTATTCCCCCATGAACAGATGTATGGTGATCCAATCATTGCTCCCATCCTGTAGGATGCCCCTTCTGTATGTTGAGTTTTCTATGGTGTGGTGAAGCACTTTAGTTTGATATGATTCCATTCTCTATTTTTGATGGTGTTTACTGTGTTCTTGCAGTCACTTTGAGACCATCATTGCACACACGGACGCCATGGAGCTTCTTCCTTGTGATCTCTTCTGCTATTTTTATCGTTTCACATCTGACACTGGAGTTTGGTGATAAATAATCCACTTGTAAAATCCTTTGTGTGGCTATTCAGATTTCCCCAACCTAGTTTATAGAAGATACTTGATTTTGCATTGGGCGTTCTTGCTTCTTTGGGAAAAGGCTGTGAGCTGCAAATGCAGTGACTTAGTTCTGGGCTCCTGTTGTTTTTCCTAAGCTCTAGTCTCTGCTTTTCTGCCAGTGCTATTGTATTTTGGTACAAAAAGTTTTGTAGTAGTATATCATGAAGTTAGGTAGTGTGGTGGCTCCAGCTTTGTGCTTTTTACTGGATTGCTCTGGGTTTTCAGGATCTTCTGCCATTTCATAGCAAATTTGGGATTCCCAGATTGTTTTTCTAAGAAGAATGTGTCATTGATATTTTTACAGGGGTTGTATAGAATCTGAGGATGACTCAGGTAGTAGTGATGTCAATGCCGTTTAGACAATGTGCGTGTTTGTGTGCACAAGCTCAGGGCCAAGAGACACTGGGTGTCCTCACCAATACTGAGGTGGGCCTTAATATCCAGCCAGATTGCCTTCTGGAAACACACGGAATGTCCTGTTCTGTTTTGCCATCTCTTCACATTTCCTCCCCTGTGAGCCCTGTGTGGTCCTCCAGATTCCCTGTGCGGTGGCCTGCCTTTTTTGGGGTGGGGAGTTGCTGGGTGAATGAGGATGGCGGAGGGAACCAAGCATGTCAGTGGAGCGTGGTGTCATCCAAACGGTACTTAGCAGGCCTGGGAGAGTCATTCTGGGAGGACGCAGACCTAGAGAGGCCTCAGGTGGGCATCTGTGTGGAGGGTGAGAGATCCCTGGTTGAGCCCAAACTGAACCCCAGGTAGAAGCAAGCCTCAGGACAGGGAAGTAGCTAGCAAGGGATGATGAGGCAGCTATCTCTTGACCCTGGCTTCCCACCCATTGACCTTAGCTACTTATGCCTATTAAGCAGATTACGGTTCCCCCATCGTGAAATGTGGGTACCACAGTTCCCTGATGGGCATTTCTCCACCAGCCCATGATGGCCTGAGTTTCCTTACTGCAGTCTCCTCCCTGAGCCTTGGCTTCTCTATGTGTGTCCTAACTCCAGGACCCACAGGCCTGTCAACCCCCAGCCCTGGGCTGCTTCCCTGGCCTCTTCTCTGTTCCCTCTCTGAGGGCCTAACTCCCTTGGGTAGTGCTGCAGAATATAGAGCCACAGGCCCTGGCTGATGATCTGGTGGACTGGGCAAATTGGTCGTGACAGGTCAGGTTCTGGTTCAAAGCCAATTCCTCCGATGCCAAGGAATGTCGAAGAAGGTCCTTTGCCATGATGCCCCATAGCTGCCCCACCTCAGCAATCGTGCCGTAACCTGGGCCCTCACAGTCAGACAACCAGCTGAAGAAGCTCAGGCAGTGACCTGCGGGAAACTCGGGCTTTCACCTGCATGACCCTAGAACCACTGGACTGCAGTGGAGCCAGTCACCCTGTATCCTGGAGGGAGACGAGTCAGGAAGGCGCACGCCAGGCCCAGCTCCCGAGGTACTACCCCCTCTACTCCTCAGGGAGGATGCCAATGCAATACTCCTTAGTCATCACTTTGTTTCCGAAGTAAATGTTGTGATGAAAGGCAAACTTCTTCCTACCCCTTGTATTCAGGGTGGCCGAGTTCCTCCACCTGCCTGTCCAAGAAGGAGAAACAGGGCTGTGAAGGGGCAATTTCATCTAGGTGGGCTGAGGTGGCATTCTAGCCGGGGTGAAGCATGCGTTTCCCCTTCCCAGCTTTCCCGCTGAGACACACCTGAGCCCCAGAAGGACCTCAACCTGACCAGGACCTTAGCGCCCTCCCCCAGACCCAGGCTTTCCATCCTGACCTGCAAATCCAACATGCAGCTTTGAAGGACTTTCTCATGGTTTCTGAGCTCCTTGCTCTCACCAGAAAGAATCAGAACTTTTAAAGTGTTCTTTATGCCAACTTAAATTTTTCATTTTTACTACCTCATGTTTTGGATGAGGCATGTATTTTTAAATTTATTTTCACCCTTATTGTACCTCTATGATAAACTGCTTGCTTACATTCATACCGTAATTATCTCTCAGGTTACTTGTCTGTTCCTAAAGATTCACTGAAACGAAGAATTCTATATATGCTTGTATCTTTCAGCAACCGTATGTCAGATAGCACTGCACATTACTGCAGACATCGCATATACAGGTCCAAAGGTAGAGGAAGAAGAAGAAAGCAAGCGTTAAACTCTATTCATTCCTAAAAGCATATCAGAAACTCACAAATAACAGTGAAATCAAAGAATGATCACAGCCAATTCCATTACATACCTAGACTGAAATACGAAACTTCAAAGAAAAGAAACATTAGAACTTTGGGTTTGTAAAAATTTTCCTATATAGATAAAATTATTGGTAACTGTGTCTCACTAGAAAACGTAAACAAAAATCCATGTTTTTCATATTTGTAAATATACATAGTTTTATTTCCATCAGTTATGACATGCAAGCAAGTAATAAAGTGAAAGTACAATCAAATGATATATGGAACTTCCTCAGTCTTAAAATATTCCGTGGAGACTATCAATTTTATGAAAACTATAAAGAATGCTTCATGAAACTACATTGTACAGTGCCATTTACTATTTTACTGACATTTTAAATAATCAACAATTAAAGGGAATACGTCAACATTATTTAATACCAATAACGTTATTTTTCTTGAGTAATCCTGTTGAAATTAAGGATTTTAAATAAAACATTAAAAACAAATTATATTGACTGATTTCAGCTTTGGATGAAATCATACTTGTGTATTTGTAGTAATGCGAAGCATAACTTTCTCCTCACAATTAATCTTTTATAACATCGGTGTTATAGTTTTCTCTGACACCAACATTGTGATATCGCACAGGTTTACTGCATGCATGCATTACATGCCTCCAGAGAGTAGGCTTCAAATATATGGAAAAATTATATTTATGAAAAAATTCTAGGAAAGGGAATGGTGAAATGGAAGAGAATTTCTCACTTGCTAACTGTTGGACATGGATTTGTATATATTTGGATATAGACACATACTGGCACACTGTGAGTTTGCCCATGTATATATACACTTATATGAGAAACCCATAATATATGGGTTGTGTAATCTTTTAATTAATCCATAATTGTATGTGTGTGAAATTAGATAAGCGGTTACCTTTTCTTTACTCAATTTGATGGAAAGCCAAAAAACTCTGTCCACCTTCATTTCAATTAATCCAATACTGTTAACTGCTGGTAGCTTCATTCTCCTTGTTCTCTTACGGCAACCGGAAAGTTAATTCTCGCTCTAATTTGGCTTTCAAGGTGCGATCAACAAGAGTGTCACCTTGCTGTGGATTGTGACCTCTGACTCCACCTCTGTCTTCCTTTTGCAGTCCTACCTTTGCATAGGTAACAAACTTTGTACATGGTTAAAAGGATAAACGTTCAGTGAAATGTCAAGCCATGCTGTGAAATGTTCCATAGTTTCTATATCTCTAATTGTCCTTTGATGTTATAGAGGCAAGAAAAATAATTCAATGTTTTTCTTAGTATCTAGTCCAATGCACGCTTTCTTCATAATACTGCAAACAAGGCACTGACATGGAAACGTGGCTGGACGTCTCAAAATCTCTTCTCATTAATTACCATTATGTTAATCACTGTTGCCCACAACTGGAATTGGACTTTGAAATCCCCTGGTGGAAATTGCTATAATGGCTCAAACTACTGGAAAGACTATCTTTTTTTACCTGAAAATATCTGATGAGCATAGACATATGCTATATACAGGAACATATTGTACATTAACAACATACCATCACTGCCACTCAATAATACGTATCCCAAACCTTTGAGCCAAACTGAGCTCGGGTGCTCCCACAAACCAAGCTTTTCCCTCCACAGATTTCTTATGTCAAAAAGCCACAACTCCAGGCCAGGCTTCGTGGCTCTTGTTGTAATTTCTACATTTTGGGAGGCCGAGGTTGGTGGGTCACTTGAGGTCAGGAGTTGGAGACCAGCATGGGCAACATGGCAAAAAGCTGTCTCTACCAAAAATACAAAAATTAGCCAGACCTAGTGGCACTTTCCTGTGGTCCCAGCTACTTGGGAGGCTGAGGCAGGAGAACCACCTGAACATGGGTGGCAGAGATTGTATAGTAAGCCAAGATCAGACTACTGCACTCCAGCCTGGATGACACAGCGAGACCATGACTGAAAAAAGAAAAAAAAAAAATAAAGGCAACTCCACTCGTCCACTGGCTTAGGTAAAAAGTACTGGAGTTGGCTGGGCTCGGTGGCTCACACCTGTATTCCCAGCACTTTGGATTTTGGGAAGCTGAGTCGGGCGGGTCACCTGAGATCTGTAGTAGGAGAGCAGCCTGGCCAACATGGTGAAGCCTGGCTTCTGCTAAAAATACAAAACATTAGCTGAGCGTGGTGATGCATGCTTGTAATCCCAGCTACTGCAGAGGCTGAACCTGGGAGGCGGAGGTTGTGTTGAGCTGAGATCCTGCCACTGCGCTCCAGCCTGGTCTACAGAGCGAGAGTACCCTGTGAGAAACAAAGGTGAAGAGAACAAGAAAAAAAAATGAGAAAAATAAGACCCACTGCAAAAGGTTGCCACAGAAAAGATTAAACATTTCAGCAACTTCTATCTTCTGTCATGGAAGCCAAGGTTATTTGGACCAAACCTCCTGTCTTAGTTCATTTTCACGCTGCTGAAGAAGACATACCTGAAACTGGGAATAAAAGGAGGTTTAATTGGACTGACAGTTCCACATGGCTGTGGAGGCCTCAGAATCATGGTATACGAATAAAGGCACTTCTTACATGGCAATGCCAAGAGAGAATGAGGAAGAACCTGAGGCAGAAACCCCTGAAAAACCCATCAGATCCCGTGAGACTTCTTCACTGTCACAAGAATAGCATGAGAAAGACCGACCCCCATGATTCAATTACCTCCCCCTGGGTCCCACCCGCAACACGAGGGAATTCTGGGAGATACAATTGAAGCTGAGATTTGAATGGAGACACACCAAACCATGTCACTTCCCAAACAACTAAAAATTCCCAATAGAAGAAGCATTAATTATATCAAAAAGTGGTGGACCAAGAAGGAACTATTAGCCTCATATCTCAAGAAAGACTCCAGTCAAGGCCTAGGGACTACTCATGAAAAGAGTTTAATAGCCGACTCTCTCCCAGTGGATCTGGATTCCACCGGACTGTATCTTCACAGTAAGGGTGAAACAGAAGCAAACCCATTCCTATTTCCAAGCTCAAGGAACTTTGGTCAAAGTTCTCTTGGAGCTGAGCAGAACAAGGAGGCAAACAGAAAAGATTTGTGTCCCTGAGAAGTCATGGCCACAGGCTGGCTATCACACAGATTGTCAAGCCAGTTCCATATTGCATGGGTATTACAGAAAATCTCAAAACATAAATTTGTGTGTGGGTTGTCCCAGAGTAGCAGGATCTGGCAGAAGGAAATTTCCTTCTAACCCTCAAAGAATCCACATAAATCTTGTTACATTTGGGATTTTACGATTTGCTTCAGGAATGAGAATGGCCTTAATTTTCATATCTTTTTCTACACTCAGTTTATGTCTTGTTGGCGTCAAAGTTCTGCTTGCTTCACACAATGAGTTTAGGATTTTCCCTTTTTTATTCTATAGAATTCTTCATATATATTGAAATGCTCTGCCTGGGGAAAAAAATCTGAGCCTAGCGTTTTATCTCTAGGAAGAATCCTTTATTTCCTTGGACATTTATGAGACTATACAGATTATATATGTCTTCTTGTATCAATTTTACTAAGCTATATACATAGCTTATGTTTATATATTATATATATAAATGTAAGATACAAATATAAAAATTATGTATAAATATGAAAATATATATAGAAAGCGATATATATGTCTATATATAGAGACAGATTATAAATATCTGTCTATTTGATCTAAGTTTTCAAATTTGTAGGTTAAGGTGTTAACGATATTTCCTTATTAGCTTCTTAATCTATGCTGTATCTATGGTTGTGTACCTTTTAAATTCTTAGTTTTATCTATGTTTTCTCCCTTTTTTTCTAAACTTGACTGACGGTTGCATCATTTATTATATTTCTCCAACAAGCAAAGGTTAGCTTTGTATGTTTTACTAATTTTGTCTACATCATTATTCCCACACTTTAGTTTTTCAGAATTGATTCTGTTGTTTCTTTTCTAATTCTTTATTGAAATATCTAGTACATTAATTTTCAAGTTATTAGAGAAATATTTGTCTGTAAACTCCTATTGTAATATCACTTTTCTTGCTACTCACAGATTTAATCTTTAATATTGGCGGTATCATTGAGTTCTAAGTACATTTCAATTCCTAGTATGATAATCTATGAATTGCTGAGAAATAGTGTTTACAATTTTGTTGTTCTATTTCCACTTAAGTTTATTTTTACTTCTGCTAACTCAATTGAAAATTCTTTACTAATTTTTAAAATCCTTGAACCCAAGAGATGGAGGTTGCAGTGAGCTGAGATCAGGCCACTGCATTCCAGACTGAGTGACAGAGTGGAACGAGATTTCAAAACAAAACAAAACAAAACAAAACAAAACAGTCACTGGAAAGATAATAAAATACATAAATGTGGGATGTAATATGTAATCGTGATAAAATAAACTGGATTTTTTGTATAAGTTATACATATAAATGTAATGCCAAGACACTGATAAGACAACTCATGGTCTTATCTCAATACTTAGTGTCTTCATGTAACATATGTCCTTTAGGATAGTTATAGTCCGTTTTCTTTCCAGGAGAGACAGATGAGAATGCAGAAATGTTAAAGTGCAAGGGACGGAAGCTTCCAGCTGTGCCCACCTGTAACCTGACGTAGACAGTTCCACCGTTTGCTTCATTAATCATGCCAAAGGCTCTAATGCAAATGTGGTACAGAGTCACATGTTTTTGTATCTACATGATAGAAACTATAACTTCATCCCTATATAGAAGGGTATATAGCATATGCCTCAGTGATAAATATAAGTGAATCATTGATCAGTAGGAAACCATTTTAAAAGTCTTTCATAACAGAACAAAATCCCTGAAAACATTTTCTTCTCAATCTCTGAGTTTTCTTACACGGCTTATGAATCTCTAGCCATACTAAAGAGATAGTATGCTGCTCTTCCCACAAATTATTCATTGTATATAATTCCTGTAATCTAATAACAGTACCTTTACACCTCAGGGTTTAAAATGACTCCAACCTTTTTCTGTTTCTCCAATTAAAATAACTTTTTTAAGGTTTAATCTTCAGTAATTTTTTGTAGTAATATTTTTGAAGGTATTTGACCAGGATGATTTGCTTATATACCTACCTGACGTCTCCCTTTCTTCTGAATACATATTTTATTACCCACCTATTAGATCTAAGTTTAAGAAGTTGGAATAGGGATTTAAATCTAAATTCTACATTTGAATTTACAGGAGTCAGCGAGTCGGGGAAGTGCCTTTATGCACAGACCAATATCTGGCAATGGCACTAGGAGACAAATAAGCTTTACCAGTCTCAAAGCCCTGGCTACTACAGTGAATCCACCCTTCTCCTGGATCTTATCTACTTCAGCAAAAGAAGGCCACCCACTAAACCAGGCCCTTGTACTTTGGGTGGAAACTCCTAAGTCCTCTAGTCTCAAACAGACAGCCAGGCTGCCAATTTCCACAATAATAATTTCTATAGCACTGAGTCTTTGGTAGCCTTGTAACTATAGCTACTGATGCTACAGTCTGGTCCCTGTATGATAAAACACCAGAGCAACAGAAACAAAAATATTGACTGAAGCCTTCTAAAATCTCTCTAAATATACCTTCAATAAATATCGTTTTTTTTTACAGAACGACTGCTTTCAGCTTCCTGAACTAACGCTTGGCCTTCGCTAGTTGTCACTGTTGAAATTGATTCAAAAGTGTACATTTAACATGAAAGTCAACACAGAATTTCATGTGTCAGCAACTAAAATTTTCAAAATGTTGCAAAATACAAATGTGAAACTGTATTTGTGAAATTTACCATTCATTGAAATTATATTTTCATACCTACCCAGGCACAGAATTTTTTATAACTGTCTGCATGTTCTCCTCATGTGGGGGAAAAACAGCATCAGCAGGCAGAGGAATCCTTTGAAGCTGGAGGGAGAGGTTGCAGTGATCTGAGAGTTTGCCACTTGACTGCAGCCTGGATGACACAGTGAGACTCCAACTGAAAAGAAACAAACACACACACACACACACACACACACACACACACACCCCCAAAATTGATAAGTAAAAAAAATCCGTATTCGAAAACATGCTCACAGGCTAACTCCCATATCTAACACACACACACACACACACACACACACACACACACACACAATTCCTTGAAAACGAAAGTTCCACAAGGGCGAAACAAGAAAACAAATTTAACACCCCCCAAAGAAAGTACGAAGAGTAACCTCAAAAGAACCGCAGGGGAAAACAATTCAAAATTTACAAGTATCTACCCTAAAAGAAGCTGAAAGTCCCTCAAAAACTTTCCAGAGGCCATGTCCTTGTATTACAAAAATGATCATAAAAACTGGCAGGAGTAGACGAATAGAAATGCATCTTAAAACTTGCTGAACACTTCAAGTCTCCCATAAGAATTGTAATGGAAAATGGATCAGTCGGCAGTTTTTTCCATACAATTATGAACAAATTATATTTCTTCATACATAGATTTGTTTTTTCAATATTCTAAGGAATTAACTTTTATATTAATAGTAGGTGATGTAAGAAAGCAGGCCTTTATCAAGATAACTGACACTGGATGTCCATACCATTACTCAGGTGGGCCTTAATTCCCAGCCGGGTTCCCTCCCTGGACACACACTGAAGGTCCCCAGCCATTTGGCAATCTCTTCACATTCCCAGCCCTGGAGGTAGCCCTAAAATACATGTACCTGAAGAAAATAAAACATTGCCTCACACTGGAGCCCAGTGTGGTCCTCCAGATTCCGTGTGAGGTGGACTAACTTATATGGGAAGGCAGGGCAGCGGGAGTGAGGATGGCAGAGAGGATTACACATGTCAAGGCAGCCGGGGTCATGGAAACAAAACATGACTGGCCTGGGAGAAACACTGTGAAAGGACACAGACCTAGGTGGGCCTCAGGTGGACATCCTCATGGAGAAAAAGGGGGCCCTGGTTGATCTCAAAATGAGCCCCAGGTGGTAGCAGGTCTTACCGCAGGGCAGGGAGCTGGCGAGTAATGATGAGACAGCTATCCCTTAAGCCCTGCTTGTCACCCACTGACTTTAGCCACATATGCATCATAGTGGCTTAAGGTGCCCCGATCCTGAAATGTGGGTGTTACATGTCCCTGATGGGCCTCTCTCCCCCAACCCACGGATTGCCTGGGATTGCTCACTGCAGTCTCCTCCCGGATCCTTGGGTTCTCCATGTGGGGCCCAGATCCAGGTCAAAAGGCCTCTCAGTTCCCAGCCCTTCCCAGCCCTAGGCTGCTCGCCTGGCCTCCTCTCTGTTCCGCCTCTAGGGCTGACCCTCTCTCCATGGGATAGAACTGCAATGGATTGAGCCATAGGCCCTGGCTGATGATCTAGGGGACTGCAGAAGTGGGTCCAGGACAGTTCAGGTGACAGTTCAAAGCCAATTCCCCAGAGACCAAGGAATGACCAGCTAGGTCCTTTCCCATGATGCCCCATGGCGAACCCCACCTCAGCAATCCTGCCAAAACCCGGGCAGTCATGTTCAGCCAAACAGCTGAATGAGCTCAGGTAGGAGGTGTACTGCCTGCAGCTGGAGGCTTGACCTTCGTGATCCCAGAACCGCTGGACTGCAGTGGAATGAGACACCCTGTAGCCTGCAGGGAGAGGAGTCAGGAAGGTTCATGCCAGTCCCACCCTCCCACACACCAGCTCCCCTACCATGCTGGGAGGCATTCCTTACCGAGGATGCCAACACAGTGCTCCTTCATGATGATTTCACTGTGGAAATAAAGGTTGGGATGAAAGGAAATCATCCTGCCACCGGTAACCGGGATGGCTGAGTTCCTCCACCTGCCGGATCAAGGAGAAAGAGGATGGATTCAATGGGACCATCTCAACTAGCTGGGCTGAGGTGGCCTACTAGCTGTAGTGAACCATGAGTTTCCCCTTCCCAGCTCTCCCACTGAGACAACCCTGGTCCCCAGGGGGACCTCAAACTGACTCAGACACTGGACTCCTCCCACAGACCCAGGCTCCCCAGCCTGACCTGCAAATCCATCACGTAGCAAAGCAGGACTTCCGCATGCTTTCCGACCCACGCCGACATCTCGTGTGCCAAACAATCTACCTCTGCGCAAGAACTCTCCAGAGGATTGGGTGGGCAAGCCTCGTGACGCCTTGCAATTTCGCAAGAACACAGACAATGTGGAACAGGGCCATCTCCCAGACATTTGGCCAGTCACCCTTCATTGTTGGCCCTCTATCTCTGTCTGGCGAGGAGGCAACGCCACAACTGTGGTGGTTTTTGGAGTGGGTGGACCCCGGCCAAGACGGCCTGGGCTGACCAGAGACGGGAGGCAGAAAAAGTGGGCAGGTGGTTGCAGCTGAGGGACGGGAGGGACCGGGGGTGGTGTGAGGCGGCTGCTTCTCTGAGTTTCTGAGATGCAGGAGGCCTTTGTGTGCTGGGTGCTGGACATGCTCCGCTGATGTCCGGGTGTGTGGTGTCCTCTTATCCTAGTCTCCCTGAGGGGTGGGCCTGTCCACCTGAGGGAAGCCTTGTAGTTAGAAGCCACAGCAGGGTCGTGCCTGGCGCTCTCCAAGGGAATTGCGTGGGTCCAGAGGAAGTTATACAGGCTCAGGGCCTACACGCCTTTGAGTGCAGCGCCTGCAGTTGGATGAATGCGCATCTGCGGAGCTGGTGCCCGCCGTCAGGTGGTCGGCAGCCCCATGCGCCGCGAACCCGTCTTAAGCACCTTGTGTTTCTGGGGTGAGCCTGCTGGAAACAGGCACCGAGAGCAGGGGTGGTTCAATGGCTGGTAATGGCATACAGATTCCCCGTCCTCCAGGGACGTTCCCAGGGAAACGCGTCCTTCGAATTTGGGCTGTGCGCAAAGGGACCTTGGCGCCGCGATTCTCCCTTGTCAGTGCTAGCCCTGGCTCCCCTTCCCTACCACGTGCTCCCAGGGCTGCTACAAGCGAGCTGCCCTCACAGCTGCGGGAACGTGGCCTCGGCTCCCACGCTGTCCCCCATCCCCTGCCTCCTGGCTGACCCCACGTGCCTCCCACCTGGCTCCTCCCCCCAAACAGCCCCCATACCCCCCGAGGCCCGATGACTATCCCCTGCTGCCCGCCATCCCAAATCGGCAGCCGCAAGGATATGGCTCTGGCTCACAAGGCGGAGATGCTCTGTGGCCTGGGGCATTCACGGAGCCCAGCTCCAAGTGAAGGACCTCCAGCGAGTCCATTGACGGCCCCGGTGTGCTCGGTCCAGGGCCAGGCTGTGCCCGCTGGCCCTCCTTCTGCCACCCCACGTCGGGCTCCACCTCAACCACCACCTCCACCTCAGCCATGATGTCTTCCACCTTCAGCACCGCCTCCTCTTCCAAGGCCGCCTCCTTGCTCTGTACCCCGGCCGTCCTCTCCAGCATTGCCTCCAGCCTGAACACGGTTTTCTCCTGGGTGCTCCCACAGACCCTGGGCCTGCGCAGCCCAGCCCAGCCCAGCCCATGCCCCGCACCCGTAGGCTCTGGGGGCCCGCTCCCCAGCAGACCCGCTCCCTGCAAGACCCACGGGCGTCGCCCTGCTGTGAACCTGGTCCCACACCTACGTGGACCCAGGTTTCCTGAGGAGCTCCGCTGGACCCGCAGATCCCGCACTGGCCAAAGGGCTCCGGTCCCCAGCAGGCTCAACTGCGCACAGGAGCTCGGGAGCCAGAGGCCCCGGCCCTGGGCTTGCAGAGCCCCACCAACAGGCACCGCAACCGCTGCTGCGGGTGCGGGAGCCTCTGGGTCGTCAAGGCAGCGCACAACAGCGTGCGCAGGCCAACAATGGCCAACCCTGGCGGCTGGCCTCTGGTGTGCCCAGGGCATAGGACAAGAGGCCCTTTGGAATGCTCCCTGGAGTACAGCATCCTCAGGGAGGAAGCATGGTACTCGGAGCCTCTATTTGCCTCGACCTGTGAGAGTGTGTGCCGGGGCTCTGGCCTCTACAGCAGATCAATTCCACCTCAGCACCGGCAGGCGACTTTCCTCCCACGTGCCCGCCCCGATCACTTCCCCCAGGACACCCCTGCCGCCCTAGCCCCAGCAACCAGAGAGAGTTCTCTGCATCTGCTGTATTACCTCCGTACCATCTACCTGGCCTGCCTAACGAAGAGAGATGTTTCCTGTGTTCATGACACAGATGTTCATGGCTTGCCACACTGAGGATGTCAGGGCACAGGGCTGCCATGCCCACAATTCCAAAGGCCACGCAGCCCGCGTGTGCCCGGATGCCTAGCTACCCGGCACAAGCTCCAAGGGCTTCTCGGAGGAGGCTTGGGCAGGGAAGGCGGGGGGTGGGGGGGCTGGAGATGCAGGCCCGCCAGTGGCTGTGCCGCCCAGGGAGACGCCCACCGCCCTCCCATTGATTGGCCACGACGGGAGGAAGTCGGCCTGGGTGCGGCCCCCCGGCCCTTCGCGCGCAGTCCCTTAGGGGGCGCCTGGAAGCCCGGCGCATGCGCCCTGAGGGCTCGCTGACCTACCGGGTGCCAGAGAGGCTGCGGCAGGGTTTCTGTGGCGTGGGTCGGGCAGCACAGGCCTTGGTGTGTGCGAGTGCCAAGGAGGGCACCGCCTTCAGGATGGAGGCTGTACAGGAGGGGGCGGCCGGGGTGGAGAGTGAGCAGGCGGCTTTGGGGGAGGAGGCGGTGCTGCTGTTGGATGACATAATGGCGGAGGTGGAGGTGGTGGCGGAGGAGGAGGGCCTCGTGGAGCGGCGGGAGGAGGCCCAGCGGGCACAGCAGGCTGTGCCTGGCCCTGGGCCCATGACCCCAGAGTCTGCACTGGAGGAGCTGCTGGCCGTTCAGGTGGAGCTGGAGCCGGTTAATGCCCAAGCCAGGAAGGCCTTTTCTCGGCAGCGGGAAAAGATGGAGCGGAGGCGCAAGCCCCACCTAGACCGCAGAGGCGCCGTCATCCAGAGCGTCCCTGGCTTCTGGGCCAATGTTGTATCCTTCTCAGTGTTTCTTCGGCCTTTCTAGTGGAGAGGTGCTCTCGGGGAAGTGTAAGTGACCGATGGGCAGCTCGGCGTCGATGTGACTCTTTGGGGAACAAAGGGGAGTTGCCACGGACCAGTGTGGCTGTGGAAAGCCGGAGCAGGCGTGGGTACTATTGTCCTGCATGCGGCAGAGAAACCCTTGGTGATGCCGAGCAGCAGACGTTTGGGGCATCTTTTTGAAGAGCAGAAGCGAGTTCAGAGCGGAAGAGGTTTTTCAGTGAATGAAGCTATTTTTAAGGGAGTGTGATTGCTGCCCCTTGCTAGTCCGATCTGGGACTGGGCGTCTTCGGCTATAAGCAGATTCTGCCACTCCTCAGACACCAGCAAGTCTCTGCAAATCGCGCCTCCCCATGTCAGTGCAGTCAGCCTCAGAATCATACACCCTCTGTGAACACAGGAGGCCTTAGTTTACGGGGACGGGGAGGCGAAAGGAGATCATACATGGAAGCAGATCTGAGAAATCCCCTACCCCAGCCTCTGGGTGCTCTTAGGCCTTCTTCCCTGTTGCTCCTCGCTTTCCCTTCCATCGTGTGTAAAGTCTCTTTGACCTAAATCAGATTGCAAACCACCCCCAGATGTCAGCCCTGATCACTGACGAAGATGAAGACATGCTGAGCTACATGGTCAGCCTGGAGGTGAGGCCAGGAAGACTGGGGCTAGAGGGTTTAGCGGGGGAGGGTAAGGGAAATAATTCATTCCTGTAAGCAAGAGTGAGCACCTCACCCGAAAACCTATCTAAGCTTTCTCCACCTTGTCCTGACAGGTGGAAGAAGAGAAGCATCGTGTTCATCTCTGCAAGATCATGTTGTTCTTTCGGAGTAACCCCTACTTCCAGAATAAAGTGATTACCAAGGAATATCTGGTGAACATCACAGGTGACAGGTGGCTCCCAGGATGGGTAGTGGAAGGAAGATGGTGGGTGGATCATTGCCAACGGGATCCAGCCCCCTTCCCACAAAAACTCCTGTCTCTGTAGAATACAGGGCTTCTCATTCCACTCCAATTGAGTGGTATCCGGATTATGAAGTGGAGGCCTATCGCCGCAGACACCACAACAGCAGCCTTAACTTCTTCAACTGGTTCTCTGACCACAACTTCGCAGGATCTAACAAGATTGCTGAGGTGAGTCCTCACTGGGAAACATGAGGAATGACCCCGTGTGTTCCCAGCTGCTTGGGTCACCTTTCTGAGCCCTGATGAGGCCTTTCCCGATTGAGTCCCCTGACAGATCCTATGTAAGGACCTGTGGCGCAATCCCCTGCAATACTACAAGAGGATGAAGCCACCTGAAGAGGGAACAGAGACGTCAGGTGAGCCGTTAGTTGGCACTGGAGCTGTTTGATGCCCAGTATAAGGGGGTTGACACACCTGCCTATTCAGGGAGCCTGGGTGCTCATTTCAGAAATGTAGAAATTGAGGCTCCTTTCGTACATGTAGAAATTCCTTGAGAGGAAGACAGAGAGTGACAGAATCCAGGACGTTCATGGCATTGGGCTGAAAAGGCACGTTAGAGACTGCACTGCAAAGCGGGTGATAGCTGTGGAGTCTTAAGCCCAGTGAAGAATCGTCCATTTCCAGAATCAATGAGAAGTAAAGCTGAAAATCATTCAGTTCAGTCTGTGGCACTTGATTCCACGGCTGTCAACCCCACCGGCAGTCATCCCACCAACCCCATGAGATTGGGCTCCCTGAATGTGCGTCCTGGTCATCCTTGCCCCAAACCACAAAGGACTGTTTAGATTGATGGATTTCCTTAAGCTGTTGCCCCATCAGACTTGTGTGTGCTTTTAGGGCCCAGTGCATCTTGTTAGCTGACTCCCCTCACAGACAATACTGGGAATGGGGCAGGGATTGCGCAGAACAGTTTGTAACACGTGGTAGGAGGAAGTTTAAGGGATCACAAATGGGGAAGGGATATCCTTTTCTCAGCGGGCCCCACAATTGAAACATTTCAAAGTATGGCTCAGAGAAAATGCGTTTTAACATGAGTTTGTGTTTCTCTAGGGGACTCCCAGTTGTTGAGTTGAATATGATGGAGCATCAGATTTTACCTAATACAGCAGAACTCCTAAAAAGTTACAGCCATATGCAGGACGGCAGTACTCAGCATGGTCTTATGCACAGGAACTAAAGGAAAAAGAGATCGAGTCACAAAAATTCAGGAAGAGGGGGTAAATGTGGATTGTATGGAATGAAAAATAAACATTCTCAAGGATGTGTGACTCTGTGTCTGTGTGTGTGTGTGTGTGTCTTTGTGTTTGTGTGTGTGTGTGTGTGTGTGTGTGTATGTTTATCCACTTTATTCGGGTGTCATAATGAATTGATCAATCCACGTGCTTTATTCTCTTCATGGAAATAACCAGTCTGCGTTGGAGCTGGGCCTCTAAAGTTGTAGAGTGAATGGGTGTGGGATGTGTTGGGATTCTTCCTACAGGACAGAGTGGGAGAGGTAAAAGCAAAAGACAGCTTAGTTGGAGGCTGACTTCGTCCTGTGGAAGCAGAGATAGTTCAAGGAAAGGGGTTACTGGGTTTCCAGGGCCCAGTTTGCTGGGACCTCCAAAATCCTTCATTTTGGGTATCATCATACACAGTAGCTAAGCACAGGATGATGGAAATCTTAAAGTTCGCTTTCGTGTTGAATCCACATGTTCTTTTAAAGGTGAATGCATGATCCTTTTCTGGGACAATCAGCCTCTCAGGACTTCTGAAACATCAACGTGAGAAGAAATGGGCATGTAAGGTGTATGGAGGGACTGTGGGAAAGGTGACAGAGGCATGTGGGAAGGCATTCAGGATACGCTTTTGGCAGAGATGACTAAGGGAAAACAGAAACTTACAGAAGTGAGGGGAAAGGGGGTGGATTAGTGGAATATAAGATTGTTGGAGAATCCATCCATGGACTCTCTTGTCACTTGATGACCCAGGATATGGACACTCTTGTTGATGTTTACATCTTTAGTTGTTTTAAGCTTTTCTCCAAGATTCTGTGTTAGGTGAGGAGCCAATAACGTATGTAGCTAACAACAGTACGAGTGCATTTTGTGCTCTTGCAAAGTCTAGTGAGGCTCTATTCTCCCTCGTGATTGGCACTGCAGATTGTATCTGGACCCAGGGCCCCTAAATTTTCTGTGGCCTCTTCAGCATAGTTTGCCTAAGGTTTAGAACGTAAAGCGAATATAGTTGCGGAATATGTTTTGCAAGCCTCACACAGGAGGACAAAACATACAGCTTTCATTCGCGAGTGGGAGGCTGCTTCCCAGGAACACGTGTGTCTGCACAAGACAAGGGGTTGCCTCTGTCAAGGATGGGGCAGGAGGATTTCAGTGTCGGAGGCAGAACTTTCTTTCCTGTTCCCAGATGAAACAGTTCCAACACGAGCATCCATGTTGACCACACGCTACTAGAGTGCTAACATTGCTGTCCCGTATAGACTCTGGTCAGCACAGCTTCTGTGAGAAGAGCTATGTTGTTTCAGGGAAGAGGGTTTGACAGTCAAAGTTCCTGAATCTGTTGTGGTGCCTGCAATATGCATTCTACCCCTCCTGCTCGGTGTCAAAGCAGTTGAGCTTTGAAAATCTATCGCCCGGTTTTGTCCCTGCTCCTATGCAGACCTCTGAAGCTCTGGAGCGGGAGTCTTGTCCTCCTCTGACTACCGTCCCCCTGACCCACAAACACAGGAGAAACAGGTGTTCTAAGCAAATTATTCTGAAAACAGTCGGAACCCTTTGGCCCCCTCAAGCTGCCCTGTATCCTACTGTGTGCATGTCAAAGACACTGTGGTCCAGTACGGTATCCCTATAGCGGCAATGGGGCAACAGATTGGTGTGTGCACTCTGGGCAACTCAGATTAGGAAACGTCTGGGGACTTGCCTATAACGAGGTCGTCTTAAAACGTGTTGCCCCAAATTTAAGGCATAGGAAAATGTTGAGGAAAGGGTCTTGCAATGATTTTTCTAGGAGGTAAATAGATAAGAAAATGACCGTAAATAGATGCCAGGGCTAGTTTTGGAGCTAGCCTGTTTTAAAGTGGTGGTAGGGGAGGAGCTTTTTCCAAGGCAGGTAGCAAACCAGGAACTGTCTACGATGGATGGGCGTGCCACGGGTTGGTGGCTCAGCCATATTGCCACCCCACCGAGTGAATGCAGCAGACTGGGCTTCTTCCTTGAATCCTACGTGCAATTCAGTCTAGTGATTTCACATGAGATCCCTTCTTCTGGTATTATCACAGATCGTGCTGAATTATACAGGCTGTGTAATGCTTCTTCCACTGAATATCCGTGCACGTGGGCCACAGATGCTAAGGGCACTGACAAATTTGCACCGTGCCTCAGTAACTCGGAAGCACATCTGTGATTTGTACCGACAGGGACTTGGTGTCTTTTCGTGTTTAAAGTAGCACGTGTGTGTTTGTGGTTGCGTATGTTTATTTCTCTGTGCGGGTTTGTATATTTTCTCTGACTCCACCTGTGTCTCCGTGGTTCCGATATTTTTCCACACTCCCTGCGACAATTTGCACATGCCTATCTCTACAACCATTGTAGACTTTGTATCTGTGTCTTTGAACATCTGTCACTCTCTCTCCCTTCCTTTTTTCTTTTCCTTCCTTTACACCCCTTTCATCCTTCCCTTGCTTCCCCACCACACTCTCTCCATCTGTATCGTCTATGTTTCTATTCTCTATCTGGGTTTACTTTCTAATTCTGAATTCAAGGGCATTGAATTGAAAAGAAGCACTCTTCGTACTTTTATGTGTTTTAACTCATTTGGGGAATTTGGCGTGGTATTATTTACAGGGTTCTCTCTGCCCTTTCTCATTGTTCTCCCCAGCCGGGGCTGTTATTATGTGAAAGCTGGTTTCCTTCATCACATCGCGTAGGCTCTAATGATGTTTCGTTTATTTTGATTCTCCTCACACTACATAGTTTTAATTTACCTAATGTGACTGTTTTTTTGTTTGTTTTCCGAGAATGGGTCTTACTCTGTCTTCTAGGTTGGACAGCAGCCCCACGATCTCAGCCCACTGCAGCCCAGGCACCACACACCCATGTGATCCTGTCAACTCAGACTCTCACACACCTGGCAGTACAGGTGCATGCCACCCCTCCAAGCTATGTATTAATTAACTAAATACTTACTTTTTGAATGTGGGTCCATGTTGCCCCAGGCTCATCTGGAACTCCTGAGTGCAGGCAATCCTCCCACCTCAGCTTATCAAAGTGCTGGGATGACAGGTGTGACCCATGGCCCTGCCATGGCTTTGTGTTTTTTGCTTTTTTCTTCCTCCTCCTCACGTCTTGTTTTGAAACATGCACTGAAGGTTTCAATTCATGGACTATAGCCTCTGTGCCTGGAATTTCTATCTTTCAACTCATCATCAGCATTCATTGGGATTTTCATATATATATACACCTATATAAGAATACCTATGTACACACATATATACGTATATACATGTATATACGTATATATGCACATTTATATACGTATATACATGTATATACGTATATATATACATGTACACATATGTATTTATTTCTCAAGTTACGAAACGGCTTGCATTCTTTCCTGTGTCATGAAAAAGACTTTGCTAGAAAAGAAAAGCACTGCTTTATAATAAAATATTTTATTTGCATTTATTTTGTTAAGGCATTTTAAAAATTGTATGTTTGTTTAAAAAATGTCATATGAAATGATACATATTTACAACTTAAGGCGTGATGTTCAACAGGTCATATACATTATGCATTGGATACATCCAGCCAATCAACATATGTGTGACCTCACATAGTTGTCATTTTTGTTGTGAAAAAACTTGACCTGCACTGTATTCGAATATTTTTAGAGAAAGAATATGTTACCACTAGTTATAGTGAGCATGCTGAAGAAAATATTTTTAACCTATTCCTCCTTTATAACTAGAAGTATGAGTTCTTCATCCAGCATCTCGTCAGTGCACCCTCTTCACCGCAGTCATTGGAGTCACTACTTCTGTGAAGTCCGCTTTTTTGATTTCATATAAGAATGAGATCATGTGCTATTTTCCTTTCTGATACCTGGCTTATGTCACTTAACAGAATGGCATGCACACATTCAGCAGATTCCCACACATTCTCACAACTGGCAGGATTTCCTGATTTCTTATTGCAGCGCATATTTCCGTTGCGCATATGCGTTTTTGCCCCATTTTTTAATCCACTTATCAATGGAGGGACACTCAGGTTGCTTCCGCATTTTGGCTACAGCAAAAATGTAATGAGTGCAGCAATAATTGCATGGGTGCGCGCACCGCTTCAACATACTGATCTGTGTACTGGCGGGCGTGCCCGGGTATTCTGATTTGCTGGATCATATAGTGGGTGGTTCTACTTGTAGATTTCTGAAGGCTGTTTATACTTAAATAAGAGCCATAAAGCTTCTTTAATGCCAGCACTAATTTACATTCTCCCCAAAAGTGAGCAGGGAATTCGTTTTCTCTGCCTCCTCACCAGAGATTAGGGTTTTCTTTTCTTTCTTTTTTTTTTTTTTGTTTGTTTGTCTTTCGGATAATATGCATTCTGACTGAAGTGAGAAGAAATCTCATTGTGTTTTTGATTTGCATTTTCGTGATGGATTGGGGATAATGAGGAATTTTTAGTGTGTCTTCTGGGCAACTGTATGTCTCAGTTTCACAAATGAGTCTTCGCAGCCTTCGCCCATTTGTTTTCATGCTATTGAGTTGTTGGGAGTTCCTTATGTACTGTGACTATTCCCCCATGAACAGATGTATGGTGATCCAATCATTGCTCCCATCCTGTAGGATGCCCCTTCTGTATGTTGAGTTTTCTATGGTGTGGTGAAGCACTTTAGTTTGATATGATTCCATTCTCTATTTTTGATGGTGTTTACTGTGTTCTTGCAGTCACTTTGAGACCATCATTGCACACACGGACGCCATGGAGCTTCTTCCTTGTGATCTCTTCTGCTATTTTTATCGTTTCACATCTGACACTGGAGTTTGGTGATAAATAATCCACTTGTAAAATCCTTTGTGTGGCTATTCAGATTTCCCCAACCTAGTTTATAGAAGATACTTGATTTTGCATTGGGCGTTCTTGCTTCTTTGGGAAAAGGCTGTGAGCTGCAAATGCAGTGACTTAGTTCTGGGCTCCTGTTGTTTTTCCTAAGCTCTAGTCTCTGCTTTTCTGCCAGTGCTATTGTATTTTGGTACAAAAAGTTTTGTAGTAGTATATCATGAAGTTAGGTAGTGGGGTGGCTCCAGCTTTGTGCTTTTTACTGGATTGCTCTGGGTTTTCAGGATCTTCTGCCATTTCATAGCAAATTTGGGATTCCCAGATTGTTTTCTAAGAAGAATGTGTCATTGATATTTTTAAAGGGGTTGTATAGAATCTGAGGATGACTCAGGTAGTAGTGATGTCAATGCCGTTTAGACAATGTGCGTGTTTGTGTGCACATGCTCAGGGCCAAGAGACACTGGGTGTCCTCACCAATACTGAGGTGGGCCTTAATATCCAGCCAGATTGCCTTCTGGAAACACACGGAATGTCCTGTTCTGTTTTGCCATCTCTTCACATTTCCTCCCCTGTGAGCCCTGTGTGGTCCTCCAGATTCCCTGTGCGGTGGCCTGCCTTTTTTGGGGTGGGGAGTTGCTGGGTGAATGAGGATGGCGGAGGGAACCAAGTATGTCAGTGGAGCGTGGTGTCATCCAAACGGTACTTAGCAGGCCTGGGAGAGTCATTCTGGGAGGACGCAGACCTAGAGAGGCCTCAGGTGGGCATCTGTGTGGAGGGTGAGAGATCCCTGGTTGAGCCCAAACTGAACCCCAGGTAGAAGCAAGCCTCAGGACAGGGAAGTAGCTAGCAAGGGATGATGAGGCAGCTATCTCTTGACCCTGGCTTCCCACCCATTGACCTTAGCTACTTATGCCTATTAAGCAGATTACGGTTCCCCCATCGTGAAATGTGGGTACCACAGTTCCCTGATGGGCATTTCTCCACCAGCCCATGATGGCCTGAGTTTCCTTACTGCAGTCTCCTCCCTGAGCCTTGGCTTCTCTATGTGTGTCCTAACTCCAGGACCCACAGGCCTGTCAACCCCCAGCCCTGGGCTGCTTCCCTGGCCTCTTCTCTGTTCCCTCTCTGAGGGCCTAACTCCCTTGGGTAGTGCTGCAGAATATAGAGCCACAGGCCCTGGCTGATGATCTGGTGGACTGGGCAAATTGGTCGTGACAGGTCAGGTTCTGGTTCAAAGCCAATTCCTCCGATGCCAAGGAATGTCGAAGAAGGTCCTTTGCCATGATGCCCCATAGCTGCCCCACCTCAGCAATCGTGCCGTAACCTGGGCCCTCACAGTCAGACAACCAGCTGAAGAAGCTCAGGCAGTGACCTGCGGGAAACTCGGGCTTTCACCTGCATGACCCTAGAACCACTGGACTGCAGTGGAGCCAGTCGCCCTGTATCCTGGAGGGAGACGAGTCAGGAAGGCGCACGCCAGGCCCAGCTCCCGAGGTACTACCCCCTCTACTCCTCAGGGAGGATGCCAACGCAATACTCCTTAGTCATCACTTTGTTTCCGAAGTAAATGTTGTGATGAAAGGCAAACTTCTTCCTACCCCTTGTATTCAGGGTGGCCGAGTTCCTCCACCTGCCTGTCCAAGAAGGAGAAACAGGGCTGTGAAGGGGCAATTTCATCTAGGTGGGCTGAGGTGGCATTCTAGCCGGGGTGAAGCATGCGTTTCCCCTTCCCAGCTTTCCCGCTGAGACACACCTGAGCCCCAGAAGGACCTCAACCTGACCAGGACCTTAGCACCCTCCCCCAGACCCAGGCTTTCCATCCTGACCTGCAAATCCAACATGCAGCTTTGAAGGACTTTCTCATGGTTTCTGAGCTCCTTGCTCTCACCAGAAAGAATCAGAACTTTTAAAGTGTTCTTTATGCCAACTTAAATTTTTCATTTTTACTACCTCATGTTTTGGATGAGGCATGTATTTTTAAATTTATTTTCACCCTTATTGTACCTCTATGATAAACTGCTTGCTTACATTCATACCGTAATTATCTCTCAGGTTACTTGTCTGTTCCTAAAGATTCACTGAAACGAAGAATTCTATATATGCTTGTATCTTTCAGCAACCGTATGTCAGATAGCACTGCACATTACTGCAGACATCGCATATACAGGTCCAAAGGTAGAGGAAGAAGAAGAAAGCAAGCGTTAAACTCTATTCATTCCTAAAAGCATATCAGAAACTCACAAATAACAGTGAAATCAAAGAATGATCACAGCCAATTCCATTACATACCTAGACTGAAATACGAAACTTCAAAGAAAAGAAACATTAGAACTTTGGGTTTGTAAAAATTTTCCTATATAGATAAAATTATTGGTAACTGTGTCTCACTAGAAAACGTAAACAAAAATCCATGTTTTTCATATTTGTAAATATACATAGTTTTATTTCCATCAGTTATGACATGCAAGCAAGTAATAAAGTGAAAGTACAATCAAATGATATATGGAACTTCCTCAGTCTTAAAATATTCCATGGAGACTATCAATTTTATGAAAACTATAAAGAATGCTTCATGAAACTACATTGTACAGTGCCATTTACTATTTTACTGACATTTTAAATAATCAACAATTAAAGGGAATACGTCAACATTATTTAATACCAATAACGTTATTTTTCTTGAGTAATCCTGTTGAAATTAAGGATTTTAAATAAAACATTAAAAACAAATTATATTGACTGATTTCAGCTTTGGATGAAATCATACTTGTGTATTTGTAGTAATGCGAAGCATAACTTTCTCCTCACAATTAATCTTTTATAACATCGGTGTTATAGTTTTCTCTGACACCAACATTGTGATATCGCACAGGTTTACTGCATGCATGCATTACATGCCTCCAGAGAGTAGGCTTCAAATATATGGAAAAATTATATTTATGAAAAAATTCTAGGAAAGGGAATGGTGAAATGGAAGAGAATTTCTCACTTGCTAACTGTTGGACATGGATTTGTATATATTTGGATATAGACACATACTGGCACACTGTGAGTTTGCCCATGTATATATACACTTATATGAGAAACCCATAATATATGGGTTGTGTAATCTTTTAATTAATCCATAATTGTATGTGTGTGAAATTAGATAAGCGGTTACCTTTTCTTTACTCAATTTGATGGAAAGCCAAAAAACTCTGTCCACCTTCATTTCAATTAATCCAATACTGTTAACTGCTGGTAGCTTCATTCTCCTTGTTCTCTTACGGCAACCGGAAAGTTAATTCTCGCTCTAATTTGGCTTTCAAGGTGCGATCAACAAGAGTGTCACCTTGCTGTGGATTGTGACCTCTGACTCCACCTCTGTCTTCCTTTTGCAGTCCTACCTTTGCATAGGTAACAAACTTTGTACATGGTTAAAAGGATAAAAGTTCAGTGAAATGTCAAGCCATGCTGTGAAATGTTCCATAGTTTCTATATCTCTAATTGTCCTTTGATGTTATAGAGGCAAGAAAAATAATTCAATGTTTTTCTTAGTATCTAGTCCAATGCACTCTTTCTTCATAATACTGCAAACAAGGCACTGACATGGAAACGTGGCTGGACGTCTCAAAATCTCTTCTCATTAATTACCATTATGTTAATCACTGTTGCCCACAACTGGAATTGGACTTTGAAATCCCCTGGTGGAAATTGCTATAATGGCTCAAACTACTGGAAAGACTATCTTTTTTTACCTGAAAATATCTGATGAGCATAGACGTATGCTATATACAGGAACATATTGTACATTAACAACATACCATCACTGCCACTCAATAATAGGTATCCCAAACCTTTGAGCCAAACTGAGCTCGGGTGCTCCCACAAACCAAGCTTTTCCCTCCACAGATTTCTTATGTCAAAAAGCCACAACTCCAGGCCAGGCTTCGTGGCTCTTGTTGTAATTTCTACATTTTGGGAGGCCGAGGTTGGTGGGTCACTTGAGGTCAGGAGTTGGAGACCAGCATGGGAAACATGGCAAAAAGCTGTCTCTACCAAAAATACAAAAATTAGCCAGACCTAGTGGCACTTTCCTGTGGTCCCAGCTACTTGGGAGGCTGAGGCAGGAGAACCACCTGAACATGGGTGGCAGAGATTGTATAGTAAGCCAAGATCAGACTACTGCACTCCAGCCTGGATGACACAGCGAGACCATGACTGAAAAAGAAAAAAATAAAGGCAACTCCACTCGTCCACTGGCTTAGGTAAAATGTACTGGAGTTGGCTGGGCTCGGTGGCTCACACCTGTATTCCCAGCACTTTGGATTTTGGGAAGCTGAGTCGGGCGGGTCACCTGAGATCTGTAGTAGGAGAGCAGCCTGGCCAACATGGTGAAGCCTGGCTTCTACTAAAAATACAAAACATTAGCTGAGCGTGGTGATGCATGCTTGTAATCCCAGCTACTGCAGAGGCTGAACCTGGGAGGCGGAGGATGTGTTGAGCCGAGATCCTGCCACTGCGCTCCAGCCTGGTCTACAGAGCGAGAGTACCCTGTGAGAAACAAAGGTGAAGAGAACAAGAAAAAAAAATGAGAAAAATAAGACCCACTGCAAAAGGTTGCCACAGAAAAGATTAAACATTTCAGCAACTTCTATCTTCTGTCATGGAAGCCAAGGTTATTTGGACCAAACCTCCTGTCTTAGTTCATTTTCACGCTGCTGAAGAAGACATACCTGAAACTGGGAATAAAAGGAGGTTTAATTGGACTGACAGTTCCACATGGCTGTGGAGGCCTCAGAATCATGGTATACGAATAAAGGCACTTCTTACATGGCAATGCCAAGAGAGAATGAGGAAGAACCTGAGGCAGAAACCCCTGAAAAACCCATCAGATCCCGTGAGACTTCTTCACTGTCACAAGAATAGCATGAGAAAGACCGACCCCCATGATTCAATTACCTCCCCCTGGGTCCCACCCGCAACACGAGGGAATTCTGGGAGATACAATTGAAGCTGAGATTTGAATGGAGACACACCAAACCATGTCACTTCCCAAACAATTAAAAATTCCCAATAGAAGAAGCATTAATTATATCAAAAAGTGGTGGACCAAGAAGGAACTATTAGCCTCATATCTCAAGAAAGACTCCAGTCAAGGCCTAGGGACTACTCATGAAAAGAGTTTAATAGCCGACTCTCTCCCAGTGGATCTGGATTCCACCGGACTGTATCTTCACAGTAAGGGTGAAACAGAAGCAAACCCATTCCTATTTCCAAGCTCAAGGAACTTTGGTCAAAGTTCTCTTGGAGCTGAGCAGAACAAGGAGGCAAACAGAAAAGATTTGTGTCCCTAAGAAGTCATGGCCACAGGCTGGCTATCACACAGATTGTCAAGCCAGTTCCATATTGCATGGGTATTACAGAAAATCTCAAAACATAAATTTGTGTGTGGGTTGTCCCAGAGTAGCAGGATCTGGCAGAAGGAAATTTCCTTCTAACCCTCAAAGAATCCACATAAATCTTGTTACATTTGGGATTTTACGATTTGCTTCAGGAATGAGAATGGCCTTAATTTTCATATCTTTTTCTACACTCAGTTTATGTCTTGTTGGCGTCAAAGTTCTGCTTGCTTCACACAATGAGTTTAGGATTTTCCCTTTTTTATTCTATAGAATTCTTCATATATATTGAAATGCTCTGCCTGGGGAAAAAAATCTGAGCCTAGCGTTTTATCTCTAGGAAGAATCCTTTATTTCCTTGAACATTTATGAGACTATACAGATTATATATGTCTTCTTGTATCAATTTTACTAAGCTATATACATAGCTTATGTTTATATATTATATATATAAATGTAAGATACAAATATAAAAATTATGTATAAATATGAAAATATATATAGAAAGCGATATATATGTCTATATATATAGACAGATTATAAATATCTGTCTATTTGACCTAAGTTTTCAAATTTGTAGGTTAAGGTGTTAACGATATTTCCTTATTAGCTTCTTAATCTATGCTGTATCTATGGTTGTGTACCTTTTAAATTCTTAGTTTTATCTATGTTTTCTCCCTTTTTTTCTAAACTTGACTGACGGTTGCATCACTTATTATATTTCTCCAACAAGCAAAGGTTAGCTTTGTATGTTTTACTAATTTTGTCTACATCATTATTCCCACACTTTAGTTTTTCAGAATTGATTCTGTTGTTTCTTTTCTAATTCTTTATTGAAATATCTAGTACATTAATTTTCAAGTTATTAGAGAAATATTTGTCTGTAAACTCCTATTGTAATATCACTTTTCTTGCTACTCACAGATTTAATCTTTAATATTGGCGGTATCATTGAGTTCTAAGTACATTTCAATTCCTAGTATGATAATCTATGAATTGCTGAGAAATAGTGTTTACAATTTTGTTGTTCTATTTCCACTTAAGTTTATTTTTACTTCTGCTAACTCAATTGAAAATTCTTTACTAATTTTTAAAATCCTTGAACCCAAGAGATGGAGGTTGCAGTGAGCTGAGATCAGGCCACTGCATTCCAGACTGAGTGACAGAGTGGAACGAGATTTCAAAACAAAACAAAACAAAACAAAACAAAACAGTCACTGGAAAGATAATAAAATACATAAATGTGGGATGTAATATGTAATCGTGATAAAATAAACTGGATTTTTTGTATAAGTTATACATATAAATGTAATGCCAAGACACTGATAAGACAACTCATGGTCTTATCTCAATACTTAGTGTCTTCATGTAACATATGTCCTTTAGGATAGTTATAGTCCGTTTTCTTTCCAGGAGAGACAGATGAGAATGCAGAAATGTTAAAGTGCAAGGGACGGAAGCTTCCAGCTGTGCCCACCTGTAACCTGACGTAGACAGTTCCACCGTTTGCTTCATTAATCATGCCAAAGGCTCTAATGCAAATGTGGTACAGAGTCACATGTTTTTGTATCTACATGATAGAAACTATAACTTCATCCCTATATAGAAGGGTATATAGCATATGCCTCAGTGATAAATATAAGTGAATCATTGATCAGTAGGAAACCATTTTAAAAGTCTTTCATAACAGAACAAAATCCCTGAAAACATTTTCTTCTCAATCTCTGAGTTTTCTTACACGGCTTATGAATCTCTAGCCATACTAAAGAGATAGTATGCTGCTCTTCCCACAAATTATTCATTGTATATAATTCCTGTAATCTAATAACAGTACCTTTACACCTCAGGGTTTAAAATGACTCCAACCTTTTTCTGTTTCTCCAATTAAAATAACTTTTTTAAGGTTTAATCTTCAGTAATTTTTTGTAGTAATATTTTTGAAGGTATTTGACCAGGATGATTTGCTTATATACCTACCTGACGTCTCCCTTTCTTCTGAATACATATTTTATTAACCACCTATTAGATCTAAGTTTAAGAAGTTGGAATAGGGATTTAAATCTAAATTCTACATTTGAATTTACAGGAGTCAGCGAGTCCGGGAAGTGCCTTTATGCACAGACCAATATCTGGCAATGGCACTAGGAGACAAATAAGCTTTACCAGTCTCAAAGCCCTGGCTACTACAGTGAATCCACCCTTCTCCTGGATCTTATCTACTTCAGCAAAAGAAGGCCACCCACTAAACCAGGCCCTTGTACTTTGGGTGGAAACTCCTAAGTCCTCTAGTCTCCTCAAACAGACAGCCAGGCTGCCAATTTCCACAATAATAATTTCTATAGCACTGAGTCTTTGGTAGCCTTGTAACTATAGCTACTGATGCTACAGTCTGGTCCCTGTATGATAAAACACCAGAGCAACAGAAACAAAAATATTGACTGAAGCCTTCTAAAATCTCTCTAAATATACCTTCAATAAATATGGTTTTTTTTACAGAACGACTGCTTTCAGCTTCCTGAACGAACGCTTGGCCTTCGCTAGTTGTCACTGTTGAAATTGATTCAAAAGTGTACATTTAACATGAAAGTCAACACAGAATTTCATGTGTCAGCAACTAAAATTTTCAAAATGTTGCAAAATACAAATGTGAAACTGTATTTGTGAAATTTACCATTCATTGAAATTATATTTTCATACCTACCCAGGCACAGAATTTTTTATAACTGTCTGCATGTTCTCCTCATGTGGGGGAAAAGCAGCATCAGCAGGCAGAGGAATCCTTTGAAGCTGGAGGGAGAGGTTGCAGTGATCTGAGAGTTTGCCACTTGACTGCAGCCTGGATGACACAGTGAGACTCCAACTGAAAAGAAACAAACACACACACACACACACACACACACACACACCCCCAAAATTGATAAGTAAAAAAAAAATCCATATTCGAAAACATGCTCACAGGCTATCTCCCATATCTAACACACAGACACACACACACACACACACACACACACAAACACACACAATTCCTTGAAAACGAAAGTTCCACAAGGGCAAAAGAAGAAAACAAATTTAACACCCCCCAAAGAAAGTACAAAGAGTAACCTCAAAAGAACCGCAGGGGAAAACAATTCAAAATTTACAAGTATCTACCCTAAAAGAAGCTGAAAGTCCCTCAAAAACTTTCCAGAGGCCATGTCCTTGTATTACAAAAATGATCATAAAAACTGGCAGGAGTAGACGAATAGAAATGCATCTTAAAACTTGCTAAACCCTTCAAGTCTCCCATAAGAATTGTAATGGAAAATGGATCGGTCGGCAGCTTTTTCCATACAATTATGAACAAATTATATTTCTTCATACATAGATTTGTTTTTTCAATATTCTAAGGAATTAACTTTTATATTAATAGTAGGTGATGTAAGAAAGCAGGCCTTTATCAAGATAACTGACACTGGATGTCCATACCATTACTCAGGTGGGCCTTAATTCCCAGCCGGGTTCCCTCCCTGGACACACACTGAAGGTCCCCAGCCATTTGGCAATCTCTTCACATTCCCAGCCCTGGAGGTAGCCCTAAAATACATGTACCTGAAGAAAATAAAACATTGCCTCACACTGGAGCCCAGTGTGGTCCTCCAGATTCCGTGTGAGGTGGACTAACTTATATGGGAAGGCAGGGCAGCGGGAGTGAGGATGGCAGAGAGGATTACACATGTCAAGGCAGCCGGGGTCATGGAAACAAAACATGACTGGCCTGGGAGAAACACTGTGAAAGGACACAGACCTAGGTGGGCCTCAGGTGGACATCCTCGTGGAGAAAAAGGGGGCCCTGGTTGATCTCAAAATGAGCCCCAGGTGGTAGCAGGTCTTACCGCAGGGCAGGGAGCTGGCGAGTAATGATGAGACAGCTATCCCTTAAGCCCTGCTTGTCACCCACTGACTTTAGCCACATATGCATCATAGTGGCTTAAGGTGCCCCGATCCTGAAATGTGGGTGTTACATGTCCCTGATGGGCCTCTCTCCCCCAACCCACGGATTGCCTGGGATTGCTCACTGCAGTCTCCTCCCGGATCCTTGGGTTCTCCATGTGGGGCCCAGATCCAGGTCAAAAGGCCTCTCAGTTCCCAGCCCTTCCCAGCCCTAGGCTGCTCGCCTGGCCTCCTCTCTGTTCCGCCTCTAGGGCTGACCCTCTCTCCATGGGATAGAACTGCAATGGATTGAGCCATAGGCCCTGGCTGATGATCTAGGGGACTGCAGAAGTGGGTCCAGGACAGTTCAGGTGACAGTTCAAAGCCAATTCCCCAGAGACCAAGGAATGACCAGCTAGGTCCTTTCCCATGATGCCCCACGGCGAACCCCACCTCAGCAATCCTGCCAAAACCCGGGCAGTCATGTTCAGCCAAACAGCTGAATGAGCTCAGGTAGGAGGTGTACTGCCTGCAGCTGGAGGCTTGACCTTCGTGATCCCAGAACCGCTGGACTGCAGTGGAATGAGACACCCTGTAGCCTGCAGGGAGAGGAGTCAGGAAGGTTCATGCCAGTCCCACCCTCCCACACACCAGCTCCCCTACCATGCTGGGAGGCATTCCTTACCGAGGATGCCAACACAGTGCTCCTTCATGATGATTTCACTGTGGAAATAAAGGTTGGGATGAAAGGAAATCATCCTGCCACCGGTAACCGGGATGGCTGAGTTCCTCCACCTGCCGGATCAAGGAGAAAGAGGATGGATTCAATGGGACCATCTCAACTAGCCGGGCTGAGGTGGCCTACTAGCTGTAGTGAACCATGAGTTTCCCCTTCCCAGCTCTCCCACTGAGACAACCCTGGTCCCCAGGGGGACCTCAAACTGACTCAGACACTGGACTCCTCCCACAGACCCAGGCTCCCCAGCCTGACCTGCAAATCCATCACGTAGCAAAGCAGGACTTCCGCATGCTTTCCGACCCACGCCGACATCTCGTGTGCCAAACAATCTACCTCTGCGCAAGAACTCTCCAGAGGATTGGGTGGGCAAGCCTCGTGACGCCTTGCAATTTCGCAAGAACACAGACAATGTGGAACAGGGCCATCTCCCAGACATTTGGCCAGTCACCCTTCATTGTTGGCCCTCTATCTCTGTCTGGCGAGGAGGCAACGCCACAACTGTGGTGGTTTTTGGAGTGGGTGGACCCCGGCCAAGACGGCCTGGGCTGACCAGAGACGGGAGGCAGAAAAAGTGGGCAGGTGGTTGCAGCTGAGGGACGGGAGGGACCGGGGGTGGTGTGAGGCGGCTGCTTCTCTGGGTTTCTGAGATGCAGGAGGCCTTTGTGTGCTGGGTGCTGGACATGCTCCGCTGATGTCCGGGTGTGTGGTGTCCTCTTATCCTAGTCTCCCTGAGGGGTGGGCCTGTCCACCTGAGGGAAGCCTTGTAGTTAGAAGCCACAGCAGGGTCGTGCCTGGCGCTCTCCAAGGGAATTGCGTGGGTCCAGAGGAAGTTATACAGGCTCAGGGCCTACACGCCTTTGAGTGCAGCGCCTGCAGTTGGATGAATGCGCATCTGCGGAGCTGGTGCCCGCCGTCAGGTGGTCGGCAGCCCCATGCGCCGCGAACCCGTCTTAAGCACCTTGTGTTTCTGGGGTGAGCCTGCTGGAAACAGGCACCGAGAGCAGGGGTGGTTCAATGGCTGGTAATGGCATACAGATTCCCCGTCCTCCAGGGACGTTCCCAGGGAAACGCGTCCTTCGAATTTGGGCTGTGCGCAAAGGGACCTTGGCGCCGCGATTCTCCCTTGTCAGTGCTGGCCCTGGCTCCCCTTCCCTACCACGTGCTCCCAGGGCTGCTACAAGCGAGCTGCCCTCACAGCTGCGGGAACGTGGCCTCGGCTCCCACGCTGTCCCCCATCCCCTGCCTCCTGGCTGACCCCACGTGCCTCCCACCTGGCTCCTCCCCGCAAACAGCCCCCATACCCCCCGAGGCCCGATGACTATCCCCTGCTGCCCGCCATCCCAAATCGGCAGCCGCAAGGATATGGCTCTGGCTCACAAGGCGGAGATGCTCTGTGGCCTGGGGCATTCACGGAGCCCAGCTCCAAGTGAAGGACCTCCAGCGAGTCCATTGACGGCCCCGGTGTGCTCGGTCCAGGGCCAGGCTGTGCCCGCTGGCCCTCCTTCTGCCACCCCACGTCGGGCTCCACCTCAACCACCACCTCCACCTCAGCCATGATGTCTTCCACCTTCAGCACCGCCTCCTCTTCCAAGGCCGCCTCCTTGCTCTGTACCCCGGCCGTCCTCTCCAGCATTGCCTCCAGCCTGAACACGGTTTTCTCCTGGGTGCTCCCACAGACCCTGGGCCTGCGCAGCCCAGCCCAGCCCAGCCCATGCCCCGCACCCGTAGGCTCTGGGGGCCCGCTCCCCAGCAGACCCGCTCCCTGCAAGACCCACGGGCGTCGCCCTGCTGTGAACCTGGTCCCACACCTACGTGGACCCAGGTTTCCTGAGGAGCTCCGCTGGACCCGCAGATCCCGCACTGGCCAAAGGGCTCCGGTCCCCAGCAGGCTCAACTGCGCACAGGAGCTCGGGAGCCAGAGGCCCCGGCCCTGGGCTTGCAGAGCCCCACCAACAGGCACCGCAACCGCTGCTGCGGGTGCGGGAGCCTCTGGGTCGTCAAGGCAGCGCACAACAGCGTGCGCGCAGGCCGACAATGGCCAACCCTGGCGGCTGGCCTCTGGTGTGCCCAGGGCATAGGACAAGAGGCCCTTTGGAATGCTCCTTGGAGTACAGCATCCTCAGGGAGGAAGCATGGTACTCGGAGCCTCTATTTGCCTCGACCTGTGAGAGTGTGTGCCGGGGCTCTGGCCTCTACAGCAGATCAATTCCACCTCAGCACCGGCAGGCGACTTTCCTCCCACGTGCCCGCCCCGATCACTTCCCCCAGGACACCCCTGCCGCCCTAGCCCCAGCAACCAGAGAGAGTTCTCTGCATCTGCTGTATTACCTCCGTACCATCTACCTGGCCTGCCTAACGAAGAGAGATGTTTCCTGTGTTCATGACACATAGAGATGTTCATGGCTTGCCACACTGAGGATGTCAGGGCACAGGGCTGCCATGCCCACAATTCCAAAGGCCACGCAGCCCGCGTGTGCCCGGATGCCTAGCTACCCGGCACAAGCTCCAAGGGCTTCTCGGAGGAGGCTTGGGCAGGGAAGGCGGGGGTTGGGGGGGCTGGAGATGCAGGCCCGCCAGTGGCTGTGCCGCCCAGGGAGACGCCCACCGCCCTCCCATTGACTGGCCACGACGGGAGGAAGTCGGCCTGGGTGCGGCCCCCCGGCCCTTCGCGCGCAGTCCCTTAGGGGGCGCCTGGAAGCCCGGCGCATGCGCCCTGAGGGCTCGCTGACCTACCGGGTGCCAGAGAGGCTGCGGCAGGGTTTCTGTGGCGTGGGTCGGGCAGCACAGGCCTTGGTGTGTGCGAGTGCCAAGGAGGGCACCGCCTTCAGGATGGAGGCTGTACAGGAGGGGGCGGCCGGGGTGGAGAGTGAGCAGGCGGCTTTGGGGGAGGAGGCGGTGCTGCTGTTGGATGACATAATGGCGGAGGTGGAGGTGGTGGCGGAGGAGGAGGGCCTCGTGGAGCGGCGGGAGGAGGCCCAGCGGGCACAGCAGGCTGTGCCTGGCCCTGGGCCCATGACCCCAGAGTCTGCACTGGAGGAGCTGCTGGCCGTTCAGGTGGAGCTGGAGCCGGTTAATGCCCAAGCCAGGAAGGCCTTTTCTCGGCAGCGGGAAAAGATGGAGCGGAGGCGCAAGCCCCACCTAGACCGCAGAGGCGCCGTCATCCAGAGCGTCCCTGGCTTCTGGGCCAATGTTGTATCCTTCTCAGTGTTTCTTCGGCCTTTCTAGTGGAGAGGTGCTCTCGGGGAAGTGTAAGTGACCGATGGGCAGCTCGGCGTCGATGTGACTCTTTGGGGAACAAAGGGGAGTTGCCACGGACCAATGTGGCTGTGGAAAGCCGGAGCAGGCGTGGGTACTATTGTCCTGCATGCGGCAGAGAAACCCTTGGTGATGCCGAGCAGCAGACGTTTGGGGCATCTTTTTGAAGAGCAGAAGCGAGTTCAGAGCGGAAGAGGTTTTTCAGTGAATGAAGCTATTTTTAAGGGAGTGTGATTGCTGCCCCTTGCTAGTCCGATCTGGGACTGGGCGTCTTCGGCTATAAGCAGATTCTGCCACTCCTCAGACACCAGCAAGTCTCTGCAAATCGCGCCTCCCCATGTCAGTGCAGTCAGCCTCAGAATCATACACCCTCTGTGAACACAGGAGGCCTTAGTTTACGGGGAGGGGGAGGCGAAAGGAGATCATACATGGAAGCAGATCTGAGAAATCCCCTACCCCAGCCTCTGGGTGCTCTTAGGCCTTCTTCCCTGTTGCTCCTCGCTTTCCCTTCCATCGTGTGTAAAGTCTCTTTGACCTAAATCAGATTGCAAACCACCCCCAGATGTCAGCCCTGATCACTGACGAAGATGAAGACATGCTGAGCTACATGGTCAGCCTGGAGGTGAGGCCAGGAAGACTGGGGCTAGAGGGTTTAGCGGGGGAGGGTAAGGGAAATAATTCATTCCTGTAAGCAAGAGTGAGCACCTCACCCGAAAACCTATCTAAGCTTTCTCCACCTTGTCCTGACAGGTGGAAGAAGAGAAGCATCCTGTTCATCTCTGCAAGATCATGTTGTTCTTTCGGAGTAACCCCTACTTCCAGAATAAAGTGATTACCAAGGAATATCTGGTGAACATCACAGGTGACAGGTGGCTCCCAGGATGGGTAGTGGAAGGAAGATGGTGGGTGGATCATTGCCAACGGGATCCAGCCCCCTTCCCACAAAAACTCCTGTCTCTGTAGAATACAGGGCTTCTCATTCCACTCCAATTGAGTGGTATCCGGATTATGAAGTGGAGGCCTATCGCCGCAGACACCACAACAGCAGCCTTAACTTCTTCAACTGGTTCTCTGACCACAACTTCGCAGGATCTAACAAGATTGCTGAGGTGAGTCCTCACTGGGAAACATGAGGAATGACCCCGTGTGTTCCCAGCTGCTTGGGTCACCTTTCTGAGCCCTGATGAGGCCTTTCCCGATTGAGTCCCCTGACAGATCCTATGTAAGGACCTGTGGCGCAATCCCCTGCAATACTACAAGAGGATGAAGCCACCTGAAGAGGGAACAGAGACGTCAGGTGAGCCGTTAGTTGGCACTGGAGCTGTTTGATGCCCAGTATAAGGGGGTTGACACACCTGCCTATTCAGGGAGCCTGGGTGCTCATTTCAGAAATGTAGAAATTGAGGCTCCTTTCGTACATGTAGAAATTCCTTGAGAGGAAGACAGAGAGTGACAGAATCCAGGACGTTCATGGCATTGGGCTGAAAAGGCACGTTAGAGACTGCACTGCAAAGCGGGTGATAGCTGTGGAGTCTTAAGCCCAGTGAAGAATCGTCCATTTCCAGAATCAATGAGAAGTAAAGCTGAAAATCATTCAGTTCAGTCTGTGGCACTTGATTCCACGGCTGTCAACCCCACCGGCAGTCATCCCGCCAACCCCATGAGATTGGGCTCCCTGAATGTGCGTCCTGGTCATCCTTGCCCCAAACCACAAAGGACTGTTTAGATTGATGGATTTCCTTAAGCTGTTGCCCCATCAGACTTGTGTGTGCTTTTAGGGTCCAGTGCATCTTGTTAGCTGACTCCCCTCACAGACAATACTGGGAATGGGGCAGGGATTGCGCAGAACAGTTTGTAACACGTGGTAGGAGGAAGTTTAAGGGATCACAAATGGGGAAGGGATATCCTTTTCTCAGCGGGCCCCACAATTGAAACATTTCAAAGTATGGCTCAGAGAAAATGCGTTTTAACATGAGTTTGTGTTTCTCTAGGGGACTCCCAGTTGTTGAGTTGAATATGATGGAGCATCAGATTTTACCTAATACAGCAGAACTCCTAAAAAGTTACAGCCATATGCAGGACGGCAGTACTCAGCATGGTCTTATGCACAGGAACTAAAGGAAAAAGAGATCGAGTCACAAAAATTCAGGAAGAGGGGGTAAATGTGGATTGTATGGAATGAAAAATAAACATTCTCAAGGATGTGTGACTCTGTGTCTGTGTGTGTGTGTGTGTCTTTGTGTTTGTGTGTGTGTGTGTCTGTGTGTGTATGTTTATCCACTTTATTCGGGTGTCATAATGAATTGATCAATCCACGTGCTTTATTCTCTTCATGGAAATAACCAGTCTGCGTTGGAGCTGGGCCTCTAAAGTTGTAGAGTGAATGGGTGTGGGATGTTTTGGGATTCTTCCTACAGGACAGAGTGGGAGAGGTAAAAGCAAAAGACAGCTTAGTTGGAGGCTGACTTCGTCCTATGGAAGCAGAGATAGTTCAAGGAAAGGGGTTACTGGGTTTCCAGGGCCCAGTTTGCTGGGACCTCCAAAATCCTTCATTTTGGGTATCATCATACACAGTAGCTAAGCACAGGATGATGGAAATCTTAAAGTTCGCTTTCGTGTTGAATCCACATGTTCTTTTAAAGGTGAATGCATGATCCTTTTCTGGGACAATCAGCCTCTCAGGACTTCTGAAACATCAACGTGAGAAGAAATGGGCATGTAAGGTGTATGGAGGGACTGTGGGAAAGGTGACAGAGGCATGTGGGAAGGCATTCAGGATACGCTTTTGGCATAGATGACTAAGGGAAAACAGAAACTTACAGAAGTGAGGGGAAAGGGGGTGGATTAGTGGAATATAAGATTGTTGGAGAATCCATCCATGGACTCTCTTGTCACTTGATGACCCAGGATATGGACACTCTTGTTGATGTTTACATCTTTAGTTGTTTTAAGCTTTTCTCCAAGATTCTGTGTTAGGTGAGGAGCCAATAACGTATGTAGCTAACAACAGTACGAGTGCATTTTGTGCTCTTGCAAAGTCTAGTGAGGCTCTATTCTCCCTCGTGATTGGCACTGCAGATTGTATCTGGACCCAGGGCCCCTAAATTTTCTGTGGCCTCTTCAGCATAGTTTGCCTAAGGTTTAGAACGTAAAGTGAATATAGTTGCGGAATATGTTTTGCAAGCCTCACACAGGAGGACAAAACATACAGCTTTCATTCGCGAGTGGGAGGCTGCTTCCCAGGAACACGTGTGTCTGCACAAGACAAGGGGTTGCCTCTGTCAAGGATGGGGCAGGAGGATTTCAGTGTCGGAGGCAGAACTTTCTTTCCTGTTCCCAGATGAAACAGTTCCAACACGAGCATCCATGTTGACCACACGCTACTAGAGTGCTAACATTGCTGTCCCGTATAGACTCCAGTCAGCACAGCTTCTGTGAGAAGAGCTATGTTGTTTCAGGGAAGAGGGTTTGACAGTCAAAGTTCCTGAATCTGTTGTGGTGCCTGCAATATGCATTCTACCCCTCCTGCTCGGTGTCAAAGCAGTTGAGCTTTGAAAATCTATCGCCCGGTTTTGTCCCTGCTCCTATGCAGACCTCTGAAGCTCTGGAGCGGGAGTCTTGTCCTCCTCTGACTACCGTCCCCCTGACCCACAAACACAGGAGAAACAGGTGTTCTAAGCAAATTATTCTGAAAACAGTCGGAACCCTTTGGCCCCCTCAAGCTGCCCTGTATCCTACTGTGTGCATGTCAAAGACACTGTGGTCCAGTACGGTATCCCTATAGCGGCAATGGGGCAACAGATTGGTGTGTGCACTCTGGGCAACTCAGATTAGGAAACGTCTGGGGACTTGCCTATAACGAGGTCGTCTTAAAACGTGTTGCCCCAAATTTAAGGCATAGGAAAATGTTGAGGAAAGGGTCTTGCAATGATTTTTCTAGGAGGTAAATAGATAAGAAAATGACCGTAAATAGATGCCAGGGCTAGTTTTGGAGCTAGCCTTTTTTAAAGTGGTGGTAGGGGAGGAGGTTTTTCCAAGGCAGGTAGCAAACCAGGAACTGTCTACGATGGATGGGCGTGCCATGGGTTGGTGGCTCAGCCATATTGCCACCCCACGGAGTCGATGCAGCAGACTGGGCTTCTTCCTTGAATCCTACGTGCAATTCAGTCTAGTGATTTCACATGAGATCCCTTCTTCTGGTATTATCACAGATCGTGCTGAATTATACAGGCTGTGTAATGCTTCTTCCACTGAATATCCGTGCACGTGGGCCACAGATGCTAAGGGCACTGACAAATTTGCACCGTGCCTCAGTAACTCGGAAGCACATCTGTGATTTGTACCGACAGGGACTTGGTGTCTTTTCGTGTTTAAAGTAGCACGTGTGTGTTTGTGGTTGCGTATGTTTATTTCTCTGTGCGGGTTTGTATATTTTCTCTGACTCCACCTATGTCTCCGTGGTTCCGATATTTTTCCACACTCCCTGCGACAATTTGCACATGCCTATCTCTACAACCATTGTAGACTTTGTATCTGTGTCTTTGAACATCTGTCACTCTCTCTCCCTTCCTTTTTTCTTTTCCTTCCTTTACACCCCTCCTTTCATCCTTCCCTTGCTTCCCCACCACACTCTCTCCATCTGTATCGTCTATGTTTCTATTCTCTATCTGGGTTTACTTTCTAATTCTGAATTCAAGGGCATTGAATTGAAAAGAAGCACTCTTCGTACTTTTATGTGTTTTAACTCATTTGGGGAATTTGGCGTGGTATTATTTACAGGGTTCTCTCTGCCCTTTCTCATTGTTCTCCCCAGCCGGGGCTGTTATTATGTGAAAGCTGGTTTCCTTCGTCACATCGCGTAGGCTCTAATGATGTTTCGTTTATTTTGATTCTCCTCACACTACATAGTTTTAATTTACCTAATGTGACTGTTTTTTTGTTTGTTTTCCGAGAATGGGTCTTACTCTGTCTTCTAGGTTGGACAGCAGCCCCACGATCTCAGCCCACTGCAGCCCAGGCACCACACACCCATGTGATCCTGTCAACTCAGACTCTCACACACCTGGCAGTACAGGTGCATGCCACCCCTCCAAGCTATGTATTAATTAACTAAATACTTACTTTTTGAATGTGGGTCCATGTTGCCCCAGGCTCATCTGGAACTCCTGAGTGCAGGCAATCCTCCCACCTCAGCTTATCAAAGTGCTGGGATGACAGGTGTGACCCATGGCCCTGCCATGGCTTTGTGTTTTTTGCTTTTTTCTTCCTCCTCCTCACGTCTTGTTTTGAAACATGCACTGAAGGTTTCAATTCATGGACTATAGCCTCTGTGCCTGGAATTTCTATCTTTCAACTCATCATCAGCATTCATTGGGATTTTCATATATATATATACCTATATAAGAATACCTATGTACACACATATATACGTATATACATGTATATACGTATATATGCACATTTATATACGTATATACATGTATATACGTATATATATACATGTACACATATGTATTTATTTCTCAAGTTACGAAACGGCTTGCATTCTTTCCTGTGTCATGAAAAAGACTTTGCTAGAAAAGAAAAGCACTGCTTTATAATAAAATATTTTATTTGCATTTATTTTGTTAAGGCATTTTAAAAATTGTATGTTTGTTTAAAAAATGTCATATGAAATGATACATATTTACAACTTAAGGCGTGATGTTCAACAGGTCATATACATTATGCATTGGATACATCCAGCCAATCAACATATGTGTGACCTCACATAGTTGTCATTTTTGTTGTGAAAAAACTTGACCTGCACTGTATTCGAATATTTTTAGAGAAAGAATATGTTACCACTAGTTATAGTGAGCATGCTGAAGAAAATATTTTTAACCTATTCCTCCTTTATAACTAGAAGTATGAGTTCTTCATCCAGCATCTCGTCAGTGCACCCTCTTCACCGCAGTCATTGGAGTCACTACTTCTGTGAAGTCCGCTTTTTTGATTTCATATAAGAATGAGATCATGTGCTATTTTCCTTTCTGATACCTGGCTTATGTCACTTAACAGAATGGCATGCACACATTCAGCAGATTCCCACACATTCTCACAACTGGCAGGATTTCCTGATTTCTTATTGCAGCGCATATTTACGTTGCGCATATGCGTTTTTGCCCCATTTTTTAATCCACTTATCAATGGAGGGACTCTCAGGTTGCTTCCGCATTTTGGCTACAGCAAAAATGTAATGAGTGCAGCAATAATTGCATGGGTGCGCGCACCGCTTCAACATACTGATCTGTGTACTGGCGGGCGTGCCCGGGTATTCTGATTTGCTGGATCATATAGTGGGTGGTTCTACTTGTAGATTTCTGAAGGCTGTTTATACTTAAATAAGAGCCATAAAGCTTCTTTAATGCCAGCACTAATTTACATTCTCCCCAAAAGTGAGCAGGGAATTCGTTTTCTCTGCCTCCTCACCAGAGATTAGGGTTTTCTTTTCTTTCTTTTTTTTTTTTTGTTTGTTTGTCTTTCGGATAATATGCATTCTGACTGAAGTGAGAAGAAATCTCATTGTGTTTTTGATTTGCATTTTCGTGATGGATTGGGGATAATGAGGAATTTTTAGTGTGTCTTCTGGGCAACTGTATGTCTCAGTTTCACAAATGAGTCTTCGCAGCCTTCGCCCATTTGTTTTCATGCTATTGAGTTGTTGGGAGTTCCTTATGTACTGTGACTATTCCCCCATGAACAGATGTATGGTGATCCAATCATTGCTCCCATCCTGTAGGATGCCCCTTCTGTATGTTGAGTTTTCTATGGTGTGGTGAAGCACTTTAGTTTGATATGATTCCATTCTCTATTTTTGATGGTGTTTACTGTGTTCTTGCAGTCACTTTGAGACCATCATTGCACACACGGACGCCATGGAGCTTCTTCCTTGTGATCTCTTCTGCTATTTTTATCGTTTCACATCTGACACTGGAGTTTGGTGATAAATAATCCACTTGTAAAATCCTTTGTGTGGCTATTCAGATTTCCCCAACCTAGTTTATAGAAGATACTTGATTTTGCATTGGGCGTTCTTGCTTCTTTGGGAAAAGGCTGTGAGCTGCAAATGCAGTGACTTAGTTCTGGGCTCCTGTTGTTTTTCCTAAGCTCTAGTCTCTGCTTTTCTGCCAGTGCAATTGTATTTTGGTACAAAAAGTTTTGTAGTAGTATATCATGAAGTTAGGTAGTGTGGTGGCTCCAGCTTTGTGCTTTTTACTGGATTGCTCTGGGTTTTCAGGATCTTCTGCCATTTCATAGCAAATTTGGGATTCCCAGATTGTTTTTCTAAGAAGAATGTGTCATTGATATTTTTACAGGGGTTGTATAGAATCTGAGGATGACTCAGGTAGTAGTGATGTCAATGCCGTTTAGACAATGTGCGTGTTTGTGTGCACAAGCTCAGGGCCAAGAGACACTGGGTGTCCTCACCAATACTGAGGTGGGCCTTAATATCCAGCCAGATTGCCTTCTGGAAACACACGGAATGTCCTGTTCTGTTTTGCCATCTCTTCACATTTCCTCCCCTGTGAGCCCTGTGTGGTCCTCCAGATTCCCTGTGCGGTGGCCTGCCTTTTTTGGGGTGGGGAGTTGCTGGGTGAATGAGGATGGCGGAGGGAACCAAGTATGTCAGTGGAGCGTGGTGTCATCCAAACGGTACTTAGCAGGCCTGGGAGAGTCATTCTGGGAGGACGCAGACCTAGAGAGGCCTCAGGTGGGCATCTGTGTGGAGGGTGAGAGATCCCTGGTTGAGCCCAAACTGAACCCCAGGTAGAAGCAAGCCTCAGGACAGGGAAGTAGCTAGCAAGGGATGATGAGGGAGCTATCTCTTGACCCTGGCTTCCCACCCATTGACCTTAGCTACTTGTGCCTATTAAGCAGATTACGGTTCCCCCATCGTGAAATGTGGGTACCACAGTTCCCTGATGGGCATTTCTCCACCAGCCCATGATGGCCTGAGTTTCCTTACTGCAGTCTCCTCCCTGAGCCTTGGCTTCTCTATGTGTGTCCTAACTCCAGGACCCACAGGCCTGTCAACCCCCAGCCCTGGGCTGCTTCCCTGGCCTCTTCTCTGTTCCCTCTCTGAGGGCCTAACTCCCTTGGGTAGTGCTGCAGAATATAGAGCCACAGGCCCTGGCTGATGATCTGGTGGACTGGGCAAATTGGTCGTGACAGGTCAGGTTCTGGTTCAAAGCCAATTCCTCCGATGCCAAGGAATGTCGAAGAAGGTCCTTTGCCATGATGCCCCATAGCTGCCCCACCTCAGCAATCGTGCCGTAACCTGGGCCCTCACAGTCAGACAACCAGCTGAAGAAGCTCAGGCAGTGACCTGCGGGAAACTCGGGCTTTCACCTGCATGACCCTAGAACCACTGGACTGCAGTGGAGCCAGTCGCCCTGTATCCTGGAGGGAGACGAGTCAGGAAGGCGCACGCCAGGCCCAGCTCCCGAGGTACTACCCCCTCTACTCCTCAGGGAGGATGCCAACGCAATACTCCTTAGTCATCACTTTGTTTCCGAAGTAAATGTTGTGATGAAAGGCAAACTTCTTCCTACCCCTTGTATTCAGGGTGGCCGAGTTCCTCCACCTGCCTGTCCAAGAAGGAGAAACAGGGCTGTGAAGGGGCAATTTCATCTAGGTGGGCTGAGGTGGCATTCTAGCCGGGGTGAAGCATGCGTTTCCCCTTCCCAGCTTTCCCGCTGAGACACACCTGAGCCCCAGAAGGACCTCAACCTGACCAGGACCTTAGCACCCTCCCCCAGACCCAGGCTTTCCATCCTGACCTGCAAATCCAACATGCAGCTTTGAAGGACTTTCTCATGGTTTCTGAGCTCCTTGCTCTCACCAGAAAGAATCAGAACTTTTAAAGTGTTCTTTATGCCAACTTAAATTTTTCATTTTTACTACCTCATGTTTTGGATGAGGCATGTATTTTTAAATTTATTTTCACCCTTATTGTACCTCTATGATAAACTGCTTGCTTACATTCATACCGTAATTATCTCTCAGGTTACTTGTCTGTTCCTAAAGATTCACTGAAACGAAGAATTCTATATATGCTTGTATCTTTCAGCAACCGTATGTCAGATAGCACTGCACATTACTGCAGACATCGCATATACAGGTCCAAAGGTAGAGGAAGAAGAAGAAAGCAAGCGTTAAACTCTATTCATTCCTAAAAGCATATCAGAAACTCACAAATAACAGTGAAATCAAAGAATGATCACAGCCAATTCCATTACATACCTAGACTGAAATACGAAACTTCAAAGAAAAGAAACATTAGAACTTTGGGTTTGTAAAAATTTTCCTATATAGATAAAATTATTGGTAACTGTGTCTCACTAGAAAACGTAAACAAAAATCCATGTTTTTCATATTTGTAAATATACATAGTTTTATTTCCATCAGTTATGACATGCAAGCAAGTAATAAAGTGAAAGTACAATCAAATGATATATGGAACTTCCTCAGTCTTAAAATATTCCATGGAGACTATCAATTTTATGAAAACTATAAAGAATGCTTCATGAAACTACATTGTACAGTGCCATTTACTATTTTACTGACATTTTAAATAATCAACAATTAAAGGGAATACGTCAACATTATTTAATACCAATAACGTTATTTTTCTTGAGTAATCCTGTTGAAATTAAGGATTTTAAATAAAACATTAAAAACAAATTATATTGACTGATTTCAGCTTTGGATGAAATCATACTTGTGTATTTGTAGTAATGCGAAGCATAACTTTCTCCTCACAATTAATCTTTTATAACATCGGTGTTATAGTTTTCTCTGACACCAACATTGTGATATCGCACAGGTTTACTGCATGCATGCATTACATGCCTCCAGAGAGTAGGCTTCAAATATATGGAAAAATTATATTTATGAAAAAATTCTAGGAAAGGGAATGGTGAAATGGAAGAGAATTTCTCACTTGCTAACTGTTGGACATGGATTTGTATATATTTGGATATAGACACATACTGGCACACTGTGAGTTTGCCCATGTATATATACACTTATATGAGAAACCCATAATATATGGGTTGTGTAATCTTTTAATTAATCCATAATTGTATGTGTGTGAAATTAGATAAGCGGTTACCTTTTCTTTACTCAATTTGATGGAAAGCCAAAAAACTCTGTCCACCTTCATTTCAATTAATCCAATACTGTTAACTGCTGGTAGCTTCATTCTCCTTGTTCTCTTACGGCAACCGGAAAGTTAATTCTCGCTCTAATTTGGCTTTCAAGGTGCGATCAACAAGAGTGTCACCTTGCTGTGGATTGTGACCTCTGACTCCACCTCTGTCTTCCTTTTGCAGTCCTACCTTTGCATAGGTAACAAACTTTGTACATGGTTAAAAGGATAAAAGTTCAGTGAAATGTCAAGCCATGCTGTGAAATGTTCCATAGTTTCTATATCTCTAATTGTCCTTTGATGTTATAGAGGCAAGAAAAATAATTCAATGTTTTTCTTAGTATCTAGTCCAATGCACTCTTTCTTCATAATACTGCAAACAAGGCACTGACATGGAAACGTGGCTGGACGTCTCAAAATCTCTTCTCATTAATTACCATTATGTTAATCACTGTTGCCCACAACTGGAATTGGACTTTGAAATCCCCTGGTGGAAATTGCTATAATGGCTCAAACTACTGGAAAGACTATCTTTTTTTACCTGAAAATATCTGATGAGCATAGACGTATGCTATATACAGGAAGATATTGTACATTAACAACATACCATCACTGCCACTCAATAATAGGTATCCCAAACCTTTGAGCCAAACTGAGCTCAGGTGCTCCCACAAACCAAGCTTTTCCCTCCACAGATTTCTTATGTCAAAAAGCCACAACTCCAGGCCAGGCTTCGTGGCTCTTGTTGTAATTTCTACATTTTGGGAGGCCGAGGTTGGTGGGTCAGTTGAGGTCAGGAGTTGGAGACTAGCATGGGCAACATGGCAAAAAGCTGTCTCTACCAAAAATACAAAAATTAGCCAGACCTAGTGGCACTTTCCTGTGGTCCCAGCTACTTGGGAGGCTGAGGTAGGAGAACCACCTGAACATGGGTGGCAGAGATTGTATAGTAAGCCAAGATCAGACTACTGCACTCCAGCCTGGATGACACAGCGAGACCATGAAAAAAAAAATAAAGGCAACTCCACTCGTCCACTGGCTTAGGTAAAAAGTACTGGAGTTGGCTGGGCTCGGTGGCTCACACCTGTATTCCCAGCACTTTGGATTTTGGGAAGCTGAGTCGGGCGGGTCACCTGAGATCTGTAGTAGGAGAGCAGCCTGGCCAACATGGTGAAGCCTGGCTTCTACTAAAAATACAAAACATTAGCTGAGCGTGGTGATGCATGCTTGTAATCCCAGCTACTGCAGAGGCTGAACCTGGGAGGCGGAGGATGTGTTGAGCTGAGATCCTGCCACTGCGCTCCAGCCTGGTCTACAGAGCGAGAGTACCCTGTGAGAAACAAAGGTGAAGAGAACAAGAAAAAAAAATGAGAAAAATAAGACCCACTGCAAAAGGTTGCCACAGAAAAGATTAAACATTTCAGCAACTTCTATCTTCTATCATGGAAGCCAAGGTTATTTGGACCAAACCTCCTGTCTTAGTTCATTTTCACGCTGCTGAAGAAGAGATACCTGAAACTGGGAATAAAAGGAGGTTTAATTGGACTGACAGTTCCACATGGCTGTGGAGGCCTCAGAATCATGGTATACGAATAAAGGCACTTCTTACATGGCAATGCCAAGAGAGAATGAGGAAGAACCTGAGGCAGAAACCCCTGAAAAACCCATCAGATCCCGTGAGACTTCTTCACTGTCACAAGAATAGCATGAGAAAGACCGACCCCCATGATTCAATTACCTCCCCCTGGGTCCCACCCGCAACACGAGGGAATTCTGGGAGATACAATTGAAGCTGAGATTTGAATGGAGACACACCAAACCATGTCACTTCCCAAACAATTAAAAATTCCCAATAGAAGAAGCATTAATTATATCAAAAAGTGGTGGACCAAGAAGGAACTATTAGCCTCATATCTCAAGAAAGACTCCAGTCAAGGCCTAGGGACTACTCATGAAAAGAGTTTAATAGCCGACTCTCTCCCAGTGGATCTGGATTCCACCGGACTGTATCTTCACAGTAAGGGTGAAACAGAAGCAAACCCATTCCTATTTCCAAGCTCAAGGAACTTTGGTCAAAGTTCTCTTGGAGCTGAGCAGAACAAGGAGGCAAACAGAAAAGATTTGTGTCCCTGAGAAGTCATGGCCACAGGCTGGCTATCACACAGATTGTCAAGCCAGTTCCATATTGCATGGGTATTACAGAAAATCTCAAAACATAAATTTGTGTGTGGGTTGTCCCAGAGTAGCAGGATCTGGCAGAAGGAAATTTCCTTCTAACCCTCAAAGAATCCACATAAATCTTGTTACATTTGGGATTTTACGATTTGCTTCAGGAATGAGAATGGCCTTAATTTTCATATCTTTTTCTACACTCAGTTTATGGCTTGTTGGCGTCAAAGTTCTGCTTGCTTCACACAATGAGTTTAGGATTTTCCCTTTTTTATTCTATAGAATTCTTCATATATATTGAAATGCTCTGCCTGGGGAAAAAAATCTGAGCCTAGCGTTTTATCTCTAGGAAGAATCCTTTATTTCCTTGAACATTTATGAGACTATACAGATTATATATGTCTTCTTGTATCAATTTTACTAAGCTATATACATAGCTTATGTTTATATATTATATATATAAATGTAAGATACAAATATAAAAATTATGTATAAATATGAAAATATATATAGAAAGCGATATATATGTCTATATATATAGACAGATTATAAATATCTGTCTATTTGATCTAAGTTTTCAAATTTGTAGGTTAAGGTGTTAACGATATTTCCTTATTAGCTTCTTAATCTATGCTGTATCTATGGTTGTGTACCTTTTAAATTCTTAGTTTTATCTATGTTTTCTCCCTTTTTTTCTAAACTTGACTGACGGTTGCATCATTTATTATATTTCTCCAACAAGCAAAGGTTAGCTTTGTATGTTTTACTAATTTTGTCTACATCATTATTCCCACACTTTAGTTTTTCAGAATTGATTCTGTTGTTTCTTTTCTAATTCTTTATTGAAATATCTAGTACATTAATTTTCAAGTTATTAGAGAAATATTTGTCTGTAAACTCCTATTGTAATATCACTTTTCTTGCTACTCACAGATTTAATCTTTAATATTGGCGGTATCATTGAGTTCTAAGTACATTTCAATTCCTAGTATGATAATCTATGAATTGCTGAGAAATAGTGTTTACAATTTTGTTGTTCTATTTCCACTTAAGTTTATTTTTACTTCTGCTAACTCAATTGAAAATTCTTTACTAATTTTTAAAATCCTTGAACCCAAGAGATGGAGGTTGCAGTGAGCTGAGATCAGGCCACTGCATTCCAGACTGAGTGACAGAGTGGAACGAGATTTCAAAACAAAACAAAACAAAACAAAACAAAACAGTCACTGGAAAGATAATAAAATACATAAATGTGGGATGTAATATGTAATCGTGATAAAATAAACTGGATTTTTTGTGTAAGTTATACATATAAATGTAATGCCAAGACACTGATAAGACAACTCATGGTCTTATCTCAATACTTAGTGTCTTCATGTAACATATGTCCTTTAGGATAGTTATAGTCCGTTTTCTTTCCAGGAGAGACAGATGAGAATGCAGAAATGTTAAAGTGCAAGGGACGGAAGCTTCCAGCTGTGCCCACCTGTAACCTGACGTAGACAGTTCCACCGTTTGCTTCATTAATCATGCCAAAGGCTCTAATGCAAATGTGGTACAGAGTCACATGTTTTTGTATCTACATGATAGAAACTATAACTTCATCCCTATATAGAAGGGTATATAGCATATGCCTCAGTGATAAATATAAGTGAATCATTGATCAGTAGGAAACCATTTTAAAAGTCTTTCATAACAGAACAAAATCCCTGAAAACATTTTCTTCTCAATCTCTGAGTTTTCTTACACGGCTTATGAATCTCTAGCCATACTAAAGAGATAGTATGCTGCTCTTCCCACAAATTATTCATTGTATATAATTCCTGTAATCTAATAACAGTACCTTTACACCTCAGGGTTTAAAATGACTCCAACCTTTTTCTGTTTCTCCAATTAAAATAACTTTTTTAAGGTTTAATCTTCAGTAATTTTTTGTAGTAATATTTTTGAAGGTATTTGACCAGGATGATTTGCTTATATACCTACCTGACGTCTCCCTTTCTTCTGAATACATATTTTATTACCCACCTATTAGATCTAAGTTTAAGAAGTTGGAATAGGGATTTAAATCTAAATTCTACATTTGAATTTACAGGAGTCAGCGAGTCCGGGAAGTGCCTTTATGCACAGACCAATATCTGGCAATGGCACTAGGAGACAAATAAGCTTTACCAGTCTCAAAGCCCTGGCTACTACAGTGAATCCACCCTTCTCCTGGATCTTATCTACTTCAGCAAAAGAAGGCCACCCACTAAACCAGGCCCTTGTACTTTGGGTGGAAACTCCTAAGTCCTCTAGTCTCCTCAAACAGACAGCCAGGCTGCCAATTTCCACAATAATAATTTCTATAGCACTGAGTCTTTGGTAGCCTTGTAACTATAGCTACTGATGCTACAGTCTGGTCCCTGTATGATAAAACACCAGAGCAACAGAAACAAAAATATTGACTGAAGCCTTCTAAAATCTCTCTAAATATACCTTCAATAAATATGGTTTTTTTTACAGAACGACTGCTTTCAGCTTCCTGAACTAACGCTTGGCCTTCGCTAGTTGTCACTGTTGAAATTGATTCAAAAGTGTACATTTAACATGAAAGTCAACACAGAATTTCATGTGTCAGCAACTAAAATTTTCAAAATGTTGCAAAATACAAATGTGAAACTGTATTTGTGAAATTTACCATTCATTGAAATTATATTTTCATACCTACCCAGGCACAGAATTTTTTATAACTGTCTGCATGTTCTCCTCATGTGGGGGAAAAGCAGCATCAGCAGGCAGAGGAATCCTTTGAAGCTGGAGGGAGAGGTTGCAGTGATCTGAGAGTTTGCCACTTGACTGCAGCCTGGATGACACAGTGAGACTCCAACTGAAAAGAAACAAACACACACACACACACACACACACACACACACACCCCCAAAATTGATAAGTAAAAAAAAAATCCATATTCGAAAACATGCTCACAGGCTATCTCCCATATCTAACACACACACACACACACACACACACACACACACACAAACACACACAATTCCTTGAAAACGAAAGTTCCACAAGGGCAAAACAAGAAAACAAATTTAACACCCCCCAAAGAAAGTACAAAGAGTAACCTCAAAAGAACCGCAGGGGAAAACAATTCAAAATTTACAAGTATCTACCCTAAAAGAAGCTGAAAGTCCCTCAAAAACTTTCCAGAGGCCATGTCCTTGTATTACAAAAATGATCATAAAAACTGGCAGGAGTAGACGAATAGAAATGCATCTTAAAACTTGCTAAACCCTTCAAGTCTCCCATAAGAATTGTAATGGAAAATGGATCGGTCGGCAGCTTTTTCCATACAATTATGAACAAATTATATTTCTTCATACATAGATTTGTTTTTTCAATATTCTAAGGAATTAACTTTTATATTAATAGTAGGTGATGTAAGAAAGCAGGCCTTTATCAAGATAACTGACACTGGATGTCCATACCATTACTCAGGTGGGCCTTAATTCCCAGCCGGGTTCCCTCCCTGGACACACACTGAAGGTCCCCAGCCATTTGGCAATCTCTTCACATTCCCAGCCCTGGAGGTAGCCCTAAAATACATGTACCTGAAGAAAATAAAACATTGCCTCACACTGGAGCCCAGTGTGGTCCTCCAGATTCCGTGTGAGGTGGACTAACTTATATGGGAAGGCAGGGCAGCGGGAGTGAGGATGGCAGAGAGGATTACACATGTCAAGGCAGCCGGGGTCATGGAAACAAAACATGACTGGCCTGGGAGAAACACTGTGAAAGGACACAGACCTAGGTGGGCCTCAGGTGGACATCCTCGTGGAGAAAAAGGGGGCCCTGGTTGATCTCAAAATGAGCCCCAGGTGGTAGCAGGTCTTACCGCAGGGCAGGGAGCTGGCGAGTAATGATGAGACAGCTATCCCTTAAGCCCTGCTTGTCACCCACTGACTTTAGCCACATATGCATCATAGTGGCTTAAGGTGCCCCGATCCTGAAATGTGGGTGTTACATGTCCCTGATGGGCCTCTCTCCCCCAACCCACGGATTGCCTGGGATTGCTCACTGCAGTCTCCTCCCGGATCCTTGGGTTCTCCATGTGGGGCCCAGATCCAGGTCAAAAGGCCTCTCAGTTCCCAGCCCTTCCCAGCCCTAGGCTGCTCGCCTGGCCTCCTCTCTGTTCCGCCTCTAGGGCTGACCCTCTCTCCATGGGATAGAACTGCAATGGATTGAGCCATAGGCCCTGGCTGATGATCTAGGGGACTGCAGAAGTGGGTCCAGGACAGTTCAGGTGACAGTTCAAAGCCAATTCCCCAGAGACCAAGGAATGACCAGCTAGGTCCTTTCCCATGATGCCCCACGGCGAACCCCACCTCAGCAATCCTGCCAAAACCCGGGCAGTCATGTTCAGCCAAACAGCTGAATGAGCTCAGGTAGGAGGTGTACTGCCTGCAGCTGGAGGCTTGACCTTCGTGATCCCAGAACCGCTGGACTGCAGTGGAATGAGACACCCTGTAGCCTGCAGGGAGAGGAGTCAGGAAGGTTCATGCCAGTCCCACCCTCCCACACACCAGCTCCCCTACCATGCTGGGAGGCATTCCTTACCGAGGATGCCAACACAGTGCTCCTTCATGATGATTTCACTGTGGAAATAAAGGTTGGGATGAAAGGAAATCATCCTGCCACCGGTAACCGGGATGGCTGAGTTCCTCCACCTGCCGGATCAAGGAGAAAGAGGATGGATTCAATGGGACCATCTCAACTAGCTGGGCTGAGGTGGCCTACTAGCTGTAGTGAACCATGAGTTTCCCCTTCCCAGCTCTCCCACTGAGACAACCCTGGTCCCCAGGGGGACCTCAAACTGACTCAGACACTGGACTCCTCCCACAGACCCAGGCTCCCCAGCCTGACCTGCAAATCCATCACGTAGCAAAGCAGGACTTCCGCATGCTTTCCGACCCACGCCGACATCTCGTGTGCCAAACAATCTACCTCTGCGCAAGAACTCTCCAGAGGATTGGGTGGGCAAGCCTCGTGACGCCTTGCAATTTCGCAAGAACACAGACAATGTGGAACAGGGCCATCTCCCAGACATTTGGCCAGTCACCCTTCATTGTTGGCCCTCTATCTCTGTCTGGCGAGGAGGCAACGCCACAACTGTGGTGGTTTTTGGAGTGGGTGGACCCCGGCCAAGACGGCCTGGGCTGACCAGAGACGGGAGGCAGAAAAAGTGGGCAGGTGGTTGCAGCTGAGGGACGGGAGGGGCCGGGGGTGGTGTGAGGCGGCTGCTTCTCTGAGTTTCTGAGATGCAGGAGGCCTTTGTGTGCTGGGTGCTGGACATGCTCCGCTGATGTCCGGGTGTGTGGTGTCCTCTTATCCTAGTCTCCCTGAGGGGTGGGCCTGTCCACCTGAGGGAAGCCTTGTAGTTAGAAGCCACAGCAGGGTCGTGCCTGGCGCTCTCCAAGGGAATTGCGTGGGTCCAGAGGAAGTTATACAGGCTCAGGGCCTACACGCCTTTGAGTGCAGCGCCTGCAGTTGGATGAATGCGCATCTGCGGAGCTGGTGCCCGCCGTCAGGTGGTCGGCAGCCCCATGCGCCGCGAACCCGTCTTAAGCACCTTGTGTTTCTGGGGTGAGCCTGCTGGAAACAGGCACCGAGAGCAGGGGTGGTTCAATGGCTGGTAATGGCATACAGATTCCCCGTCCTCCAGGGACGTTCCCAGGGAAACGCGTCCTTCGAATTTGGGCTGTGCGCAAAGGGACCTTGGCGCCGCGATTCTCCCTTGTCAGTGCTGGCCCTGGCTCCCCTTCCCTACCACGTGCTCCCAGGGCTGCTACAAGCGAGCTGCCCTCACAGCTGCGGGAACGTGGCCTCGGCTCCCACGCTGTCCCCCATCCCCTGCCTCCTGGCTGACCCCACGTGCCTCCCACCTGGCTCCTCCCCGCAAACAGCCCCCATACCCCCCGAGGCCCGATGACTATCCCCTGCTGCCCGCCATCCCAAATCGGCAGCCGCAAGGATATGGCTCTGGCTCACAAGGCGGAGATGCTCTGTGGCCTGGGGCATTCACGGAGCCCAGCTCCAAGTGAAGGACCTCCAGCGAGTCCATTGACGGCCCCGGTGTGCTCGGTCCAGGGCCAGGCTGTGCCCGCTGGCCCTCCTTCTGCCACCCCACGTCGGGCTCCACCTCAACCACCACCTCCACCTCAGCCATGATGTCTTCCACCTTCAGCACCGCCTCCTCTTCCAAGGCCGCCTCCTTGCTCTGTACCCCGGCCGTCCTCTCCAGCATTGCCTCCAGCCTGAACACGGTTTTCTCCTGGGTGCTCCCACAGACCCTGGGCCTGCGCAGCCCAGCCCAGCCCAGCCCATGCCCCGCACCCGTAGGCTCTGGGGGCCCGCTCCCCAGCAGACCCGCTCCCTGCAAGACCCACGGGCGTCGCCCTGCTGTGAACCTGGTCCCACACCTACGTGGACCCAGGTTTCCTGAGGAGCTCCGCTGGACCCGCAGATCCCGCACTGGCCAAAGGGCTCCGGTCCCCAGCAGGCTCAACTGCGCACAGGAGCTCGGGAGCCAGAGGCCCCGGCCCTGGGCTTGCAGAGCCCCACCAACAGGCACCGCAACCGCTGCTGCGGGTGCGGGAGCCTCTGGGTCGTCAAGGCAGCGCACAACAGCGTGCGCGCAGGCCGACAATGGCCAACCCTGGCGGCTGGCCTCTGGTGTGCCCAGGGCATAGGACAAGAGGCCCTTTGGAATGCTCCTTGGAGTACAGCATCCTCAGGGAGGAAGCATGGTACTCGGAGCCTCTATTTGCCTCGACCTGTGAGAGTGTGTGCCGGGGCTCTGGCCTCTACAGCAGATCAATTCCACCTCAGCACCGGCAGGCGACTTTCCTCCCACGTGCCCGCCCCGATCACTTCCCCCAGGACACCCCTGCCGCCCTAGCCCCAGCAACCAGAGAGAGTTCTCTGCATCTGCTGTATTACCTCCGTACCATCTACCTGGCCTGCCTAACGAAGAGAGATGTTTCCTGTGTTCATGACACATAGAGATGTTCATGGCTTGCCACACTGAGGATGTCAGGGCACAGGGCTGCCATGCCCACAATTCCAAAGGCCACGCAGCCCGCGTGTGCCCGGATGCCTAGCTACCCGGCACAAGCTCCAAGGGCTTCTCGGAGGAGGCTTGGGCAGGGAAGGCGGGGGGTGGGGGGGCTGGAGATGCAGGCCCGCCAGTGGCTGTGCCGCCCAGGGAGACGCCCACCGCCCTCCCATTGACTGGCCACGACGGGAGGAAGTCGGCCTGGGTGCGGCCCCCCGGCCCTTCGCGCGCAGTCCCTTAGGGGGCGCCTGGAAGCCCGGCGCATGCGCCCTGAGGGCTCGCTGACCTACCGGGTGCCAGAGAGGCTGCGGCAGGGTTTCTGTGGCGTGGGTCGGGCAGCACAGGCCTTGGTGTGTGCGAGTGCCAAGGAGGGCACCGCCTTCAGGATGGAGGCTGTACAGGAGGGGGCGGCCGGGGTGGAGAGTGAGCAGGCGGCTTTGGGGGAGGAGGCGGTGCTGCTGTTGGATGACATAATGGCGGAGGTGGAGGTGGTGGCGGAGGAGGAGGGCCTCGTGGAGCGGCGGGAGGAGGCCCAGCGGGCACAGCAGGCTGTGCCTGGCCCTGGGCCCATGACCCCAGAGTCTGCACTGGAGGAGCTGCTGGCCGTTCAGGTGGAGCTGGAGCCGGTTAATGCCCAAGCCAGGAAGGCCTTTTCTCGGCAGCGGGAAAAGATGGAGCGGAGGCGCAAGCCCCACCTAGACCGCAGAGGCGCCGTCATCCAGAGCGTCCCTGGCTTCTGGGCCAATGTTGTATCCTTCTCAGTATTTCTTCGGCCTTTCTAGTGGAGAGGTGCTCTCGGGGAAGTGTAAGTGACCGATGGGCAGCTCGGCGTCGATGTGACTCTTTGGGGAACAAAGGGGAGTTGCCACGGACCAGTGTGGCTGTGGAAAGCCGGAGCAGGCGTGGGTACTATTGTCCTGCATGCGGCAGAGAAACCCTTGGTGATGCCGAGCAGCAGACGTTTGGGGCATCTTTTTGAAGAGCAGAAGCGAGTTCAGAGCGGAAGAGGTTTTTCAGTGAATGAAGCTATTTTTAAGGGAGTGTGATTGCTGCCCCTTGCTAGTCCGATCTGGGACTGGGCGTCTTCGGCTATAAGCAGATTCTGCCACTCCTCAGACACCAGCAAGTCTCTGCAAATCGCGCCTCCCCATGTCAGTGCAGTCAGCCTCAGAATCATACACCCTCTGTGAACACAGGAGGCCTTAGTTTACGGGGACGGGGAGGCGAAAGGAGATCATACATGGAAGCAGATCTGAGAAATCCCCTACCCCAGCCTCTGGGTGCTCTTAGGCCTTCTTCCCTGTTGCTCCTCGCTTTCCCTTCCATCGTGTGTAAAGTCTCTTTGACCTAAATCAGATTGCAAACCACCCCCAGATGTCAGCCCTGATCACTGACGAAGATGAAGACATGCTGAGCTACATGGTCAGCCTGGAGGTGAGGCCAGGAAGACTGGGGCTAGAGGGTTTAGCGGGGGAGGGTAAGGGAAATAATTCATTCCTGTAAGCAAGAGTGAGCACCTCACCCGAAAACCTATCTAAGCTTTCTCCACCTTGTCCTGACAGGTGGGAGAAGAGAAGCATCCTGTTCATCTCTGCAAGATCATGTTGTTCTTTCGGAGTAACCCCTACTTCCAGAATAAAGTGATTACCAAGGAATATCTGGTGAACATCACAGGTGACAGGTGGCTCCCAGGATGGGTAGTGGGAGGAAGATGGTGGGTGGATCATTGCCAACGGGATCCAGCCCCCTTCCCACAAAAACTCCTGTCTCTGTAGAATACAGGGCTTCTCATTCCACTCCAATTGAGTGGTATCCGGATTATGAAGTGGAGGCCTATCGCCGCAGACACCACAACAGCAGCCTTAACTTCTTCAACTGGTTCTCTGACCACAACTTCGCAGGATCTAACAAGATTGCTGAGGTGAGTCCTCACTGGGAAACATGAGGAATGACCCCGTGTGTTCCCAGCTGCTTGGGTCACCTTTCTGAGCCCTGATGAGGCCTTTCCCGATTGAGTCCCCTGACAGATCCTATGTAAGGACCTGTGGCGCAATCCCCTGCAATACTACAAGAGGATGAAGCCACCTGAAGAGGGAACAGAGACGTCAGGTGAGCCGTTAGTTGGCACTGGAGCTGTTTGATGCCCAGTATAAGGGGGTTGACACACCTGCCTATTCAGGGAGCCTGGGTGCTCATTTCAGAAATGTAGAAATTGAGGCTCCTTTCGTACATGTAGAAATTCCTTGAGAGGAAGACAGAGAGTGACAGAATCCAGGACGTTCATGGCATTGGGCTGAAAAGGCACGTTAGAGACTGCACTGCAAAGCGGGTGATAGCTGTGGAGTCTTAAGCCCAGTGAAGAATCGTCCATTTCCAGAATCAATGAGAAGTAAAGCTGAAAATCATTCAGTTCAGTCTGTGGCACTTGATTCCACGGCTGTCAACCCCACCGGCAGTCATCCCACCAACCCCATGAGATTGGGCTCCCTGAATGTGCGTCCTGGTCATCCTTGCCCCAAACCACAAAGGACTGTTTAGATTGATGGATTTCCTTAAGCTGTTGCCCCATCAGACTTGTGTGTGCTTTTAGGGTCCAGTGCATCTTGTTAGCTGACTCCCCTCACAGACAATACTGGGAATGGGGCAGGGATTGCGCAGAACAGTTTGTAACACGTGGTAGGAGGAAGTTTAAGGGATCACAAATGGGGAAGGGATATCCTTTTCTCAGCGGGCCCCACAATTGAAACATTTCAAAGTATGGCTCAGAGAAAATGCGTTTTAACATGAGTTTGTGTTTCTCTAGGGGACTCCCAGTTGTTGAGTTGAATATGATGGAGCATCAGATTTTACCTAATACAGCAGAACTCCTAAAAAGTTACAGCCATATGCAGGACGGCAGTACTCAGCATGGTCTTATGCACAGGAACTAAAGGAAAAAGAGATCGAGTCACAAAAATTCAGGAAGAGGGGGTAAATGTGGATTGTATGGAATGAAAAATAAACATTCTCAAGGATGTGTGACTCTGTGTCTGTGTGTGTGTGTGTGTCTTTGTGTTTGTGTGTGTGTGTGTGTGTGTGTGTGTATGTTTATCCACTTTATTCGGGTGTCATAATGAATTGATCAATCCACGTGCTTTATTCTCTTCATGGAAATAACCAGTCTGCGTTGGAGCTGGGCCTCTAAAGTTGTAGAGTGAATGGGTGTGGGATGTGTTGGGATTCTTCCTACAGGACAGAGTGGGAGAGGTAAAAGCAAAAGACAGCTTAGTTGGAGGCTGACTTCGTCCTATGGAAGCAGAGATAGTTCAAGGAAAGGGGTTACTGGGTTTCCAGGGCCCAGTTTGCTGGGACCTCCAAAATCCTTCATTTTGGGTATCATCATACACAGTAGCTAAGCACAGGATGATGGAAATCTTAAAGTTCGCTTTCGTGTTGAATCCACATGTTCTTTTAAAGGTGAATGCATGATCCTTTTCTGGGACAATCAGCCTCTCAGGACTTCTGAAACATCAACGTGAGAAGAAATGGGCATGTAAGGTGTATGGAGGGACTGTGGGAAAGGTGACAGAGGCATGTGGGAAGGCATTCAGGATACGCTTTTGGCAGAGATGACTAAGGGAAAACAGAAACTTACAGAAGTGAGGGGAAAGGGGGTGGATTAGTGGAATATAAGATTGTTGGAGAATCCATCCATGGACTCTCTTGTCACTTGATGACCCAGGATATGGACACTCTTGTTGATGTTTACATCTTTAGTTGTTTTAAGCTTTTCTCCAAGATTCTGTGTTAGGTGAGGAGCCAATAACGTATGTAGCTAACAACAGTACGAGTGCATTTTGTGCTCTTGCAAAGTCTAGTGAGGCTCTATTCTCCCTCGTGATTGGCACTGCAGATTGTATCTGGAGCCCAGGGCCCCTAAATTTTCTGTGGCCTCTTCAGCATAGTTTGCCTAAGGTTTAGAACGTAAAGCGAATATAGTTGCGGAATATGTTTTGCAAGCCTCACACAGGAGGACAAAACATACAGCTTTCATTCGCGAGTGGGAGGCTGCTTCCCAGGAACACGTGTGTCTGCACAAGACAAGGGGTTGCCTCTGTCAAGGATGGGGCAGGAGGATTTCAGTGTCGGAGGCAGAACTTTCTTTCCTGTTCCCAGATGAAACAGTTCCAACACGAGCATCCATGTTGACCACACGCTACTAGAGTGCTAACATTGCTGTCCCGTATAGACTCTGGTCAGCACAGCTTCTGTGAGAAGAGCTATGTTGTTTCAGGGAAGAGGGTTTGACAGTCAAAGTTCCTGAATCTGTTGTGGTGCCTGCAATATGCATTCTACCCCTCCTGCTCGGTGTCAAAGCAGTTGAGCTTTGAAAATCTATCGCCCGGTTTTGTCCCTGCTCCTATGCAGACCTCTGAAGCTCTGGAGCGGGAGTCTTGTCCTCCTCTGACTACCGTCCCCCTGACCCACAAACACAGGAGAAACAGGTGTTCTAAGCAAATTATTCTGAAAACAGTCGGAACACTTTGGCCCCCTCAAGCTGCCCTGTATCCTACTGTGTGCATGTCAAAGACACTGTGGTCCAGTACGGTATCCCTATAGCGGCAATGGGGCAACAGATTGGTGTGTGCACTCTGGGCAACTCAGATTAGGAAACGTCTGGGGACTTGCCTATAACGAGGTCGTCTTAAAACGTGTTGCCCCAAATTTAAGGCATAGGAAAATGTTGAGGAAAGGGTCTTGCAATGATTTTTCTAGGAGGTAAATAGATAAGAAAATGACCGTAAATAGATGCCAGGGCTAGTTTTGGAGCTAGCCTTTTTTAAAGTGGTGGTAGGGGAGGAGGTTTTTCCAAGGCAGGTAGCAAACCAGGAACTGTCTACGATGGATGGGCGTGCCATGGGTTGGTGGCTCAGCCATATTGCCACCCCACGGAGTCGATGCAGCAGACTGGGCTTCTTGCTTGAATCCTACGTGCAATTCAGTCTAGTGATTTCACATGAGATCCCTTCTTCTGGTATTATCACAGATCGTGCTGAATTATACAGGCTGTGTAATGCTTCTTCCACTGAATATCCGTGCACGTGGGCCACAGATGCTAAGGGCACTGACAAATTTGCACCGTGCCTCAGTAACTCGGAAGCACATCTGTGATTTGTACCGACAGGGACTTGGTGTCTTTTCGTGTTTAAAGTAGCACGTGTGTGTTTGTGGTTGCGTATGTTTATTTCTCTGTGCGGGTTTGTATATTTTCTCTGACTCCACCTATGTCTCCGTGGTTCCGATATTTTTCCACACTCCCTGCGACAATTTGCACATGCCTATCTCTACAACCATTGTAGACTTTGTATCTGTGTCTTTGAACATCTGTCACTCTCTCTCCCTTCCTTTTTTCTTTTCCTTCCTTTACACCCCTCCTTTCATCCTTCCCTTGCTTCCCCACCACACTCTCTCCATCTGTATCGTCTATGTTTCTATTCTCTATCTGGGTTTACTTTCTAATTCTGAATTCAAGGGCATTGAATTGAAAAGAAGCACTCTTCGTACTTTTATGTGTTTTAACTCATTTGGGGAATTTGGCGTGGTATTATTTACAGGGTTCTCTCTGCCCTTTCTCATTGTTCTCCCCAGCCGGGGCTGTTATTATGTGAAAGCTGGTTTCCTTCATCACATCGCGTAGGCTCTAATGATGTTTCGTTTATTTTGATTCTCCTCACACTACATAGTTTTAATTTACCTAATGTGACTGTTTTTTTGTTTGTTTTCCGAGAATGGGTCTTACTCTGTCTTCTAGGTTGGACAGCAGCCCCACGATCTCAGCCCACTGCAGCCCAGGCACCACACACCCATGTGATCCTGTCAACTCAGACTCTCACACACCTGGCAGTACAGGTGCATGCCACCCCTCCAAGCTATGTATTAATTAACTAAATACTTACTTTTTGAATGTGGGTCCATGTTGCCCCAGGCTCATCTGGAACTCCTGAGTGCAGGCAATCCTCCCACCTCAGCTTATCAAAGTGCTGGGATGACAGGTGTGACCCATGGCCCTGCCATGGCTTTGTGTTTTTTGCTTTTTTCTTCCTCCTCCTCACGTCTTGTTTTGAAACATGCACTGAAGGTTTCAATTCATGGACTATAGCCTCTGTGCCTGGAATTTCTATCTTTCAACTCATCATCAGCATTCATTGGGATTTTCATATATATATATACCTATATAAGAATACCTATGTACACACATATATACGTATATACATGTATATACGTATATATGCACATTTATATACGTATATACATGTATATACGTATATATATACATGTACACATATGTATTTATTTCTCAAGTTACGAAACGGCTTGCATTCTTTCCTGTGTCATGAAAAAGACTTTGCTAGAAAAGAAAAGCACTGCTTTATAATAAAATATTTTATTTGCATTTATTTTGTTAAGGCATTTTAAAAATTGTATGTTTGTTTAAAAAATGTCATATGAAATGATACATATTTACAACTTAAGGCGTGATGTTCAACAGGTCATATACATTATGCATTGGATACATCCAGCCAATCAACATATGTGTGACCTCACATAGTTGTCATTTTTGTTGTGAAAAAACTTGACCTGCACTGTATTCGAATATTTTTAGAGAAAGAATATGTTACCACTAGTTATAGTGAGCATGCTGAAGAAAATATTTTTAACCTATTCCTCCTTTATAACTAGAAGTATGAGTTCTTCATCCAGCATCTCGTCAGTGCACCCTCTTCACCGCAGTCATTGGAGTCACTACTTCTGTGAAGTCCGCTTTTTTGATTTCATATAAGAATGAGATCATGTGCTACTTTCCTTTCTGATACCTGGCTTATGTCACTTAACAGAATGGCATGCACACATTCAGCAGATTCCCACACATTCTCACAACTGGCAGGATTTCCTGATTTCTTATTGCAGCGCATATTTCCGTTGCGCATATGCGTTTTTGCCCCATTTTTTAATCCACTTATCAATGGAGGGACTCTCAGGTTGCTTCCGCATTTTGGCTACAGCAAAAATGTAATGAGTGCAGCAATAATTGCATGGGTGCGCGCACCGCTTCAACATACTGATCTGTGTACTGGCGGGCGTGCCCGGGTATTCTGATTTGCTGGATCATATAGTGGGTGGTTCTACTTGTAGATTTCTGAAGGCTGTTTATACTTAAATAAGAGCCATAAAGCTTCTTTAATGCCAGCACTAATTTACATTCTCCCCAAAAGTGAGCAGGGAATTCGTTTTCTCTGCCTCCTCACCAGAGATTAGGGTTTTCTTTTCTTTCTTTTTTTTTTTTTGTTTGTTTGTCTTTCGGATAATATGCATTCTGACTGAAGTGAGAAGAAATCTCATTGTGTTTTTGATTTGCATTTTCGTGATGGATTGGGGATAATGAGGAATTTTTAGTGTGTCTTCTGGGCAACTGTATGTCTCAGTTTCACAAATGAGTCTTCGCAGCCTTCGCCCATTTGTTTTCATGCTATTGAGTTGTTGGGAGTTCCTTATGTACTGTGACTATTCCCCCATGAACAGATGTATGGTGATCCAATCATTGCTCCCATCCTGTAGGATGCCCCTTCTGTATGTTGAGTTTTCTATGGTGTGGTGAAGCACTTTAGTTTGATATGATTCCATTCTCTATTTTTGATGGTGTTTACTGTGTTCTTGCAGTCACTTTGAGACCATCATTGCACACACGGACGCCATGGAGCTTCTTCCTTGTGATCTCTTCTGCTATTTTTATCGTTTCACATCTGACACTGGAGTTTGGTGATAAATAATCCACTTGTAAAATCCTTTGTGTGGCTATTCAGATTTCCCCAACCTAGTTTATAGAAGATACTTGATTTTGCATTGGGCGTTCTTGCTTCTTTGGGAAAAGGCTGTGAGCTGCAAATGCAGTGACTTAGTTCTGGGCTCCTGTTGTTTTTCCTAAGCTCTAGTCTCTGCTTTTCTGCCAGTGCTATTGTATTTTGGTACAAAAAGTTTTGTAGTAGTATATCATGAAGTTAGGTAGTGTGGTGGCTCCAGCTTTGTGCTTTTTACTGGATTGCTCTGGGTTTTCAGGATCTTCTGCCATTTCATAGCAAATTTGGGATTCCCAGATTGTTTTTCTAAGAAGAATGTGTCATTGATATTTTTACAGGGGTTGTATAGAATCTGAGGATGACTCAGGTAGTAGTGATGTCAATGCCGTTTAGACAATGTGCGTGTTTGTGTGCACAAGCTCAGGGCCAAGAGACACTGGGTGTCCTCACCAATACTGAGGTGGGCCTTAATATCCAGCCAGATTGCCTTCTGGAAACACACGGAATGTCCTGTTCTGTTTTGCCATCTCTTCACATTTCCTCCCCTGTGAGCCCTGTGTGGTCCTCCAGATTCCCTGTGCGGTGGCCTGCCTTTTTTGGGGTGGGGAGTTGCTGGGTGAATGAGGATGGCGGAGGGAACCAAGTATGTCAGTGGAGCGTGGTGTCATCCAAACGGTACTTAGCAGGCCTGGGAGAGTCATTCTGGGAGGACGCAGACCTAGAGAGGCCTCAGGTGGGCATCTGTGTGGAGGGTGAGAGATCCCTGGTTGAGCCCAAACTGAACCCCAGGTAGAAGCAAGCCTCAGGACAGGGAAGTAGCTAGCAAGGGATGATGAGGGAGCTATCTCTTGACCCTGGCTTCCCACCCATTGACCTTAGCTACTTGTGCCTATTAAGCAGATTACGGTTCCCCCATCGTGAAATGTGGGTACCACAGTTCCCTGATGGGCATTTCTCCACCAGCCCATGATGGCCTGAGTTTCCTTACTGCAGTCTCCTCCCTGAGCCTTGGCTTCTCTATGTGTGTCCTAACTCCAGGACCCACAGGCCTGTCAACCCCCAGCCCTGGGCTGCTTCCCTGGCCTCTTCTCTGTTCCCTCTCTGAGGGCCTAACTCCCTTGGGTAGTGCTGCAGAATATAGAGCCACAGGCCCTGGCTGATGATCTGGTGGACTGGGCAAATTGGTCGTGACAGGTCAGGTTCTGGTTCAAAGCCAATTCCTCCGATGCCAAGGAATGTCGAAGAAGGTCCTTTGCCATGATGCCCCATAGCTGCCCCACCTCAGCAATCGTGCCGTAACCTGGGCCCTCACAGTCAGATAACCAGCTGAAGAAGCTCAGGCAGTGACCTGCGGGAAACTCGGGCTTTCACCTGCATGACCCTAGAACCACTGGACTGCAGTGGAGCCAGTCGCCCTGTATCCTGGAGGGAGACGAGTCAGGAAGGCGCACGCCAGGCCCAGCTCCCGAGGTACTACCCCCTCTACTCCTCAGGGAGGATGCCAACGCAATACTCCTTAGTCGTCACTTTGTTTCCGAAGTAAATGTTGTGATGAAAGGCAAACTTCTTCCTACCCCTTGTATTCAGGGTGGCCGAGTTCCTCCACCTGCCTGTCCAAGAAGGAGAAACAGGGCTGTGAAGGGGCAATTTCATCTAGGTGGGCTGAGGTGGCATTCTAGCCGGGGTGAAGCATGCGTTTCCCCTTCCCAGCTTTCCCGCTGAGACACACCTGAGCCCCAGAAGGACCTCAACCTGACCAGGACCTTAGCACCCTCCCCCAGACCCAGGCTTTCCATCCTGACCTGCAAATCCAACATGCAGCTTTGAAGGACTTTCTCATGGTTTCTGAGCTCCTTGCTCTCACCAGAAAGAATCAGAACTTTTAAAGTGTTCTTTATGCCAACTTAAATTTTTCATTTTTACTACCTCATGTTTTGGATGAGGCATGTATTTTTAAATTTATTTTCACCCTTATTGTACCTCTATGATAAACTGCTTGCTTACATTCATACCGTAATTATCTCTCAGGTTACTTGTCTGTTCCTAAAGATTCACTGAAATGAAGAATTCTATATATGCTTGTATCTTTCAGCAACCGTATGTCAGATAGCACTGCACATTACTGCAGACATCGCATATACAGGTCCAAAGGTAGAGGAAGAAGAAGAAAGCAAGCGTTAAGCTCTATACATTCCTAAAAGCATATCAGAAACTCACAAATAACAGTGAAATCAAAGAATGATCACAGCCAATTCCATTACATACCTAGACTGAAATACGAAACTTCAAAGAAAAGAAACATTAGAACTTTGGGTTTGTAAAAATTTTCCTATATAGATAAAATTATTGGTAACTGTGTCTCACTAGAAAACGTAAACAAAAGTCCATGTTTTTCATATTTGTAAATATACATAGTTTTATTTCCATCAGTTATGACATGCAAGCAAGTAATAAAGTGAAAGTACAATCAAATGATATATGGAACTTCCTCAGTCTTAAAATATTCCATGGAGACTATCAATTTTATGAAAACTATAAAGAATGCTTCATGAAACTACATTGTACAGTGCCATTTACTATTTTACTGACATTTTAAATAATCAACAATTAAAGGGAATACATCAACATTATTTAATACCAATAACGTTATTTTTCTTGAGTAATCCTGTTGAAATTAAGGATTTTAAATAAAACATTAAAAACAAATTATATTGACTGATTTCAGCTTTGGATGAAATCATACTTGTGTATTTGTAGTAATGCGAAGCATAACTTTCTCCTCACAATTAATCTTTTATAACATCGGTGTTATAGTTTTCTCTGACACCAACATTGTGATATCGCACAGGTTTACTGCATGCATGCATTACATGCCTCCAGAGAGTAGGCTTCAAATATATGGAAAAATTATATTTATGAAAAAATTCTAGGAAAGGGAATGGTGAAATGGAAGAGAATTTCTCACTTGCTAACTGTTGGACATGGATTTGTATATATTTGGATATAGACACATACTGGCACACTGTGAGTTTGCCCATGTATATATACACTTAAATGAGAAACCCATAATATATGGGTTGTGTAATCTTTTAATTAATCCATAATTGTATGTGTGTGAAATTAGATAAGCGGTTACCTTTTCTTTACTCAATTTGATGGAAAGCCAAAAAACTCTGTCCACCTTCATTTCAATTAATCCAATACTGTTAACTGCTGGTAGCTTCATTCTCCTTGTTCTCTTACGGCAACCGGAAAGTTAATTCTCGCTCTAATTTGGCTTTCAAGGTGCGATCAACAAGAGTGTCACCTTGCTGTGGATTGTGACCTCTGACTCCACCTCTGTCTTCCTTTTGCAGTCCTACCTTTGCATAGGTAACAAACTTTGTACATGGTTAAAAGGATAAAAGTTCAGTGAAATGTCAAGCCATGCTGTGAAATGTTCCATAGTTTCTATATCTCTAATTGTCCTTTGATGTTATAGAGGCAAGAAAAATAATTCAATGTTTTTCTTAGTATCTAGTCCAATGCACTCTTTCTTCATAATACTGCAAACAAGGCACTGACATGGAAACGTGGCTGGACGTCTCAAAATCTCTTCTCATTAATTACCATTATGTTAATCACTGTTGCCCACAACTGGAATTGGACTTTGAAATCCCCTGGTGGAAATTGCTATAATGGCTCAAACTACTGGAAAGACTATCTTTTTTTACCTGAAAATATCTGATGAGCATAGACGTATGCTATATACAGGAAGATATTGTACATTAACAACATACCATCACTGCCACTCAATAATAGGTATCCCAAACCTTTGAGCCAAACTGAGCTCAGGTGCTCCCACAAACCAAGCTTTTCCCTCCACAGATTTCTTATGTCAAAAAGCCACAACTCCAGGCCAGGCTTCGTGGCTCTTGTTGTAATTTCTACATTTTGGGAGGCCGAGGTTGGTGGGTCACTTGAGGTCAGGAGTTGGAGACCAGCATGGGCAACATGGCAAAAAGCTGTCTCTACCAAAAATACAAAAATTAGCCAGACCTAGTGGCACTTTCCTGTGGTCCCAGCTACTTGGGAGGCTGAGGTAGGAGAACCACCTGAACATGGGTGGCAGAGATTGTATAGTAAGCCAAGATCAGACTACTGCACTCCAGCCTGGATGACACAGCGAGACCATGAAAAAAAAAATAAAGGCAACTCCACTCATCCACTGGCTTAGGTAAAAAATACTGGAGTTGGCTGGGCTCGGTGGCTCACACCTGTATTCCCAGCACTTTGGATTTTGGGAAGCTGAGTCGGGCGGGTCACCTGAGATCTGTAGTAGGAGAGCAGCCTGGCCAACATGGTGAAGCCTGGCTTCTACTAAAAATACAAAACATTAGCTGAGCGTGGTGATGCATGCTTGTAATCCCAGCTACTGCAGAGGCTGAACCTGGGAGGCGGAGGATGTGTTGAGCTGAGATCCTGCCACTGCGCTCCAGCCTGGTCTACAGAGCGAGAGTACCCTGTGAGAAACAAAGGTGAAGAGAACAAGAAAAAAAAATGAGAAAAATAAGACCCACTGCAAAAGGTTGCCACAGAAAAGATTAAACATTTCAGCAACTTCTATCTTCTATCATGGAAGCCAAGGTTATTTGGACCAAACCTCCTGTCTTAGTTCATTTTCACGCTGCTGAAGAAGAGATACCTGAAACTGGGAATAAAAGGAGGTTTAATTGGACTGACAGTTCCACATGGCTGTGGAGGCCTCAGAATCATGGTATACGAATAAAGGCACTTCTTACATGGCAATGCCAAGAGAGAATGAGGAAGAACCTGAGGCAGAAACCCCTGAAAAACCCATCAGATCCCGTGAGACTTCTTCACTGTCACAAGAATAGCATGAGAAAGACCGACCCCCATGATTCAATTACCTCCCCCTGGGTCCCACCCGCAACACGAGGGAATTCTGGGAGATACAATTGAAGCTGAGATTTGAATGGAGACACACCAAACCATGTCACTTCCCAAACAATTAAAAATTCCCAATAGAAGAAGCATTAATTATATCAAAAAGTGGTGGACCAAGAAGGAACTATTAGCCTCATATCTCAAGAAAGACTCCAGTCAAGGCCTAGGGACTACTCATGAAAAGAGTTTAATAGCCGACTCTCTCCCAGTGGATCTGGATTCCACCGGACTGTATCTTCACAGTAAGGGTGAAACAGAAGCAAACCCATTCCTATTTCCAAGCTCAAGGAACTTTGGTCAAAGTTCTCTTGGAGCTGAGCAGAACAAGGAGGCAAACAGAAAAGATTTGTGTCCCTGAGAAGTCATGGCCACAGGCTGGCTATCACACAGATTGTCAAGCCAGTTCCATATTGCATGGGTATTACAGAAAATCTCAAAACATAAATTTGTGTGTGGGTTGTCCCAGAGTAGCAGGATCTGGCAGAAGGAAATTTCCTTCTAACCCTCAAAGAATCCACATAAATCTTGTTACATTTGGGATTTTACGATTTGCTTCAGGAATGAGAATGGCCTTAATTTTCATATCTTTTTCTACACTCAGTTTATGGCTTGTTGGCGTCAAAGTTCTGCTTGCTTCACACAATGAGTTTAGGATTTTCCCTTTTTTATTCTATAGAATTCTTCATATATATTGAAATGCTCTGCCTGGGGAAAAAAATCTGAGCCTAGCGTTTTATCTCTAGGAAGAATCCTTTATTTCCTTGAACATTTATGAGACTATACAGATTATATATGTCTTCTTGTATCAATTTTACTAAGCTATATACATAGCTTATGTTTATATATTATATATATAAATGTAAGATACAAATATAAAAATTATGTATAAATATGAAAATATATATAGAAAGCGATATATATGTCTATATATATAGACAGATTATAAATATCTGTCTATTTGATCTAAGTTTTCAAATTTGTAGGTTAAGGTGTTAATGATATTTCCTTATTAGCTTCTTAATCTATGCTGTATCTATGGTTGTGTACCTTTTAAATTCTTAGTTTTATCTATGTTTTCTCCCTTTTTTTCTAAACTTGACTGACGGTTGCATCATTTATTATATTTCTCCAACAAGCAAAGGTTAGCTTTGTATGTTTTACTAATTTTGTCTACATCATTATTCCCACACTTTAGTTTTTCAGAATTGATTCTGTTGTTTCTTTTCTAATTCTTTATTGAAATATCTAGTACATTAATTTTCAAGTTATTAGAGAAATATTTGTCTGTAAACTCCTATTGTAATATCACTTTTCTTGCTACTCACAGATTTAATCTTCAATATTGGCGGTATCATTGAGTTCTAAGTACATTTCAATTCCTAGTATGATAATCTATGAATTGCTGAGAAATAGTGTTTACAATTTTGTTGTTCTATTTCCACTTAAGTTTATTTTTACTTCTGCTAACTCAATTGAAAATTCTTTACTAATTTTTAAAATCCTTGAACCCAAGAGATGGAGGTTGCAGTGAGCTGAGATCAGGCCACTGCATTCCAGACTGAGTGACAGAGTGGAACGAGATTTCAAAACAAAACAAAACAAAACAAAACAAAACAGTCACTGGAAAGATAATAAAATACATAAATGTGGGATGTAATATGTAATCGTGATAAAATAAACTGGATTTTTTGTATAAGTTATACATATAAATGTAATGCCAAGACACTGATAAGACAACTCATGGTCTTATCTCAATACTTAGTGTCTTCATGTAACATATGTCCTTTAGGATAGTTATAGTCCGTTTTCTTTCCAGGAGAGACAGATGAGAATGCAGAAATGTTAAAGTGCAAGGGACGGAAGCTTCCAGCTGTGCCCACCTGTAACCTGACGTAGACAGTTCCACCGTTTGCTTCATTAATCATGCCAAAGGCTCTAATGCAAATGTGGTACAGAGTCACATGTTTTTGTATCTACATGATAGAAACTATAACTTCATCCCTATATAGAAGGGTATATAGCATATGCCTCAGTGATAAATATAAGTGAATCCTTGATCAGTAGGAAACCATTTTAAAAGTCTTTCATAACAGAACAAAATCCCTGAAAACATTTTCTTCTCAATCTCTGAGTTTTCTTACACGGCTTATGAATCTCTAGCCATACTAAAGAGATAGTATGCTGCTCTTCCCACAAATTATTCATTGTATATAATTCCTGTAATCTAATAACAGTACCTTTACACCTCAGGGTTTAAAATGACTCCAACCTTTTTCTGTTTCTCCAATTAAAATAACTTTTTTAAGGTTTAATCTTCAGTAATTTTTTGTAGTAATATTTTTGAAGGTATTTGACCAGGATGATTTGCTTATATACCTACCTGACGTCTCCCTTTCTTCTGAATACATATTTTATTACCCACCTATTAGATCTAAGTTTAAGAAGTTGGAATAGGGATTTAAATCTAAATTCTACATTTGAATTTACAGGAGTCAGCGAGTCCGGGAAGTGCCTTTATGCACAGACCAATATCTGGCAATGGCACTAGGAGACAAATAAGCTTTACCAGTCTCAAAGCCCTGGCTACTACAGTGAATCCACCCTTCTCCTGGATCTTATCTACTTCAGCAAAAGAAGGCCACCCACTAAACCAGGCCCTTGTACTTTGGGTGGAAACTCCTAAGTCCTCTAGTCTCCTCAAACAGACAGCCAGGCTGCCAATTTCCACAATAATAATTTCTATAGCACTGAGTCTTTGGTAGCCTTGTAACTATAGCTACTGATGCTACAGTCTGGTCCCTGTATGATAAAACACCAGAGCAACAGAAACAAAAATATTGACTGAAGCCTTCTAAAATCTCTCTAAATATACCTTCAATAAATATGGTTTTTTTTACAGAACGACTGCTTTCAGCTTCCTGAACTAACGCTTGGCCTTCGCTAGTTGTCACTGTTGAAATTGATTCAAAAGTGTACATTTAACATGAAAGTCAACACAGAATTTCATGTGTCAGCAACTAAAATTTTCAAAATGTTGCAAAATACAAATGTGAAACTGTATTTGTGAAATTTACCATTCATTGAAATTATATTTTCATACCTACCCAGGCACAGAATTTTTTATAACTGTCTGCATGTTCTCCTCATGTGGGGGAAAAGCAGCATCAGCAGGCAGAGGAATCCTTTGAAGCTGGAGGGAGAGGTTGCAGTGATCTGAGAGTTTGCCACTTGACTGCAGCCTGGATGACACAGTGAGACTCCAACTGAAAAGAAACAAACACACACACACACACACACACACACACACACACACACCCAAAATTGATAAGTAAAAAAAAAATCCATATTCGAAAACATGCTCACAGGCTAACTCCCATATCTAACACACACACACACACACACACACACACACACACACACACAATTCCTTGAAAACGAAAGTTCCACAAGGGCAAAACAAGAAAACAAATTTAACACCCCCCAAAGAAAGTACAAAGAGTAACCTCAAAAGAACTGCAGGGGAAAACAATTCAAAATTTACAAGTATCTACCCTAAAAGAAGCTGAAAGTCCCTCAAAAACTTTCCAGAGGCCATGTCCTTGTATTACAAAAATGATCATAAAAACTGGCAGGAGTAGACGAATAGAAATGCATCTTAAAACTTGCTAAACCCTTCAAGTCTCCCATAAGAATTGTAATGGAAAATGGATCGGTCGGCAGCTTTTTCCATACAATTATGAACAAATTATATTTCTTCATACATAGATTTGTTTTTTCAATATTCTAAGGAATTAACTTTTATATTAATAGTAGGTGATGTAAGAAAGCAGGCCTTTATCAAGATAACTGACACTGGATGTCCATACCATTACTCAGGTGGGCCTTAATTCCCAGCCGGGTTCCCTCCCTGGACACACACTGAAGGTCCCCAGCCATTTGGCAATCTCTTCACATTCCCAGCCCTGGAGGTAGCCCTAAAATACATGTACCTGAAGAAAATAAAACATTGCCTCACACTGGAGCCCAGTGTGGTCCTCCAGATTCCGTGTGAGGTGGACTAACTTATATGGGAAGGCAGGGCAGCGGGAGTGAGGATGGCAGAGAGGATTACACATGTCAAGGCAGCCGGGGTCATGGAAACAAAACATGACTGGCCTGGGAGAAACACTGTGAAAGGACATACACCTAGGTGGGCCTTAGGTGGACATCCTCGTGGAGAAAAAGGGGGCCCTGGTTGATCTCAAAATGAGCCCCAGGTGGTAGCAGGTCTTACCGCAGGGCAGGGAGCTGGCGAGTAATGATGAGACAGCTATCCCTTAAGCCCTGCTTGTCACCCACTGACTTTAGCCACATATGCATCATAGTGGCTTAAGGTGCCCCGATCCTGAAATGTGGGTGTTACATGTCCCTGATGGGCCTCTCTCCCCCAACCCACGGATTGCCTGGGATTGCTCACTGCAGTCTCCTCCCGGATCCTTGGGTTCTCCATGTGGGGCCCAGATCCAGGTCAAAAGGCCTCTCAGTTCCCAGCCCTTCCCAGCCCTAGGCTGCTCGCCTGGCCTCCTCTCTGTTCCGCCTCTAGGGCTGACCCTCTCTCCATGGGATAGAACTGCAATGGATTGAGCCATAGGCCCTGGCTGATGATCTAGGGGACTGCAGAAGTGGGTCCAGGACAGTTCAGGTGACAGTTCAAAGCCAATTCCCCAGAGACCAAGGAATGACCAGCTAGGTCCTTTCCCATGATGCCCCACGGCGAACCCCACCTCAGCAATCCTGCCAAAACCCGGGCAGTCATGTTCAGCCAAACAGCTGAATGAGCTCAGGTAGGAGGTGTACTGCCTGCAGCTGGAGGCTTGACCTTCGTGATCCCAGAACCGCTGGACTGCAGTGGAATGAGACACCCTGTAGCCTGCAGGGAGAGGAGTCAGGAAGGTTCATGCCAGTCCCACCCTCCCACACACCAGCTCCCCTACCATGCTGGGAGGCATTCCTTACCGAGGATGCCAACACAGTGCTCCTTCATGATGATTTCACTGTGGAAATAAAGGTTGGGATGAAAGGAAATCATCCTGCCACCGGTAACCGGGATGGCTGAGTTCCTCCACCTGCCGGATCAAGGAGAAAGAGGATGGATTCAATGGGACCATCTCAACTAGCCGGGCTGAGGTGGCCTACTAGCTGTAGTGAACCATGAGTTTCCCCTTCCCAGCTCTCCCACTGAGACAACCCTGGTCCCCAGGGGGACCTCAAACTGACTCAGACACTGGACTCCTCCCACAGACCCAGGCTCCCCAGCCTGACCTGCAAATCCATCACGTAGCAAAGCAGGACTTCCGCATGCTTTCCGACCCACGCCGACATCTCGTGTGCCAAACAATCTACCTCTGCGCAAGAACTCTCCAGAGGATTGGGTGGGCAAGCCTCGTGACGCCTTGCAATTTCGCAAGAACACAGACAATGTGGAACAGGGCCATCTCCCAGACATTTGGCCAGTCACCCTTCATTGTTGGCCCTCTATCTCTGTCTGGCGAGGAGGCAACGCCACAACTGTGGTGGTTTTTGGAGTGGGTGGACCCCGGCCAAGACGGCCTGGGCTGACCAGAGACGGGAGGCAGAAAAAGTGGGCAGGTGGTTGCAGCTGAGGGACGGGAGGGACCGGGGGTGGTGTGAGGCGGCTGCTTCTCTGGGTTTCTGAGATGCAGGAGGCCTTTGTGTGCTGGGTGCTGGACATGCTCCGCTGATGTCCGGGTGTGTGGTGTCCTCTTATCCTAGTCTCCCTGAGGGGTGGGCCTGTCCTCCTGAGGGAAGCCTTGTAGTTAGAAGCCACAGCAGGGTCGTGCCTGGCGCTCTCCAAGGGAATTGCGTGGGTCCAGAGGAAGTTATACAGGCTCAGGGCCTACACGCCTTTGAGTGCAGCGCCTGCAGTTGGATGAATGCGCATCTGCGGAGCTGGTGCCCGCCGTCAGGTGGTCGGCAGCCCCATGCGCCGCGAACCCGTCTTAAGCACCTTGTGTTTCTGGGGTGAGCCTGCTGGAAACAGGCACCGAGAGCAGGGGTGGTTCAATGGCTGGTAATGGCATACAGATTCCCCGTCCTCCAGGGACGTTCCCAGGGAAACGCGTCCTTCGAATTTGGGCTGTGCGCAAAGGGACCTTGGCGCCGCGATTCTCCCTTGTCAGTGCTGGCCCTGGCTCCCCTTCCCTACCACGTGCTCCCAGGGCTGCTACAAGCGAGCTGCCCTCACAGCTGCGGGAACGTGGCCTCGGCTCCCACGCTGTCCCCCATCCCCTGCCTCCTGGCTGACCCCACGTGCCTCCCACCTGGCTCCTCCCCGCAAACAGCCCCCATACCCCCCGAGGCCCGATGACTATCCCCTGCTGCCCGCCATCCCAAATCGGCAGCCGCAAGGATATGGCTCTGGCTCACAAGGCGGAGATGCTCTGTGGCCTGGGGCATTCACGGAGCCCAGCTCCAAGTGAAGGACCTCCAGCGAGTCCATTGACGGCCCCGGTGTGCTCGGTCCAGGGCCAGGCTGTGCCCGCTGGCCCTCCTTCTGCCACCCCACGTCGGGCTCCACCTCAACCACCACCTCCACCTCAGCCATGATGTCTTCCACCTTCAGCACCGCCTCCTCTTCCAAGGCCGCCTCCTTGCTCTGTACCCCGGCCGTCCTCTCCAGCATTGCCTCCAGCCTGAACACGGTTTTCTCCTGGGTGCTCCCACAGACCCTGGGCCTGCGCAGCCCAGCCCAGCCCAGCCCATGCCCCGCACCCGTAGGCTCTGGGGGCCCGCTCCCCAGCAGACCCGCTCCCTGCAAGACCCACGGGCGTCGCCCTGCTGTGAACCTGGTCCCACACCTACGTGGACCCAGGTTTCCTGAGGAGCTCCGCTGGACCCGCAGATCCCGCACTGGCCAAAGGGCTCCGGTCCCCAGCAGGCTCAACTGCGCACAGGAGCTCGGGAGCCAGAGGCCCCGGCCCTGGGCTTGCAGAGCCCCACCAACAGGCACCGCAACCGCTGCTGCGGGTGCGGGAGCCTCTGGGTCGTCAAGGCAGCGCACAACAGCGTGCGCGCAGGCCGACAATGGCCAACCCTGGCGGCTGGCCTCTGGTGTGCCCAGGGCATAGGACAAGAGGCCCTTTGGAATGCTCCTTGGAGTACAGCATCCTCAGGGAGGAAGCATGGTACTCGGAGCCTCTATTTGCCTCGACCTGTGAGAGTGTGTGCCGGGGCTCTGGCCTCTACAGCAGATCAATTCCACCTCAGCACCGGCAGGCGACTTTCCTCCCACGTGCCCGCCCCGATCACTTCCCCCAGGACACCCCTGCCGCCCTAGCCCCAGCAACCAGAGAGAGTTCTCTGCATCTGCTGTATTACCTCCGTACCATCTACCTGGCCTGCCTAACGAAGAGAGATGTTTCCTGTGTTCATGACACATAGAGATGTTCATGGCTTGCCACACTGAGGATGTCAGGGCACAGGGCTGCCATGCCCACAATTCCAAAGGCCACGCAGCCCGCGTGTGCCCGGATGCCTAGCTACCCGGCACAAGCTCCAAGGGCTTCTCGGAGGAGGCTTGGGCAGGGAAGGCGGGGGTTGGGGGGGCTGGAGATGCAGGCCCGCCAGTGGCTGTGCCGCCCAGGGAGACGCCCACCGCCCTCCCATTGACTGGCCACGACGGGAGGAAGTCGGCCTGGGTGCGGCCCCCCGGCCCTTCGCGCGCAGTCCCTTAGGGGGCGCCTGGAAGCCCGGCGCATGCGCCCTGAGGGCTCGCTGACCTACCGGGTGCCAGAGAGGCTGCGGCAGGGTTTCTGTGGCGTGGGTCGGGCAGCACAGGCCTTGGTGTGTGCGAGTGCCAAGGAGGGCACCGCCTTCAGGATGGAGGCTGTACAGGAGGGGGCGGCCGGGGTGGAGAGTGAGCAGGCGGCTTTGGGGGAGGAGGCGGTGCTGCTGTTGGATGACATAATGGCGGAGGTGGAGGTGGTGGCGGAGGTGGAGGTGGTGGCGGAGGAGGAGGGCCTCGTGGAGCGGCGGGAGGAGGCCCAGCGGGCACAGCAGGCTGTGCCTGGCCCTGGGCCCATGACCCCAGAGTCTGCACTGGAGGAGCTGCTGGCCGTTCAGGTGGAGCTGGAGCCGGTTAATGCCCAAGCCAGGAAGGCCTTTTCTCGGCAGCGGGAAAAGATGGAGCGGAGGCGCAAGCCCCACCTAGACCGCAGAGGCGCCGTCATCCAGAGCGTCCCTGGCTTCTGGGCCAATGTTGTATCCTTCTCAGTGTTTCTTCGGCCTTTCTAGTGGAGAGGTGCTCTCGGGGAAGTGTAAGTGACCGATGGGCAGCTCGGCGTCGATGTGACTCTTTGGGGAACAAAGGGGAGTTGCCACGGACCAGTGTGGCTGTGGAAAGCCGGAGCAGGCGTGGGTACTATTGTCCTGCATGCGGCAGAGAAACCCTTGGTGATGCCGAGCAGCAGACGTTTGGGGCATCTTTTTGAAGAGCAGAAGCGAGTTCAGAGCGGAAGAGGTTTTTCAGTGAATGAAGCTATTTTTAAGGGAGTGTGATTGCTGCCCCTTGCTAGTCCGATCTGGGACTGGGCGTCTTCGGCTATAAGCAGATTCTGCCACTCCTCAGACACCAGCAAGTCTCTGCAAATCGCGCCTCCCCATGTCAGTGCAGTCAGCCTCAGAATCATACACCCTCTGTGAACACAGGAGGCCTTAGTTTACGGGGACGGGGAGGCGAAAGGAGATCATACATGGAAGCAGATCTGAGAAATCCCCTACCCCAGCCTCTGGGTGCTCTTAGGCCTTCTTCCCTGTTGCTCCTCGCTTTCCCTTCCATCGTGTGTAAAGTCTCTTTGACCTAAATCAGATTGCAAACCACCCCCAGATGTCAGCCCTGATCACTGACGAAGATGAAGACATGCTGAGCTACATGGTCAGCCTGGAGGTGAGGCCAGGAAGACTGGGGCTAGAGGGTTTAGCGGGGGAGGGTAAGGGAAATAATTCATTCCTGTAAGCAAGAGTGAGCACCTCACCCGAAAACCTATCTAAGCTTTCTCCACCTTGTCCTGACAGGTGGGAGAAGAGAAGCATCCTGTTCATCTCTGCAAGATCATGTTGTTCTTTCGGAGTAACCCCTACTTCCAGAATAAAGTGATTACCAAGGAATATCTGGTGAACATCACAGGTGACAGGTGGCTCCCAGGATGGGTAGTGGGAGGAAGATGGTGGGTGGATCATTGCCAACGGGATCCAGCCCCCTTCCCACAAAAACTCCTGTCTCTGTAGAATACAGGGCTTCTCATTCCACTCCAATTGAGTGGTATCCGGATTATGAAGTGGAGGCCTATCGCCGCAGACACCACAACAGCAGCCTTAACTTCTTCAACTGGTTCTCTGACCACAACTTCGCAGGATCTAACAAGATTGCTGAGGTGAGTCCTCACTGGGAAACATGAGGAATGACCCCGTGTGTTCCCAGCTGCTTGGGTCACCTTTCTGAGCCCTGATGAGGCCTTTCCCGATTGAGTCCCCTGACAGATCCTATGTAAGGACCTGTGGCGCAATCCCCTGCAATACTACAAGAGGATGAAGCCACCTGAAGAGGGAACAGAGACGTCAGGTGAGCCGTTAGTTGGCACTGGAGCTGTTTGATGCCCAGTATAAGGGGGTTGACACACCTGCCTATTCAGGGAGCCTGGGTGCTCATTTCAGAAATGTAGAAATTGAGGCTCCTTTCGTACATGTAGAAATTCCTTGAGAGGAAGACAGAGAGTGACAGAATCCAGGACGTTCATGGCATTGGGCTGAAAAGGCACGTTAGAGACTGCACTGCAAAGCGGGTGATAGCTGTGGAGTCTTAAGCCCAGTGAAGAATCGTCCATTTCCAGAATCAATGAGAAGTAAAGCTGAAAATCATTCAGTTCAGTCTGTGGCACTTGATTCCACGGCTGTCAACCCCACCGGCAGTCATCCCGCCAACCCCATGAGATTGGGCTCCCTGAATGTGCGTCCTGGTCATCCTTGCCCCAAACCACAAAGGACTGTTTAGATTGATGGATTTCCTTAAGCTGTTGCCCCATCAGACTTGTGTGTGCTTTTAGGGCCCAGTGCATCTTGTTAGCTGACTCCCCTCACAGACAATACTGGGAATGGGGCAGGGATTGCGCAGAACAGTTTGTAACACGTGGTAGGAGGAAGTTTAAGGGATCACAAATGGGGAAGGGATATCCTTTTCTCAGCGGGCCCCACAATTGAAACATTTCAAAGTATGGCTCAGAGAAAATGCGTTTTAACATGAGTTTGTGTTTCTCTAGGGGACTCCCAGTTGTTGAGTTGAATATGATGGAGCATCAGATTTTACCTAATACAGCAGAACTCCTAAAAAGTTACAGCCATATGCAGGACGGCAGTACTCAGCATGGTCTTATGCACAGGAACTAAAGGAAAAAGAGATCGAGTCACAAAAATTCAGGAAGAGGGGGTAAATGTGGATTGTATGGAATGAAAAATAAACATTCTCAAGGATGTGTGACTCTGTGTCTGTGTGTGTGTGTGTGTCTTTGTGTTTGTGTGTGTGTGTGTGTGTGTGTGTGTGTGTATGTTTATCCACTTTATTCGGGTGTCATAATGAATTGATCAATCCACGTGCTTTATTCTCTTCATGGAAATAACCAGTCTGCGTTGGAGCTGGGCCTCTAAAGTTGTAGAGTGAATGGGTGTGGGATGTGTTGGGATTCTTCCTACAGGACAGAGTGGGAGAGGTAAAAGCAAAAGACAGCTTAGTTGGAGGCTGACTTCGTCCTATGGAAGCAGAGATAGTTCAAGGAAAGGGGTTACTGGGTTTCCAGGGCCCAGTTTGCTGGGACCTCCAAAATCCTTCATTTTGGGTATCATCATACACAGTAGCTAAGCACAGGATGATGGAAATCTTAAAGTTCGCTTTCGTGTTGAATCCACATGTTCTTTTAAAGGTGAATGCATGATCCTTTTCTGGGACAATCAGCCTCTCAGGACTTCTGAAACATCAACGTGAGAAGAAATGGGCATGTAAGGTGTATGGAGGGACTGTGGGAAAGGTGATAGAGGCATGTGGGAAGGCATTCAGGATACGCTTTTGGCAGAGATGACTAAGGGAAAACAGAAACTTACAGAAGTGAGGGGAAAGGGGGTGGATTAGTGGAATATAAGATTGTTGGAGAATCCATCCATGGACTCTCTTGTCACTTGATGACCCAGGATATGGACACTCTTGTTGATGTTTACATCTTTAGTTGTTTTAAGCTTTTCTCCAAGATTCTGTGTTAGGTGAGGAGCCAATAACGTATGTAGCTAACAACAGTACGAGTGCATTTTGTGCTCTTGCAAAGTCTAGTGAGGCTCTATTCTCCCTCGTGATTGGCACTGCAGATTGTATCTGGACCCAGGGCCCCTAAATTTTCTGTGGCCTCTTCAGCATAGTTTGCCTAAGGTTTAGAACGTAAAGCGAATATAGTTGCGGAATATGTTTTGCAAGCCTCACACAGGAGGACAAAACATACAGCTTTCATTTGTGAGTGGGAGGCTGCTTCCCAGGAACACGTGTGTCTGCACAAGACAAGGGGTTGCCTCTGTCAAGGATGGGGCAGGAGGATTTCAGTGTCGGAGGCAGAACTTTCTTTCCTGTTCCCAGATGAAACAGTTCCAACACGAGCATCCATGTTGACCACACGCTACTAGAGTGCTAACATTGCTGTCCCGTATAGACTCCAGTCAGCACAGCTTCTGTGAGAAGATCTATGTTGTTTCAGGGAAGAGGGTTTGACAGTCAAAGTTCCTGAATCTGTTGTGGTGCCTGCAATATGCATTCTACCCCTCCTGCTCGGTGTCAAAGCAGTTGAGCTTTGAAAATCTATCGCCCGGTTTTGTCCCTGCTCCTATGCAGACCTCTGAAGCTCTGGAGCGGGAGTCTTGTCCTCCTCTGACTACCGTCCCCCTGACCCACAAACACAGGAGAAACAGGTGTTCTAAGCAAATTATTCTGAAAACAGTCGGAACACTTTGGCCCCCTCAAGCTGCCCTCTCTCCTACTGTGTGCATGTGAAAGACACTGTGGTCCAGTACGGTATCCCTATAGCGGCAATGGGGCAACAGATTGGTGTGTGCACTCTGGGCAACTCAGATTAGGAAACGTCTGGGGACTTGCCTATAACGAGGTCGTCTTAAAACATGTTGCCCCAAATTTAAGGCATAGGAAAATGTTGAGGAAAGGGTCTTGCGATGATTTTTCTAGGAGGTAAATAGATAAGAAAATGACCGTAAATAGATGCCAGGGCTAGTTTTGGAGCTAGCCTTTTTTAAAGTGGTGGTAGGGGAGGAGGTTTTTCCAAGGCAGGTAGCAAACCAGGAACTGTCTACGATGGATGGGCGTGCCATGGGTTGGTGGCTCAGCCATATTGCCACCCCACGGAGTCGATGCAGCAGACTGGGCTTCTTGCTTGAATCCTACGTGCAATTCAGTCTAGTGATTTCACATGAGATCCCTTCTTCTGGTATTATCACAGATCGTGCTGAATTATACAGGCTGTGTAATGCTTCTTCCACTGAATATCCGTGCACGTGGGCCACAGATGCTAAGGGCACTGACAAATTTGCACCGTGCCTCAGTAACTCGGAAGCACATCTGTGATTTGTACCGACAGGGACTTGGTGTCTTTTCGTGTTTAAAGTAGCACGTGTGTGTTTGTGGTTGCGTATGTTTATTTCTCTGTGCGGGTTTGTATATTTTCTCTGACTCCACCTATGTCTCCGTGGTTCCGATATTTTTCCACACTCCCTGCGGCAATTTGCACATGCCTATCTCTACAACCATTGTAGACTTTGTATCTGTGTCTTTGAACATCTGTCACTCTCTCTCCCTTCCTTTTTTCTTTTCCTTCCTTTACACCCCTCCTTTCATCCTTCCCTTGCTTCCCCACCACACTCTCTCCATCTGTATCGTCTATGTTTCTATTCTCTATCTGGGTTTACTTTCTAATTCTGAATTCAAGGGCATTGAATTGAAAAGAAGCACTCTTCGTACTTTTATGTGTTTTAACTCATTTGGGGAATTTGGCGTGGTATTATTTACAGGGTTCTCTCTGCCCTTTCTCATTGTTCTCCCCAGCCGGGGCTGTTATTATGTGAAAGCTGGTTTCCTTCATCACATCGCGTAGGCTCTAATGATGTTTCGTTTATTTTGATTCTCCTCACACTACATAGTTTTAATTTACCTAATGTGACTGTTTTTTTGTTTGTTTTCCGAGAATGGGTCTTACTCTGTCTTCTAGGTTGGACAGCAGCCCCACGATCTCAGCCCACTGCAGCCCAGGCACCACACACCCATGTGATCCTGTCAACTCAGACTCTCACACACCTGGCAGTACAGGTGCATGCCACCCCTCCAAGCTATGTATTAATTAACTAAATACTTACTTTTTGAATGTGGGTCCATGTTGCCCCAGGCTCATCTGGAACTCCTGAGTGCAGGCAATCCTCCCACCTCAGCTTATCAAAGTGCTGGGATGACAGGTGTGACCCATGGCCCTGCCATGGCTTTGTGTTTTTTGCTTTTTTCTTCCTCCTCCTCACGTCTTGTTTTGAAACATGCACTGAAGGTTTCAATTCATGGACTATAGCCTCTGTGCCTGGAATTTCTATCTTTCAACTCATCATCAGCATTCATTGGGATTTTCATATATATATACACCTATATAAGAATACCTATGTACACACATATATACGTATATACATGTATATACGTATATATGCACATTTATATACGTATATACATGTATATACGTATATATATACATGTACACATATGTATTTATTTCTCAAGTTACGAAACGGCTTGCATTCTTTCCTGTGTCATGAAAAAGACTTTGCTAGAAAAGAAAAGCACTGCTTTATAATAAAATATTTTATTTGCATTTATTTTGTTAAGGCATTTTAAAAATTGTATGTTTGTTTAAAAAATGTCATATGAAATGATACATATTTACAACTTAAGGCGTGATGTTCAACAGGTCATATACATTATGCATTGGATACATCCAGCCAATCAACATATGTGTGACCTCACATAGTTGTCATTTTTGTTGTGAAAAAACTTGACCTGCACTGTATTCGAATATTTTTAGAGAAAGAATATGTTACCACTAGTTATAGTGAGCATGCTGAAGAAAATATTTTTAACCTATTCCTCCTTTATAACTAGAAGTATGAGTTCTTCATCCAGCATCTCGTCAGTGCACCCTCTTCACCGCAGTCATTGGAGTCACTACTTCTGTGAAGTCCGCTTTTTTGATTTCATATAAGAATGAGATCATGTGCTACTTTCCTTTCTGATACCTGGCTTATGTCACTTAACAGAATGGCATGCACACATTCAGCAGATTCCCACACATTCTCACAACTGGCAGGATTTCCTGATTTCTTATTGCAGCGCATATTTACGTTGCGCATATGCGTTTTTGCCCCATTTTTTAATCCACTTATCAATGGAGGGACTCTCAGGTTGCTTCCGCATTTTGGCTACAGCAAAAATGTAATGAGTGCAGCAATAATTGCATGGGTGCGCGCACCGCTTCAACATACTGATCTGTGTACTGGCGGGCGTGCCCGGGTATTCTGATTTGCTGGATCATATAGTGGGTGGTTCTACTTGTAGATTTCTGAAGGCTGTTTATACTTAAATAAGAGCCATAAAGCTTCTTTAATGCCAGCACTAATTTACATTCTCCCCAAAAGTGAGCAGGGAATTCGTTTTCTCTGCCTCCTCACCAGAGATTAGGGTTTTCTTTTCTTTCTTTTTTTTTTTTTGTTTGTTTGTCTTTCGGATAATATGCATTCTGACTGAAGTGAGAAGAAATCTCATTGTGTTTTTGATTTGCATTTTCGTGATGGATTGGGGATAATGAGGAATTTTTAGTGTGTCTTCTGGGCAACTGTATGTCTCAGTTTCACAAATGAGTCTTCGCAGCCTTCGCCCATTTGTTTTCATGCTATTGAGTTGTTGGGAGTTCCTTATGTACTGTGACTATTCCCCCATGAACAGATGTATGGTGATCCAATCATTGCTCCCATCCTGTAGGATGCCCCTTCTGTATGTTGAGTTTTCTATGGTGTGGTGAAGCACTTTAGTTTGATATGATTCCATTCTCTATTTTTGATGGTGTTTACTGTGTTCTTGCAGTCACTTTGAGACCATCATTGCACACACGGACGCCATGGAGCTTCTTCCTTGTGATCTCTTCTGCTATTTTTATCGTTTCACATCTGACACTGGAGTTTGGTGATAAATAATCCACTTGTAAAATCCTTTGTGTGGCTATTCAGATTTCCCCAACCTAGTTTATAGAAGATACTTGATTTTGCATTGGGCGTTCTTGCTTCTTTGGGAAAAGGCTGTGAGCTGCAAATGCAGTGACTTAGTTCTGGGCTCCTGTTGTTTTTCCTAAGCTCTAGTCTCTGCTTTTCTGCCAGTGCTATTGTATTTTGGTACAAAAAGTTTTGTAGTAGTATATCATGAAGTTAGGTAGTGGGGTGGCTCCAGCTTTGTGCTTTTTACTGGATTGCTCTGGGTTTTCAGGATCTTCTGCCATTTCATAGCAAATTTGGGATTCCCAGATTGTTTTTCTAAGAAGAATGTGTCATTGATATTTTTACAGGGGTTGTATAGAATCTGAGGATGACTCAGGTAGTAGTGATGTCAATGCCGTTTAGACAATGTGCGTGTTTGTGTGCACAAGCTCAGGGCCAAGAGACACTGGGTGTCCTCACCAATACTGAGGTGGGCCTTAATATCCAGCCAGATTGCCTTCTGGAAACACACGGAATGTCCTGTTCTGTTTTGCCATCTCTTCACATTTCCTCCCCTGTGAGCCCTGTGTGGTCCTCCAGATTCCCTGTGCGGTGGCCTGCCTTTTTTGGGGTGGGGAGTTGCTGGGTGAATGAGGATGGCGGAGGGAACCAAGCATGTCAGTGGAGCGTGGTGTCATCCAAACGGTACTTAGCAGGCCTGGGAGAGTCATTCTGGGAGGACGCAGACCTAGAGAGGCCTCAGGTGGGCATCTGTGTGGAGGGTGAGAGATCCCTGGTTGAGCCCAAACTGAACCCCAGGTAGAAGCAAGCCTCAGGACAGGGAAGTAGCTAGCAAGGGATGATGAGGGAGCTATCTCTTGACCCTGGCTTCCCACCCATTGACCTTAGCTACTTGTGCCTATTAAGCAGATTACGGTTCCCCCATCGTGAAATGTGGGTACCACAGTTCCCTGATGGGCATTTCTCCACCAGCCCATGATGGCCTGAGTTTCCTTACTGCAGTCTCCTCCCTGAGCCTTGGCTTCTCTATGTGTGTCCTAACTCCAGGACCCACAGGCCTGTCAACCCCCAGCCCTGGGCTGCTTCCCTGGCCTCTTCTCTGTTCCCTCTCTGAGGGCCTAACTCCCTTGGGTAGTGCTGCAGAATATAGAGCCACAGGCCCTGGCTGATGATCTGGTGGACTGGGCAAATTGGTCGTGACAGGTCAGGTTCTGGTTCAAAGCCAATTCCTCCGATGCCAAGGAATGTCGAAGAAGGTCCTTTGCCATGATGCCCCATAGCTGCCCCACCTCAGCAATCGTGCCGTAACCTGGGCCCTCACAGTCAGATAACCAGCTGAAGAAGCTCAGGCAGTGACCTGCGGGAAACTCGGGCTTTCACCTGCATGACCCTAGAACCACTGGACTGCAGTGGAGCCAGTCGCCCTGTATCCTGGAGGGAGACGAGTCAGGAAGGCGCACGCCAGGCCCAGCTCCCGAGGTACTACCCCCTCTACTCCTCAGGGAGGATGCCAACGCAATACTCCTTAGTCATCACTTTGTTTCCGAAGTAAATGTTGTGATGAAAGGCAAACTTCTTCCTACCCCTTGTATTCAGGGTGGCCGAGTTCCTCCACCTGCCTGTCCAAGAAGGAGAAACAGGGCTGTGAAGGGGCAATTTCATCTAGGTGGGCTGAGGTGGCATTCTAGCCGGGGTGAAGCATGCGTTTCCCCTTCCCAGCTTTCCCGCTGAGACACACCTGAGCCCCAGAAGGACCTCAACCTGACCAGGACCTTAGCACCCTCCCCCAGACCCAGGCTTTCCATCCTGACCTGCAAATCCAACATGCAGCTTTGAAGGACTTTCTCATGGTTTCTGAGCTCCTTGCTCTCACCAGAAAGAATCAGAACTTTTAAAGTGTTCTTTATGCCAACTTAAATTTTTCATTTTTACTACCTCATGTTTTGGATGAGGCATGTATTTTTAAATTTATTTTCACCCTTATTGTACCTCTATGATAAACTGCTTGCTTACATTCATACCGTAATTATCTCTCAGGTTACTTGTCTGTTCCTAAAGATTCACTGAAATGAAGAATTCTATATATGCTTGTATCTTTCAGCAACCGTATGTCAGATAGCACTGCACATTACTGCAGACATCGCATATACAGGTCCAAAGGTAGAGGAAGAAGAAGAAAGCAAGCGTTAAGCTCTATACATTCCTAAAAGCATATCAGAAACTCACAAATAACAGTGAAATCAAAGAATGATCACAGCCAATTCCATTACATACCTAGACTGAAATACGAAACTTCAAAGAAAAGAAACATTAGAACTTTGGGTTTGTAAAAATTTTCCTATATAGATAAAATTATTGGTAACTGTGTCTCACTAGAAAACGTAAACAAAAGTCCATGTTTTTCATATTTGTAAATATACATAGTTTTATTTCCATCAGTTATGACATGCAAGCAAGTAATAAAGTGAAAGTACAATCAAATGATATATGGAACTTCCTCAGTCTTAAAATATTCCATGGAGACTATCAATTTTATGAAAACTATAAAGAATGCTTCATGAAACTACATTGTACAGTGCCATTTACTATTTTACTGACATTTTAAATAATCAACAATTAAAGGGAATACATCAACATTATTTAATACCAATAACGTTATTTTTCTTGAGTAATCCTGTTGAAATTAAGGATTTTAAATAAAACATTAAAAACAAATTATATTGACTGATTTCAGCTTTGGATGAAATCATACTTGTGTATTTGTAGTAATGCGAAGCATAACTTTCTCCTCACAATTAATCTTTTATAACATCGGTGTTATAGTTTTCTCTGACACCAACATTGTGATATCGCACAGGTTTACTGCATGCATGCATTACATGCCTCCAGAGAGTAGGCTTCAAATATATGGAAAAATTATATTTATGAAAAAATTCTAGGAAAGGGAATGGTGAAATGGAAGAGAATTTCTCACTTGCTAACTGTTGGACATGGATTTGTATATATTTGGATATAGACACATACTGGCACACTGTGAGTTTGCCCATGTATATATACACTTAAATGAGAAACCCATAATATATGGGTTGTGTAATCTTTTAATTAATCCATAATTGTATGTGTGTGAAATTAGATAAGCGGTTACCTTTTCTTTACTCAATTTGATGGAAAGCCAAAAAACTCTGTCCACCTTCATTTCAATTAATCCAATACTGTTAACTGCTGGTAGCTTCATTCTCCTTGTTCTCTTACGGCAACCGGAAAGTTAATTCTCGCTCTAATTTGGCTTTCAAGGTGCGATCAACAAGAGTGTCACCTTGCTGTGGATTGTGACCTCTGACTCCACCTCTGTCTTCCTTTTGCAGTCCTACCTTTGCATAGGTAACAAACTTTGTACATGGTTAAAAGGATAAAAGTTCAGTGAAATGTCAAGCCATGCTGTGAAATGTTCCATAGTTTCTATATCTCTAATTGTCCTTTGATGTTATAGAGGCAAGAAAAATAATTCAATGTTTTTCTTAGTATCTAGTCCAATGCACTCTTTCTTCATAATACTGCAAACAAGGCACTGACATGGAAACGTGGCTGGACGTCTCAAAATCTCTTCTCATTAATTACCATTATGTTAATCACTGTTGCCCACAACTGGAATTGGACTTTGAAATCCCCTGGTGGAAATTGCTATAATGGCTCAAACTACTGGAAAGACTATCTTTTTTTACCTGAAAATATCTGATGAGCATAGACGTATGCTATATACAGGAAGATATTGTACATTAACAACATACCATCACTGCCACTCAATAATAGGTATCCCAAACCTTTGAGCCAAACTGAGCTCGGGTGCTCCCACAAACCAAGCTTTTCCCTCCACAGATTTCTTATGTCAAAAAGCCACAACTCCAGGCCAGGCTTCGTGGCTCTTGTTGTAATTTCTACATTTTGGGAGGCCGAGGTTGGTGGGTCACTTGAGGTCAGGAGTTGGAGACCAGCATGGGCAACATGGCAAAAAGCTGTCTCTACCAAAAATACAAAAATTAGCCAGACCTAGTGGCACTTTCCTGTGGTCCCAGCTACTTGGGAGGCTGAGGTAGGAGAACCACCTGAACATGGGTGGCAGAGATTGTATAGTAAGCCAAGATCAGACTACTGCACTCCAGCCTGGATGACACAGCGAGACCATGAAAAAAAAAATAAAGGCAACTCCACTCGTCCACTGGCTTAGGTAAAAAATACTGGAGTTGGCTGGGCTCGGTGGCTCACACCTGTATTCCCAGCACTTTGGATTTTGGGAAGCTGAGTCGGGCGGGTCACCTGAGATCTGTAGTAGGAGAGCAGCCTGGCCAACATGGTGAAGCCTGGCTTCTACTAAAAATACAAAACATTAGCTGAGCGTGGTGATGCATGCTTGTAATCCCAGCTACTGCAGAGGCTGAACCTGGGAGGCGGAGGATGTGTTGAGCTGAGATCCTGCCACTGCGCTCCAGCCTGGTCTACAGAGCGAGAGTACCCTGTGAGAAACAAAGGTGAAGAGAACAAGAAAAAAAAATGAGAAAAATAAGACCCACTGCAAAAGGTTGCCACAGAAAAGATTAAACATTTCAGCAACTTCTATCTTCTATCATGGAAGCCAAGGTTATTTGGACCAAACCTCCTGTCTTAGTTCATTTTCACGCTGCTGAAGAAGAGATACCTGAAACTGGGAATAAAAGGAGGTTTAATTGGACTGACAGTTCCACATGGCTGTGGAGGCCTCAGAATCATGGTATACGAATAAAGGCACTTCTTACATGGCAATGCCAAGAGAGAATGAGGAAGAACCTGAGGCAGAAACCCCTGAAAAACCCATCAGATCCCGTGAGACTTCTTCACTGTCACAAGAATAGCATGAGAAAGACCGACCCCCATGATTCAATTACCTCCCCCTGGGTCCCACCCGCAACACGAGGGAATTCTGGGAGATACAATTGAAGCTGAGATTTGAATGGAGACACACCAAACCATGTCACTTCCCAAACAATTAAAAATTCCCAATAGAAGAAGCATTAATTATATCAAAAAGTGGTGGACCAAGAAGGAACTATTAGCCTCATATCTCAAGAAAGACTCCAGTCAAGGCCTAGGGACTACTCATGAAAAGAGTTTAATAGCCGACTCTCTCCCAGTGGATCTGGATTCCACCGGACTGTATCTTCACAGTAAGGGTGAAACAGAAGCAAACCCATTCCTATTTCCAAGCTCAAGGAACTTTGGTCAAAGTTCTCTTGGAGCTGAGCAGAACAAGGAGGCAAACAGAAAAGATTTGTGTCCCTGAGAAGTCATGGCCACAGGCTGGCTATCACACAGATTGTCAAGCCAGTTCCATATTGCATGGGTATTACAGAAAATCTCAAAACATAAATTTGTGTGTGGGTTGTCCCAGAGTAGCAGGATCTGGCAGAAGGAAATTTCCTTCTAACCCTCAAAGAATCCACATAAATCTTGTTACATTTGGGATTTTACGATTTGCTTCAGGAATGAGAATGGCCTTAATTTTCATATCTTTTTCTACACTCAGTTTATGGCTTGTTGGCGTCAAAGTTCTGCTTGCTTCACACAATGAGTTTAGGATTTTCCCTTTTTTATTCTATAGAATTCTTCATATATATTGAAATGCTCTGCCTGGGGAAAAAAATCTGAGCCTAGCGTTTTATCTCTAGGAAGAATCCTTTATTTCCTTGAACATTTATGAGACTATACAGATTATATATGTCTTCTTGTATCAATTTTACTAAGCTATATACATAGCTTATGTTTATATATTATATATATAAATGTAAGATACAAATATAAAAATTATGTATAAATATGAAAATATATATAGAAAGCGATATATATGTCTATATATATAGACAGATTATAAATATCTGTCTATTTGATCTAAGTTTTCAAATTTGTAGGTTAAGGTGTTAATGATATTTCCTTATTAGCTTCTTAATCTATGCTGTATCTATGGTTGTGTACCTTTTAAATTCTTAGTTTTATCTATGTTTTCTCCCTTTTTTTCTAAACTTGACTGACGGTTGCATCATTTATTATATTTCTCCAACAAGCAAAGGTTAGCTTTGTATGTTTTACTAATTTTGTCTACATCATTATTCCCACACTTTAGTTTTTCAGAATTGATTCTGTTGTTTCTTTTCTAATTCTTTATTGAAATATCTAGTACATTAATTTTCAAGTTATTAGAGAAATATTTGTCTGTAAACTCCTATTGTAATATCACTTTTCTTGCTACTCACAGATTTAATCTTTAATATTGGCGGTATCATTGAGTTCTAAGTACATTTCAATTCCTAGTATGATAATCTATGAATTGCTGAGAAATAGTGTTTACAATTTTGTTGTTCTATTTCCACTTAAGTTTATTTTTACTTCTGCTAACTCAATTGAAAATTCTTTACTAATTTTTAAAATCCTTGAACCCAAGAGATGGAGGTTGCAGTGAGCTGAGATCAGGCCACTGCATTCCAGACTGAGTGACAGAGTGGAACGAGATTTCAAAACAAAACAAAACAAAACAAAACAAAACAAAACAGTCACTGGAAAGATAATAAAATACATAAATGTGGGATGTAATATGTAATCGTGATAAAATAAACTGGATTTTTTGTATAAGTTATACATATAAATGTAATGCCAAGACACTGATAAGACAACTCATGGTCTTATCTCAATACTTAGTGTCTTCATGTAACATATGTCCTTTAGGATAGTTATAGTCCGTTTTCTTTCCAGGAGAGACAGATGAGAATGCAGAAATGTTAAAGTGCAAGGGACGGAAGCTTCCAGCTGTGCCCACCTGTAACCTGACGTAGACAGTTCCACCGTTTGCTTCATTAATCATGCCAAAGGCTCTAATGCAAATGTGGTACAGAGTCACATGTTTTTGTATCTACATGATAGAAACTATAACTTCATCCCTATATAGAAGGGTATATAGCATATGCCTCAGTGATAAATATAAGTGAATCCTTGATCAGTAGGAAACCATTTTAAAAGTCTTTCATAACAGAACAAAATCCCTGAAAACATTTTCTTCTCAATCTCTGAGTTTTCTTACACGGCTTATGAATCTCTAGCCATACTAAAGAGATAGTATGCTGCTCTTCCCACAAATTATTCATTGTATATAATTCCTGTAATCTAATAACAGTACCTTTACACCTCAGGGTTTAAAATGACTCCAACCTTTTTCTGTTTCTCCAATTAAAATAACTTTTTTAAGGTTTAATCTTCAGTAATTTTTTGTAGTAATATTTTTGAAGGTATTTGACCAGGATGATTTGCTTATATACCTACCTGACGTCTCCCTTTCTTCTGAATACATATTTTATTACCCACCTATTAGATCTAAGTTTAAGAAGTTGGAATAGGGATTTAAATCTAAATTCTACATTTGAATTTACAGGAGTCAGCGAGTCCGGGAAGTGCCTTTATGCACAGACCAATATCTGGCAATGGCACTAGGAGACAAATAAGCTTTACCAGTCTCAAAGCCCTGGCTACTACAGTGAATCCACCCTTCTCCTGGATCTTATCTACTTCAGCAAAAGAAGGCCACCCACTAAACCAGGCCCTTGTACTTTGGGTGGAAACTCCTAAGTCCTCTAGTCTCCTCAAACAGACAGCCAGGCTGCCAATTTCCACAATAATAATTTCTATAGCACTGAGTCTTTGGTAGCCTTGTAACTATAGCTACTGATGCTACAGTCTGGTCCCTGTATGATAAAACACCAGAGCAACAGAAACAAAAATATTGACTGAAGCCTTCTAAAATCTCTCTAAATATACCTTCAATAAATATCGTTTTTTTTACAGAACGACTGCTTTCAGCTTCCTGAACTAACGCTTGGCCTTCGCTAGTTGTCACTGTTGAAATTGATTCAAAAGTGTACATTTAACATGAAAGTCAACACAGAATTTCATGTGTCAGCAACTAAAATTTTCAAAATGTTGCAAAATACAAATGTGAAACTGTATTTGTGAAATTTACCATTCATTGAAATTATATTTTCATACCTACCCAGGCACAGAATTTTTTATAACTGTCTGCATGTTCTCCTCATGTGGGGGAAAAGCAGCATCAGCAGGCAGAGGAATCCTTTGAAGCTGGAGGGAGAGGTTGCAGTGATCTGAGAGTTTGCCACTTGACTGCAGCCTGGATGACACAGTGAGACTCCAACTGAAAAGAAACAAACACACACACACACACACACACACACACACACCCCCAAAATTGATAAGTAAAAAAAAAATCCATATTCGAAAACATGCTCACAGGCTATCTCCCATATCTAACACACAGACACACACACACACACACACACACAAACACACACAATTCCTTGAAAACGAAAGTTCCACAAGGGCAAAAGAAGAAAACAAATTTAACACCCCCCAAAGAAAGTACAAAGAGTAACCTCAAAAGAACTGCAGGGGAAAACAATTCAAAATTTACAAGTATCTACCCTAAAAGAAGCTGAAAGTCCCTCAAAAACTTTCCAGAGGCCATGTCCTTGTATTACAAAAATGATCATAAAAACTGGCAGGAGTAGACGAATAGAAATGCATCTTAAAACTTGCTAAACCCTTCAAGTCTCCCATAAGAATTGTAATGGAAAATGGATCGGTCGGCAGCTTTTTCCATACAATTATGAACAAATTATATTTCTTCACACATAGATTTGTTTTTTCAATATTCTAAGGAATTAACTTTTATATTAATAGTAGGTGATGTAAGAAAGCAGGCCTTTATCAAGATAACTGACACTGGATGTCCATACCATTACTCAGGTGGGCCTTAATTCCCAGCCGGGTTCCCTCCCTGGACACACACTGAAGGTCCCCAGCCATTTGGCAATCTCTTCACATTCCCAGCCCTGGAGGTAGCCCTAAAATACATGTACCTGAAGAAAATAAAACATTGCCTCACACTGGAGCCCAGTGTGGTCCTCCAGATTCCGTGTGAGGTGGACTAACTTATATGGGAAGGCAGGGCAGCGGGAGTGAGGATGGCAGAGAGGATTACACATGTCAAGGCAGCCGGGGTCATGGAAACAAAACATGACTGGCCTGGGAGAAACACTGTGAAAGGACATACACCTAGGTGGGCCTCAGGTGGACATCCTCGTGGAGAAAAAGGGGGCCCTGGTTGATCTCAAAATGAGCCCCAGGTGGTAGCAGGTCTTACCGCAGGGCAGGGAGCTGGCGAGTAATGATGAGACAGCTATCCCTTAAGCCCTGCTTGTCACCCACTGACTTTAGCCACATATGCATCATAGTGGCTTAAGGTGCCCCGATCCTGAAATGTGGGTGTTACATGTCCCTGATGGGCCTCTCTCCCCCAACCCACGGATTGCCTGGGATTGCTCACTGCAGTCTCCTCCCGGATCCTTGGGTTCTCCATGTGGGGCCCAGATCCAGGTCAAAAGGCCTCTCAGTTCCCAGCCCTTCCCAGCCCTAGGCTGCTCGCCTGGCCTCCTCTCTGTTCCGCCTCTAGGGCTGACCCTCTCTCCATGGGATAGAACTGCAATGGATTGAGCCATAGGCCCTGGCTGATGATCTAGGGGACTGCAGAAGTGGGTCCAGGACAGTTCAGGTGACAGTTCAAAGCCAATTCCCCAGAGACCAAGGAATGACCAGCTAGGTCCTTTCCCATGATGCCCCACGGCGAACCCCACCTCAGCAATCCTGCCAAAACCCGGGCAGTCATGTTCAGCCAAACAGCTGAATGAGCTCAGGTAGGAGGTGTACTGCCTGCAGCTGGAGGCTTGACCTTCGTGATCCCAGAACCGCTGGACTGCAGTGGAATGAGACACCCTGTAGCCTGCAGGGAGAGGAGTCAGGAAGGTTCATGCCAGTCCCACCCTCCCACACACCAGCTCCCCTACCATGCTGGGAGGCATTCCTTACCGAGGATGCCAACACAGTGCTCCTTCATGATGATTTCACTGTGGAAATAAAGGTTGGGATGAAAGGAAATCATCCTGCCACCGGTAACCGGGATGGCTGAGTTCCTCCACCTGCCGGATCAAGGAGAAAGAGGATGGATTCAATGGGACCATCTCAACTAGCCGGGCTGAGGTGGCCTACTAGCTGTAGTGAACCATGAGTTTCCCCTTCCCAGCTCTCCCACTGAGACAACCCTGGTCCCCAGGGGGACCTCAAACTGACTCAGACACTGGACTCCTCCCACAGACCCAGGCTCCCCAGCCTGACCTGCAAATCCATCACGTAGCAAAGCAGGACTTCCGCATGCTTTCCGACCCACGCCGACATCTCGTGTGCCAAACAATCTACCTCTGCGCAAGAACTCTCCAGAGGATTGGGTGGGCAAGCCTCGTGACGCCTTGCAATTTCGCAAGAACACAGACAATGTGGAACAGGGCCATCTCCCAGACATTTGGCCAGTCACCCTTCATTGTTGGCCCTCTATCTCTGTCTGGCGAGGAGGCAACGCCACAACTGTGGTGGTTTTTGGAGTGGGTGGACCCCGGCCAAGACGGCCTGGGCTGACCAGAGACGGGAGGCAGAAAAAGTGGGCAGGTGGTTGCAGCTGAGGGACGGGAGGGACCGGGGGTGGTGTGAGGCGGCTGCTTCTCTGAGTTTCTGAGATGCAGGAGGCCTTTGTGTGCTGGGTGCTGGACATGCTCCGCTGATGTCCGGGTGTGTGGTGTCCTCTTATCCTAGTCTCCCTGAGGGGTGGGCCTGTCCACCTGAGGGAAGCCTTGTAGTTAGAAGCCACAGCAGGGTCGTGCCTGGCGCTCTCCAAGGGAATTGCGTGGGTCCAGAGGAAGTTATACAGGCTCAGGGCCTACACGCCTTTGAGTGCAGCGCCTGCAGTTGGATGAATGCGCATCTGCGGAGCTGGTGCCCGCCGTCAGGTGGTCGGCAGCCCCATGCGCCGCGAACCCGTCTTAAGCACCTTGTGTTTCTGGGGTGAGCCTGCTGGAAACAGGCACCGAGAGCAGGGGTGGTTCAATGGCTGGTAATGGCATACAGATTCCCCGTCCTCCAGGGACGTTCCCAGGGAAACGCGTCCTTCGAATTTGGGCTGTGCGCAAAGGGACCTTGGCGCCGCGATTCTCCCTTGTCAGTGCTGGCCCTGGCTCCCCTTCCCTACCACGTGCTCCCAGGGCTGCTACAAGCGAGCTGCCCTCACAGCTGCGGGAACGTGGCCTCGGCTCCCACGCTGTCCCCCATCCCCTGCCTCCTGGCTGACCCCACGTGCCTCCCACCTGGCTCCTCCCCGCAAACAGCCCCCATACCCCCCGAGGCCCGATGACTATCCCCTGCTGCCCGCCATCCCAAATCGGCAGCCGCAAGGATATGGCTCTGGCTCACAAGGCGGAGATGCTCTGTGGCCTGGGGCATTCACGGAGCCCAGCTCCAAGTGAAGGACCTCCAGCGAGTCCATTGACGGCCCCGGTGTGCTCGGTCCAGGGCCAGGCTGTGCCCGCTGGCCCTCCTTCTGCCACCCCACGTCGGGCTCCACCTCAACCACCACCTCCACCTCAGCCATGATGTCTTCCACCTTCAGCACCGCCTCCTCTTCCAAGGCCGCCTCCTTGCTCTGTACCCCGGCCGTCCTCTCCAGCATTGCCTCCAGCCTGAACACGGTTTTCTCCTGGGTGCTCCCACAGACCCTGGGCCTGCGCAGCCCAGCCCAGCCCAGCCCATGCCCCGCACCCGTAGGCTCTGGGGGCCCGCTCCCCAGCAGACCCGCTCCCTGCAAGACCCACGGGCGTCGCCCTGCTGTGAACCTGGTCCCACACCTACGTGGACCCAGGTTTCCTGAGGAGCTCCGCTGGACCCGCAGATCCCGCACTGGCCAAAGGGCTCCGGTCCCCAGCAGGCTCAACTGCGCACAGGAGCTCGGGAGCCAGAGGCCCCGGCCCTGGGCTTGCAGAGCCCCACCAACAGGCACCGCAACCGCTGCTGCGGGTGCGGGAGCCTCTGGGTCGTCAAGGCAGCGCACAACAGCGTGCGCGCAGGCCGACAATGGCCAACCCTGGCGGCTGGCCTCTGGTGTGCCCAGGGCATAGGACAAGAGGCCCTTTGGAATGCTCCTTGGAGTACAGCATCCTCAGGGAGGAAGCATGGTACTCGGAGCCTCTATTTGCCTCGACCTGTGAGAGTGTGTGCCGGGGCTCTGGCCTCTACAGCAGATCAATTCCACCTCAGCACCGGCAGGCGACTTTCCTCCCACGTGCCCGCCCCGATCACTTCCCCCAGGACACCCCTGCCGCCCTAGCCCCAGCAACCAGAGAGAGTTCTCTGCATCTGCTGTATTACCTCCGTACCATCTACCTGGCCTGCCTAACGAAGAGAGATGTTTCCTGTGTTCATGACACATAGAGATGTTCATGGCTTGCCACACTGAGGATGTCAGGGCACAGGGCTGCCATGCCCACAATTCCAAAGGCCACGCAGCCCGCGTGTGCCCGGATGCCTAGCTACCCGGCACAAGCTCCAAGGGCTTCTCGGAGGAGGCTTGGGCAGGGAAGGCGGGGGTTGGGGGGGCTGGAGATGCAGGCCCGCCAGTGGCTGTGCCGCCCAGGGAGACGCCCACCGCCCTCCCATTGATTGGCCACGACCGGAGGAAGTCGGCCTGGGTGCGGCCCCCCGGCCCTTCGCGCGCAGTCCCTTAGGGGGCGCCTGGAAGCCCGGCGCATGCGCCCTGAGGGCTCGCTGACCTACCGGGTGCCAGAGAGGCTGCGGCAGGGTTTCTGTGGCGTGGGTCGGGCAGCACAGGCCTTGGTGTGTGCGAGTGCCAAGGAGGGCACCGCCTTCAGGATGGAGGCTGTGCAGGAGGGGGCGGCCGGGGTGGAGAGTGAGCAGGCGGCTTTGGGGGAGGAGGCGGTGCTGCTGTTGGATGACATAATGGCGGAGGTGGAGGTGGTGGCGGAGGAGGAGGGCCTCGTGGAGCGGCGGGAGGAGGCCCAGCGGGCACAGCAGGCTGTGCCTGGCCCTGGGCCCATGACCCCAGAGTCTGCACTGGAGGAGCTGCTGGCCGTTCAGGTGGAGCTGGAGCCGGTTAATGCCCAAGCCAGGAAGGCCTTTTCTCGGCAGCGGGAAAAGATGGAGCGGAGGCGCAAGCCCCACCTAGACCGCAGAGGCGCCGTCATCCAGAGCGTCCCTGGCTTCTGGGCCAATGTTGTATCCTTCTCAGTGTTTCTTCGGCCTTTCTAGTGGAGAGGTGCTCTCGGGGAAGTGTAAGTGACCGATGGGCAGCTCGGCGTCGATGTGACTCTTTGGGGAACAAAGGGGAGTTGCCACGGACCAATGTGGCTGTGGAAAGCCGGAGCAGGCGTGGGTACTATTGTCCTGCATGCGGCAGAGAAACCCTTGGTGATGCCGAGCCGCAGACGTTTGGGGCATCTTTTTGAAGAGCAGAAGCGAGTTCAGAGCGGAAGAGGTTTTTCAGTGAATGAAGCTATTTTTAAGGGAGTGTGATTGCTGCCCCTTGCTAGTCCGATCTGGGACTGGGCGTCTTCGGCTATAAGCAGATTCTGCCACTCCTCAGACACCAGCAAGTCTCTGCAAATCGCGCCTCCCCATGTCAGTGCAGTCAGCCTCAGAATCATACACCCTCTGTGAACACAGGAGGCCTTAGTTTACGGGGACGGGGAGGCGAAAGGAGATCATACATGGAAGCAGATCTGAGAAATCCCCTACCCCAGCCTCTGGGTGCTCTTAGGCCTTCTTCCCTGTTGCTCCTCGCTTTCCCTTCCATCGTGTGTAAAGTCTCTTTGACCTAAATCAGATTGCAAACCACCCCCAGATGTCAGCCCTGATCACTGACGAAGATGAAGACATGCTGAGCTACATGGTCAGCCTGGAGGTGAGGCCAGGAAGACTGGGGCTAGAGGGTTTAGCGGGGGAGGGTAAGGGAAATAATTCATTCCTGTAAGCAAGAGTGAGCACCTCACCCGAAAACCTATCTAAGCTTTCTCCACCTTGTCCTGACAGGTGGAAGAAGAGAAGCATCCTGTTCATCTCTGCAAGATCATGTTGTTCTTTCGGAGTAACCCCTACTTCCAGAATAAAGTGATTACCAAGGAATATCTGGTGAACATCACAGGTGACAGGTGGCTCCCAGGATGGGTAGTGGAAGGAAGATGGTGGGTGGATCATTGCCAACGGGATCCAGCCCCCTTCCCACAAAAACTCCTGTCTCTGTAGAATACAGGGCTTCTCATTCCACTCCAATTGAGTGGTATCCGGATTATGAAGTGGAGGCCTATCGCCGCAGACACCACAACAGCAGCCTTAACTTCTTCAACTGGTTCTCTGACCACAACTTCGCAGGATCTAACAAGATTGCTGAGGTGAGTCCTCACTGGGAAACATGAGGAATGACCCCGTGTGTTCCCAGCTGCTTGGGTCACCTTTCTGAGCCCTGATGAGGCCTTTCCCGATTGAGTCCCCTGACAGATCCTATGTAAGGACCTGTGGCGCAATCCCCTGCAATACTACAAGAGGATGAAGCCACCTGAAGAGGGAACAGAGACGTCAGGTGAGCCGTTAGTTGGCACTGGAGCTGTTTGATGCCCAGTATAAGGGGGTTGACACACCTGCCTATTCAGGGAGCCTGGGTGCTCATTTCAGAAATGTAGAAATTGAGGCTCCTTTCGTACATGTAGAAATTCCTTGAGAGGAAGACAGAGAGTGACAGAATCCAGGACGTTCATGGCATTGGGCTGAAAAGGCACGTTAGAGACTGCACTGCAAAGCGGGTGATAGCTGTGGAGTCTTAAGCCCAGTGAAGAATCGTCCATTTCCAGAATCAATGAGAAGTAAAGCTGAAAATCATTCAGTTCAGTCTGTGGCACTTGATTCCACGGCTGTCAACCCCACCGGCAGTCATCCCACCAACCCCATGAGATTGGGCTCCCTGAATGTGCGTCCTGGTCATCCTTGCCCCAAACCACAAAGGACTGTTTAGATTGATGGATTTCCTTAAGCTGTTGCCCCATCAGACTTGTGTGTGCTTTTAGGGCCCAGTGCATCTTGTTAGCTGACTCCCCTCACAGACAATACTGGGAATGGGGCAGGGATTGCGCAGAACAGTTTGTAACACGTGGTAGGAGGAAGTTTAAGGGATCACAAATGGGGAAGGGATATCCTTTTCTCAGCGGGCCCCACAATTGAAACATTTCAAAGTATGGCTCAGAGAAAATGCGTTTTAACATGAGTTTGTGTTTCTCTAGGGGACTTCCAGTTGTTGAGTTGAATATGATGGAGCATCAGATTTTACCTAATACAGCAGAACTCCTAAAAAGTTACAGCCATATGCAGGACGGCAGTACTCAGCATGGTCTTATGCACAGGAACTAAAGGAAAAAGAGATCGAGTCACAAAAATTCAGGAAGAGGGGGTAAATGTGGATTGTATGGAATGAAAAATAAACATTCTCAAGGATGTGTGACTCTGTGTCTGTGTGTGTGTGTGTGTGTCTTTGTGTTTGTGTGTGTGTGTGTGTGTGTGTGTGTGTGTATGTTTATCCACTTTATTCGGGTGTCATAATGAATTGATCAATCCACGTGCTTTATTCTCTTCATGGAAATAACCAGTCTGCGTTGGAGCTGGGCCTCTAAAGTTGTAGAGTGAATGGGTGTGGGATGTGTTGGGATTCTTCCTACAGGACAGAGTGGGAGAGGTAAAAGCAAAAGACAGCTTAGTTGGAGGCTGACTTCGTCCTGTGGAAGCAGAGATAGTTCAAGGAAAGGGGTTACTGGGTTTCCAGGGCCCAGTTTGCTGGGACCTCCAAAATCCTTCATTTTGGGTATCATCATACACAGTAGCTAAGCACAGGATGATGGAAATCTTAAAGTTCGCTTTCGTGTTGAATCCACATGTTCTTTTAAAGGTGAATGCATGATCCTTTTCTGGGACAATCAGCCTCTCAGGACTTCTGAAACATCAACGTGAGAAGAAATGGGCATGTAAGGTGTATGGAGGGACTGTGGGAAAGGTGACAGAGGCATGTGGGAAGGCATTCAGGATACGCTTTTGGCATAGATGACTAAGGGAAAACAGAAACTTACAGAAGTGAGGGGAAAGGGGGTGGATTAGTGGAATATAAGATTGTTGGAGAATCCATCCATGGACTCTCTTGTCACTTGATGACCCAGGATATGGACACTCTTGTTGATGTTTACATCTTTAGTTGTTTTAAGCTTTTCTCCAAGATTCTGTGTTAGGTGAGGAGCCAATAACGTATGTAGCTAACAACAGTACGAGTGCATTTTGTGCTCTTGCAAAGTCTAGTGAGGCTCTATTCTCCCTCGTGATTGGCACTGCAGATTGTATCTGGAGCCCAGGGCCCCTAAATTTTCTGTGGCCTCTTCAGCATAGTTTGCCTAAGGTTTAGAACGTAAAGCGAATATAGTTGCGGAATATGTTTTGCAAGCCTCACACAGGAGGACAAAACATACAGCTTTCATTCGCGAGTGGGAGGCTGCTTCCCAGGAACACGTGTGTCTGCACAAGACAAGGGGTTGCCTCTGTCAAGGATGGGGCAGGAGGATTTCAGTGTCGGAGGCAGAACTTTCTTTCCTGTTCCCAGATGAAACAGTTCCAACACGAGCATCCATGTTGACCACACGCTACTAGAGTGCTAACATTGCTGTCCCGTATAGACTCTGGTCAGCACAGCTTCTGTGAGAAGAGCTATGTTGTTTCAGGGAAGAGGGTTTGACAGTCAAAGTTCCTGAATCTGTTGTGGTGCCTGCAATATGCATTCTACCCCTCCTGCTCGGTGTCAAAGCAGTTGAGCTTTGAAAATCTATCGCCCGGTTTTGTCCCTGCTCCTATGCAGACCTCTGAAGCTCTGGAGCGGGAGTCTTGTCCTCCTCTGACTACCGTCCCCCTGACCCACAAACACAGGAGAAACAGGTGTTCTAAGCAAATTATTCTGAAAACAGTCGGAACCCTTTGGCCCCCTCAAGCTGCCCTGTATCCTACTGTGTGCATGTCAAAGACACTGTGGTCCAGTACGGTATCCCTATAGCGGCAATGGGGCAACAGATTGGTGTGTGCACTCTGGGCAACTCAGATTAGGAAACGTCTGGGGACTTGCCTATAACGAGGTCGTCTTAAAACGTGTTGCCCCAAATTTAAGGCATAGGAAAATGTTGAGGAAAGGGTCTTGCAATGATTTTTCTAGGAGGTAAATAGATAAGAAAATGACCGTAAATAGATGCCAGGGCTAGTTTTGGAGCTAGCCTGTTTTAAAGTGGTGGTAGGGGAGGAGCTTTTTCCAAGGCAGGTAGCAAACCAGGAACTGTCTACGATGGATGGGTGTGCCACGGGTTGGTGGCTCAGCCATATTGCCACCCCACCGACTGAATGCAGCAGACTGGGCTTCTTCCTTGAATCCTACGTGCAATTCAGTCTAGTGATTTCACATGAGATCCCTTCTTCTGGTATTATCACAGATCGTGCTGAATTATACAGGCTGTGTAATGCTTCTTCCACTGAATATCCGTGCACGTGGGCCACAGATGCTAAGGGCACTGACAAATTTGCACCGTGCCTCAGTAACTCGGAAGCACATCTGTGATTTGTACCGACAGGGACTTGGTGTCTTTTCGTGTTTAAAGTAGCACGTGTGTGTTTGTGGTTGCGTATGTTTATTTCTCTGTGCGGGTTTGTATATTTTCTCTGACTCCACCTGTGTCTCCGTGGTTCCGATATTTTTCCACACTCCCTGCGACAATTTGCACATGCCTATCTCTACAACCATTGTAGACTTTGTATCTGTGTCTTTGAACATCTGTCACTCTCTCTCCCTTCCTTTTTTCTTTTCCTTCCTTTACACCCCTTTCATCCTTCCCTTGCTTCCCCACCACACTCTCTCCATCTGTATCGTCTATCTTTCTATTCTCTATCTGGGTTTACTTTCTAATTCTGAATTCAAGGGCATTGAATTGAAAAGAAGCACTCTTCGTACTTTTATGTGTTTTAACTCATTTGGGGAATTTGGCGTGGTATTATTTACAGGGTTCTCTCTGCCCTTTCTCATTGTTCTCCCCAGCCGGGGCTGTTATTATGTGAAAGCTGGTTTCCTTCATCACATCGCGTAGGCTCTAATGATGTTTCGTTTATTTTGATTCTCCTCACACTACATAGTTTTAATTTACCTAATGTGACTGTTTTTTTGTTTGTTTTCCGAGAATGGGTCTTACTCTGTCTTCTAGGTTGGACAGCAGCCCCACGATCTCAGCCCACTGCAGCCCAGGCACCACACACCCATGTGATCCTGTCAACTCAGACTCTCACACACCTGGCAGTACAGGTGCATGCCACCCCTCCAAGCTATGTATTAATTAACTAAATACTTACTTTTTGAATGTGGGTCCATGTTGCCCCAGGCTCATCTGGAACTCCTGAGTGCAGGCAATCCTCCCACCTCAGCTTATCAAAGTGCTGGGATGACAGGTGTGACCCATGGCCCTGCCATGGCTTTGTGTTTTTTGCTTTTTTCTTCCTCCTCCTCACGTCTTGTTTTGAAACATGCACTGAAGGTTTCAATTCATGGACTATAGTCTCTGTGCCTGGAATTTCTATCTTTCAACTCATCATCAGCATTCATTGGGATTTTCATATATATATACACCTATATAAGAATACCTATGTACACACATATATACGTATATACATGTATATACGTATATATGCACATTTATATACGTATATACATGTATATACGTATATATATACATGTACACATATGTATTTATTTCTCAAGTTACGAAACGGCTTGCATTCTTTCCTGTGTCATGAAAAAGACTTTGCTAGAAAAGAAAAGCACTGCTTTATAATAAAATATTTTATTTGCATTTATTTTGTTAAGGCATTTTAAAAATTGTATGTTTGTTTAAAAAATGTCATATGAAATGATACATATTTACAACTTAAGGCGTGATGTTCAACAGGTCATATACATTATGCATTGGATACATCCAGCCAATCAACATATGTGTGACCTCACATAGTTGTCATTTTTGTTGTGAAAAAACTTGACCTGCACTGTATTCGAATATTTTTAGAGAAAGAATATGTTACCACTAGTTATAGTGAGCATGCTGAAGAAAATATTTTTAACCTATTCCTCCTTTATAACTAGAAGTATGAGTTCTTCATCCAGCATCTCGTCAGTGCACCCTCTTCACCGCAGTCATTGGAGTCACTACTTCTGTGAAGTCCGCTTTTTTGATTTCATATAAGAATGAGATCATGTGCTATTTTCCTTTCTGATACCTGGCTTATGTCACTTAACAGAATGGCATGCACACATTCAGCAGATTCCCACACATTCTCACAACTGGCAGGATTTCCTGATTTCTTATTGCAGCGCATATTTCCGTTGCGCATATGCGTTTTTGCCCCATTTTTTAATCCACTTATCAATGGAGGGACACTCAGGTTGCTTCCGCATTTTGGCTACAGCAAAAATGTAATGAGTGCAGCAATAATTGCATGGGTGCGCGCACCGCTTCAACATACTGATCTGTGTACTGGCGGGCGTGCCCGGGTATTCTGATTTGCTGGATCATATAGTGGGTGGTTCTACTTGTAGATTTCTGAAGGCTGTTTATACTTAAATAAGAGCCATAAAGCTTCTTTAATGCCAGCACTAATTTACATTCTCCCCAAAAGTGAGCAGGGAATTCGTTTTCTCTGCCTCCTCACCAGAGATTAGGGTTTTCTTTTCTTTCTTTTTTTTTTTGTTTGTTTGTCTTTCGGATAATATGCATTCTGACTGAAGTGAGAAGAAATCTCATTGTGTTTTTGATTTGCATTTTCGTGATGGATTGGGGATAATGAGGAATTTTTAGTGTGTCTTCTGGGCAACTGTATGTCTCAGTTTCACAAATGAGTCTTCGCAGCCTTCGCCCATTTGTTTTCATGCTATTGAGTTGTTGGGAGTTCCTTATGTACTGTGACTATTCCCCCATGAACAGATGTATGGTGATCCAATCATTGCTCCCATCCTGTAGGATGCCCCTTCTGTATGTTGAGTTTTCTATGGTGTGGTGAAGCACTTTAGTTTGATATGATTCCATTCTCTATTTTTGATGGTGTTTACTGTGTTCTTGCAGTCACTTTGAGACCATCATTGCACACACGGACGCCATGGAGCTGCTTCCTTGTGATCTCTTCTGCTATTTTTGTCGTTTCACATCTGACACTGGAGTTTGGTGATAAATAATCCACTTGTAAAATCCTTTGTGTGGCTATTCAGATTTCCCCAACCTAGTTTATAGAAGATACTTGATTTTGCATTGGGCGTTCTTGCTTCTTTGGGAAAAGGCTGTGAGCTGCAAATGCAGTGACTTAGTTCTGGGCTCCTGTTGTTTTTCCTAAGCTCTAGTCTCTGCTTTTCTGCCAGCGCTATTGTATTTTGGTACAAAAAGTTTTGTAGTAGTATATCATGAAGTTAGGTAGTGGGGTGGCTCCAGCTTTGTGCTTTTTACTGGATTGCTCTGGGTTTTCAGGATCTTCTGCCATTTCATAGCAAATTTGGGATTCCCAGATTGTTTTTCTAAGAAGAATGTGTCATTGATATTTTTACAGGGGTTGTATAGAATCTGAGGATGACTCAGGTAGTAGTGATGTCAATGCCGTTTAGACAATGTGCGTGTTTGTGTGCACATGCTCAGGGCCAAGAGACACTGGGTGTCCTCACCAATACTGAGGTGGGCCTTAATATCCAGCCAGATTGCCTTCTGGAAACACACGGAATGTCCTGTTCTGTTTTGCCATCTCTTCACATTTCCTCCCCTGTGAGCCCTGTGTGGTCCTCCAGATTCCCTGTGCGGTGGCCTGCCTTTTTTGGGGTGGGGAGTTGCTGGGTGAATGAGGATGGCGGAGGGAACCAAGCATGTCAGTGGAGCGTGGTGTCATCCAAACGGTACTTAGCAGGCCTGGGAGAGTCATTCTGGGAGGACGCAGACCTAGAGAGGCCTCAGGTGGGCATCTGTGTGGAGGGTGAGAGATCCCTGGTTGAGCCCAAACTGAACCCCAGGTAGAAGCAAGCCTCAGGACAGGGAAGTAGCTAGCAAGGGATGATGAGGCAGCTATCTCTTGACCCTGGCTTCCCACCCATTGACCTTAGCTACTTATGCCTATTAAGCAGATTACGGTTCCCCCATCGTGAAATGTGGGTACCACAGTTCCCTGATGGGCATTTCTCCACCAGCCCATGATGGCCTGAGTTTCCTTACTGCAGTCTCCTCCCTGAGCCTTGGCTTCTCTATGTGTGTCCTAACTCCAGGACCCACAGGCCTGTCAACCCCCAGCCCTGGGCTGCTTCCCTGGCCTCTTCTCTGTTCCCTCTCTGAGGGCCTAACTCCCTTGGGTAGTGCTGCAGAATATAGAGCCACAGGCCCTGGCTGATGATCTGGTGGACTGGGCAAATTGGTCGTGACAGGTCAGGTTCTGGTTCAAAGCCAATTCCTCCGATGCCAAGGAATGTCGAAGAAGGTCCTTTGCCATGATGCCCCATAGCTGCCCCACCTCAGCAATCGTGCCGTAACCTGGGCCCTCACAGTCAGACAACCAGCTGAAGAAGCTCAGGCAGTGACCTGCGGGAAACTCGGGCTTTCACCTGCATGACCCTAGAACCACTGGACTGCAGTGGAGCCAGTCGCCCTGTATCCTGGAGGGAGACGAGTCAGGAAGGCGCACGCCAGGCCCAGCTCCCGAGGTACTACCCCCTCTACTCCTCAGGGAGGATGCCAACGCAATACTCCTTAGTCATCACTTTGTTTCCGAAGTAAATGTTGTGATGAAAGGCAAACTTCTTCCTACCCCTTGTATTCAGGGTGGCCGAGTTCCTCCACCTGCCTGTCCAAGAAGGAGAAACAGGGCTGTGAAGGGGCAATTTCATCTAGGTGGGCTGAGGTGGCACTCTAGCCGGGGTGAAGCATGCGTTTCCCCTTCCCAGCTTTCCCGCTGAGACACACCTGAGCCCCAGAAGGACCTCAACCTGACCAGGACCTTAGCACCCTCCCCCAGACCCAGGCTTTCCATCCTGACCTGCAAATCCAACATGCAGCTTTGAAGGACTTTCTCATGGTTTCTGAGCTCCTTGCTCTCACCAGAAAGAATCAGAACTTTTAAAGTGTTCTTTATGCCAACTTAAATTTTTCATTTTTACTACCTCATGTTTTGGATGAGGCATGTATTTTTAAATTTATTTTCACCCTTATTGTACCTCTATGATAAACTGCTTGCTTACATTCATACCGTAATTATCTCTCAGGTTACTTGTCTGTTCCTAAAGATTCACTGAAACGAAGAATTCTATATATGCTTGTATCTTTCAGCAACCGTATGTCAGATAGCACTGCACATTACTGCAGACATCGCATATACAGGTCCAAAGGTAGAGGAAGAAGAAGAAAGCAAGCGTTAAACTCTATTCATTCCTAAAAGCATATCAGAAACTCACAAATAACAGTGAAATCAAAGAATGATCACAGCCAATTCCATTACATACCTAGACTGAAATACGAAACTTCAAAGAAAAGAAACATTAGAACTTTGGGTTTGTAAAAATTTTCCTATATAGATAAAATTGTTGGTAACTGTGTCTCACTAGAAAACGTAAACAAAAATCCATGTTTTTCATATTTGTAAATATACATAGTTTTATTTCCATCAGTTATGACATGCAAGCAAGTAATAAAGTGAAAGTACAATCAAATGATATATGGAACTTCCTCAGTCTTAAAATATTCCATGGAGACTATCAATTTTATGAAAACTATAAAGAATGCTTCATGAAACTACATTGTACAGTGCCATTTACTATTTTACTGACATTTTAAATAATCAACAATTAAAGGGAATACGTCAACATTATTTAATACCAATAACGTTATTTTTCTTGAGTAATCCTGTTGAAATTAAGGATTTTAAATAAAACATTAAAAACAAATTATATTGACTGATTTCAGCTTTGGATGAAATCATACTTGTGTATTTGTAGTAATGCGAAGCATAACTTTCTCCTCACAATTAATCTTTTATAACATCGGTGTTATAGTTTTCTCTGACACCAACATTGTGATATCGCACAGGTTTACTGCATGCATGCATTACATGCCTCCAGAGAGTAGGCTTCAAATATATGGAAAAATTATATTTATGAAAAAATTCTAGGAAAGGGAATGGTGAAATGGAAGAGAATTTCTCACTTGCTAACTGTTGGACATGGATTTGTATATATTTGGATATAGACACATACTGGCACACTGTGAGTTTGCCCATGTATATATACACTTATATGAGAAACCCATAATATATGGGTTGTGTAATCTTTTAATTAATCCATAATTGTATGTGTGTGAAATTAGATAAGCGGTTACCTTTTCTTTACTCAATTTGATGGAAAGCCAAAAAACTCTGTCCACCTTCATTTCAATTAATCCAATACTGTTAACTGCTGGTAGCTTCATTCTCCTTGTTCTCTTACGGCAACCGGAAAGTTAATTCTCGCTCTAATTTGGCTTTCAAGGTGCGATCAACAAGAGTGTCACCTTGCTGTGGATTGTGACCTCTGACTCCACCTCTGTCTTCCTTTTGCAGTCCTACCTTTGCATAGGTAACAAACTTTGTACATGGTTAAAAGGATAAAAGTTCAGTGAAATGTCAAGCCATGCTGTGAAATGTTCCATAGTTTCTATATCTCTAATTGTCCTTTGATGTTATAGAGGCAAGAAAAATAATTCAATGTTTTTCTTAGTATCTAGTCCAATGCACTCTTTCTTCATAATACTGCAAACAAGGCACTGACATGGAAACGTGGCTGGACGTCTCAAAATCTCTTCTCATTAATTACCATTATGTTAATCACTGTTGCCCACAACTGGAATTGGACTTTGAAATCCCCTGGTGGAAATTGCTATAATGGCTCAAACTACTGGAAAGACTATCTTTTTTTTACCTGAAAATATCTGATGAGCATAGACGTATGCTATATACAGGAACATATTGTACATTAACAACATACCATCACTGCCACTCAATAATAGGTATCCCAAACCTTTGAGCCAAACTGAGCTCGGGTGCTCCCACAAACCAAGCTTTTCCCTCCACAGATTTCTTATGTCAAAAAGCCACAACTCCAGGCCAGGCTTCGTGGCTCTTGTTGTAATTTCTACATTTTGGGAGGCCGAGGTTGGTGGGTCACTTGAGGTCAGGAGTTGGAGACCAGCATGGGCAACATGGCAAAAAGCTGTCTCTACCAAAAATACAAAAATTAGCCAGACCTAGTGGCACTTTCCTGTGGTCCCAGCTACTTGGGAGGCTGAGGCAGGAGAACCACCTGAACATGGGTGGCAGAGATTGTATAGTAAGCCAAGATCAGACTACTGCACTCCAGCCTGGATGACACAGCGAGACCATGACTGAAAAAAGAAAAAAAAAAAATAAAGGCAACTCCACTCGTCCACTGGCTTAGGTAAAAAGTACTGGAGTTGGCTGGGCTCGGTGGCTCACACCTGTATTCCCAGCACTTTGGATTTTGGGAAGCTGAGTCGGGCGGGTCACCTGAGATCTGTAGTAGGAGAGCAGCCTGGCCAACATGGTGAAGCCTGGCTTCTACTAAAAATACAAAACATTAGCTGAGCGTGGTGATGCATGCTTGTAATCCCAGCTACTGCAGAGGCTGAACCTGGGAGGCGGAGGATGTGTTGAGCTGAGATCCTGCCACTGCGCTCCAGCCTGGTCTACAGAGCGAGAGTACCCTGTGAGAAACAAAGGTGAAGAGAACAAGAAAAAAAAATGAGAAAAATAAGACCCACTGCAAAAGGTTGCCACAGAAAAGATTAAACATTTCAGCAACTTCTATCTTCTGTCATGGAAGCCAAGGTTATTTGGACCAAACCTCCTGTCTTAGTTCATTTTCACGCTGCTGAAGAAGACATACCTGAAACTGGGAATAAAAGGAGGTTTAATTGGACTGACAGTTCCACATGGCTGTGGAGGCCTCAGAATCATGGTATACGAATAAAGGCACTTCTTACATGGCAATGCCAAGAGAGAATGAGGAAGAACCTGAGGCAGAAACCCCTGAAAAACCCATCAGATCCCGTGAGACTTCTTCACTGTCACAAGAATAGCATGAGAAAGACCGACCCCCATGATTCAATTACCTCCCCCTGGGTCCCACCCGCAACACGAGGGAATTCTGGGAGATACAATTGAAGCTGAGATTTGAATGGAGACACACCAAACCATGTCACTTCCCAAACAATTAAAAATTCCCAATAGAAGAAGCATTAATTATATCAAAAAGTGGTGGACCAAGAAGGAACTATTAGCCTCATATCTCAAGAAAGACTCCAGTCAAGGCCTAGGGACTACTCATGAAAAGAGTTTAATAGCCGACTCTCTCCCAGTGGATCTGGATTCCACCGGACTGTATCTTCACAGTAAGGGTGAAACAGAAGCAAACCCATTCCTATTTCCAAGCTCAAGGAACTTTGGTCAAAGTTCTCTTGGAGCTGAGCAGAACAAGGAGGCAAACAGAAAAGATTTGTGTCCCTGAGAAGTCATGGCCACAGGCTGGCTATCACACAGATTGTCAAGCCAGTTCCATATTGCATGGGTATTACAGAAAATCTCAAAACATAAATTTGTGTGTGGGTTGTCCCAGAGTAGCAGGATCTGGCAGAAGGAAATTTCCTTCTAACCCTCAAAGAATCCACATAAATCTTGTTACATTTGGGATTTTACGATTTGCTTCAGGAATGAGAATGGCCTTAATTTTCATATCTTTTTCTACACTCAGTTTATGGCTTGTTGGCGTCAAAGTTCTGCTTGCTTCACACAATGAGTTTAGGATTTTCCCTTTTTTATTCTATAGAATTCTTCATATATATTGAAATGCTCTGCCTGGGGAAAAAAATCTGAGCCTAGCGTTTTATCTCTAGGAAGAATCCTTTATTTCCTTGAACATTTATGAGACTATACAGATTATATATGTCTTCTTGTATCAATTTTACTAAGCTATATACATAGCTTATGTTTATATATTATATATATAAATGTAAGATACAAATATAAAAATTATGTATAAATATGAAAATATATATAGAAAGCGATATATATGTCTATATATATAGACAGATTATAAATATCTGTCTATTTGATCTAAGTTTTCAAATTTGTAGGTTAAGGTGTTAATGATATTTCCTTATTAGCTTCTTAATCTATGCTGTATCTATGGTTGTGTACCTTTTAAATTCTTAGTTTTATCTATGTTTTCTCCCTTTTTTTCTAAACTTGACTGACGGTTGCATCATTTATTATATTTCTCCAACAAGCAAAGGTTAGCTTTGTATGTTTTACTAATTTTGTCTACATCATTATTCCCACACTTTAGTTTTTCAGAATTGATTCTGTTGTTTCTTTTCTAATTCTTTATTGAAATATCTAGTACATTAATTTTCAAGTTATTAGAGAAATATTTGTCTGTAAACTCCTATTGTAATATCACTTTTCTTGCTACTCACAGATTTAATCTTCAATATTGGCGGTATCATTGAGTTCTAAGTACATTTCAATTCCTAGTATGATAATCTATGAATTGCTGAGAAATAGTGTTTACAATTTTGTTGTTCTATTTCCACTTAAGTTTATTTTTACTTCTGCTAACTCAATTGAAAATTCTTTACTAATTTTTAAAATCCTTGAACCCAAGAGATGGAGGTTGCAGTGAGCTGAGATCAGGCCACTGCATTCCAGACTGAGTGACAGAGTGGAACGAGATTTCAAAACAAAACAAAACAAAACAAAACAAAACAGTCACTGGAAAGATAATAAAATACATAAATGTGGGATGTAATATGTAATCGTGATAAAATAAACTGGATTTTTTGTATAAGTTATACATATAAATGTAATGCCAAGACACTGATAAGACAACTCATGGTCTTATCTCAATACTTAGTGTCTTCATGTAACATATGTCCTTTAGGATAGTTATAGTCCGTTTTCTTTCCAGGAGAGACAGATGAGAATGCAGAAATGTTAAAGTGCAAGGGACGGAAGCTTCCAGCTGTGCCCACCTGTAACCTGACGTAGACAGTTCCACCGTTTGCTTCATTAATCATGCCAAAGGCTCTAATGCAAATGTGGTACAGAGTCACATGTTTTTGTATCTACATGATAGAAACTATAACTTCATCCCTATATAGAAGGGTATATAGCATATGCCTCAGTGATAAATATAAGTGAATCATTGATCAGTAGGAAACCATTTTAAAAGTCTTTCATAACAGAACAAAATCCCTGAAAACATTTTCTTCTCAATCTCTGAGTTTTCTTACACGGCTTATGAATCTCTAGCCATACTAAAGAGATAGTATGCTGCTCTTCCCACAAATTATTCATTGTATATAATTCCTGTAATCTAATAACAGTACCTTTACACCTCAGGGTTTAAAATGACTCCAACCTTTTTCTGTTTCTCCAATTAAAATAACTTTTTTAAGGTTTAATCTTCAGTAATTTTTTGTAGTAATATTTTTTGAAGGTATTTGACCAGGATGATTTGCTTATATACCTACCTGACGTCTCCCTTTCTTCTGAATACATATTTTATTACCCACCTATTAGATCTAAGTTTAAGAAGTTGGAATAGGGATTTAAATCTAAATTCTACATTTGAATTTACAGGAGTCAGCGAGTCGGGGAAGTGCCTTTATGCACAGACCAATATCTGGCAATGGCACTAGGAGACAAATAAGCTTTACCAGTCTCAAAGCCCTGGCTACTACAGTGAATCCACCCTTCTCCTGGATCTTATCTACTTCAGCAAAAGAAGGCCACCCACTAAACCAGGCCCTTGTACTTTGGGTGGAAACTCCTAAGTCCTCTAGTCTCCTCAAACAGACAGCCAGGCTGCCAATTTCCACAATAATAATTTCTATAGCACTGAGTCTTTGGTAGCCTTGTAACTATAGCTACTGATGCTACAGTCTGGTCCCTGTATGATAAAACACCAGAGCAACAGAAACAAAAATATTGACTGAAGCCTTCTAAAATCTCTCTAAATATACCTTCAATAAATATGGTTTTTTTTACAGAACGACTGCTTTCAGCTTCCTGAACTAACGCTTGGCCTTCGCTAGTTGTCACTGTTGAAATTGATTCAAAAGTGTACATTTAACATGAAAGTCAACACAGAATTTCATGTGTCAGCAACTAAAATTTTCAAAATGTTGCAAAATACAAATGTGAAACTGTATTTGTGAAATTTACCATTCATTGAAATTATATTTTCATACCTACCCAGGCACAGAATTTTTTATAACTGTCTGCATGTTCTCCTCATGTGGGGGAAAAACAGCATCAGCAGGCAGAGGAATCCTTTGAAGCTGGAGGGAGAGGTTGCAGTGATCTGAGAGTTTGCCACTTGACTGCAGCCTGGATGACACAGTGAGACTCCAACTGAAAAGAAACAAACACACACACACACACACACACACACACACACACCCCCAAAATTGATAAGTAAAAAAAAAATCCATATTCGAAAACATGCTCACAGGCTAACTCCCATATCTAACACACACACACACACACACACACACACACACACACACACAATTCCTTGAAAACGAAAGTTCCACAAGGGCGAAACAAGAAAACAAATTTAACACCCCCCAAAGAAAGTACGAAGAGTAACCTCAAAAGAACCGCAGGGGAAAACAATTCAAAATTTACAAGTATCTACCCTAAAAGAAGCTGAAAGTCCCTCAAAAACTTTCCAGAGGCCATGTCCTTGTATTACAAAAATGATCATAAAAACTGGCAGGAGTAGACGAATAGAAATGCATCTTAAAACTTGCTGAACACTTCAAGTCTCCCATAAGAATTGTAATGGAAAATGGATCAGTCGGCAGTTTTTTCCATACAATTATGAACAAATTATATTTCTTCATACATAGATTTGTTTTTTCAATATTCTAAGGAATTAACTTTTATATTAATAGTAGGTGATGTAAGAAAGCAGGCCTTTATCAAGATAACTGACACTGGATGTCCATACCATTACTCAGGTGGGCCTTAATTCCCAGCCGGGTTCCCTCCCTGGACACACACTGAAGGTCCCCAGCCATTTGGCAATCTCTTCACATTCCCAGCCCTGGAGGTAGCCCTAAAATACATGTACCTGAAGAAAATAAAACATTGCCTCACACTGGAGCCCAGTGTGGTCCTCCAGATTCCGTGTGAGGTGGACTAACTTATATGGGAAGGCAGGGCAGCGGGAGTGAGGATGGCAGAGAGGATTACACATGTCAAGGCAGCCGGGGTCATGGAAACAAAACATGACTGGCCTGGGAGAAACACTGTGAAAGGACACAGACCTAGGTGGGCCTCAGGTGGACATCCTCGTGGAGAAAAAGGGGGCCCTGGTTGATCTCAAAATGAGCCCCAGGTGGTAGCAGGTCTTACCGCAGGGCAGGGAGCTGGCGAGTAATGATGAGACAGCTATCCCTTAAGCCCTGCTTGTCACCCACTGACTTTAGCCACATATGCATCATAGTGGCTTAAGGTGCCCCGATCCTGAAATGTGGGTGTTACATGTCCCTGATGGGCCTCTCTCCCCCAACCCACGGATTGCCTGGGATTGCTCACTGCAGTCTCCTCCCGGATCCTTGGGTTCTCCATGTGGGGCCCAGATCCAGGTCAAAAGGCCTCTCAGTTCCCAGCCCTTCCCAGCCCTAGGCTGCTCGCCTGGCCTCCTCTCTGTTCCGCCTCTAGGGCTGACCCTCTCTCCATGGGATAGAACTGCAATGGATTGAGCCATAGGCCCTGGCTGATGATCTAGGGGACTGCAGAAGTGGGTCCAGGACAGTTCAGGTGACAGTTCAAAGCCAATTCCCCAGAGACCAAGGAATGACCAGCTAGGTCCTTTCCCATGATGCCCCATGGCGAACCCCACCTCAGCAATCCTGCCAAAACCCGGGCAGTCATGTTCAGCCAAACAGCTGAATGAGCTCAGGTAGGAGGTGTACTGCCTGCAGCTGGAGGCTTGACCTTCGTGATCCCAGAACCGCTGGACTGCAGTGGAATGAGACACCCTGTAGCCTGCAGGGAGAGGAGTCAGGAAGGTTCATGCCAGTCCCACCCTCCCACACACCAGCTCCCCTACCATGCTGGGAGGCATTCCTTACCGAGGATGCCAACACAGTGCTCCTTCATGATGATTTCACTGTGGAAATAAAGGTTGGGATGAAAGGAAATCATCCTGCCACCGGTAACCGGGATGGCTGAGTTCCTCCACCTGCCGGATCAAGGAGAAAGAGGATGGATTCAATGGGACCATCTCAACTAGCTGGGCTGAGGTGGCCTACTAGCTGTAGTGAACCATGAGTTTCCCCTTCCCAGCTCTCCCACTGAGACAACCCTGGTCCCCAGGGGGACCTCAAACTGACTCAGACACTGGACTCCTCCCACAGACCCAGGCTCCCCAGCCTGACCTGCAAATCCATCACGTAGCAAAGCAGGACTTCCGCATGCTTTCCGACCCACGCCGACATCTCGTGTGCCAAACAATCTACCTCTGCGCAAGAACTCTCCAGAGGATTGGGTGGGCAAGCCTCGTGACGCCTTGCAATTTCGCAAGAACACAGACAATGTGGAACAGGGCCATCTCCCAGACATTTGGCCAGTCACCCTTCATTGTTGGCCCTCTATCTCTGTCTGGCGAGGAGGCAACGCCACAACTGTGGTGGTTTTTGGAGTGGGTGGACCCCGGCCAAGACGGCCTGGGCTGACCAGAGACGGGAGGCAGAAAAAGTGGGCAGGTGGTTGCAGCTGAGGGACGGGAGGGACCGGGGGTGGTGTGAGGCGGCTGCTTCTCTGAGTTTCTGAGATGCAGGAGGCCTTTGTGTGCTGGGTGCTGGACATGCTCCGCTGATGTCCGGGTGTGTGGTGTCCTCTTATCCTAGTCTCCCTGAGGGGTGGGCCTGTCCACCTGAGGGAAGCCTTGTAGTTAGAAGCCACAGCAGGGTCGTGCCTGGCGCTCTCCAAGGGAATTGCGTGGGTCCAGAGGAAGTTATACAGGCTCAGGGCCTACACGCCTTTGAGTGCAGCGCCTGCAGTTGGATGAATGCGCATCTGCGGAGCTGGTGCCCGCCGTCAGGTGGTCGGCAGCCCCATGCGCCGCGAACCCGTCTTAAGCACCTTGTGTTTCTGGGGTGAGCCTGCTGGAAACAGGCACCGAGAGCAGGGGTGGTTCAATGGCTGGTAATGGCATACAGATTCCCCGTCCTCCAGGGACGTTCCCAGGGAAACGCGTCCTTCGAATTTGGGCTGTGCGCAAAGGGACCTTGGCGCCGCGATTCTCCCTTGTCAGTGCTGGCCCTGGCTCCCCTTCCCTACCACGTGCTCCCAGGGCTGCTACAAGCGAGCTGCCCTCACAGCTGCGGGAACGTGGCCTCGGCTCCCACGCTGTCCCCCATCCCCTGCCTCCTGGCTGACCCCACGTGCCTCCCACCTGGCTCCTCCCCCCAAACAGCCCCCATACCCCCCGAGGCCCGATGACTATCCCCTGCTGCCCGCCATCCCAAATCGGCAGCCGCAAGGATATGGCTCTGGCTCACAAGGCGGAGATGCTCTGTGGCCTGGGGCATTCACGGAGCCCAGCTCCAAGTGAAGGACCTCCAGCGAGTCCATTGACGGCCCCGGTGTGCTCGGTCCAGGGCCAGGCTGTGCCCGCTGGCCCTCCTTCTGCCACCCCACGTCGGGCTCCACCTCAACCACCACCTCCACCTCAGCCATGATGTCTTCCACCTTCAGCACCGCCTCCTCTTCCAAGGCCGCCTCCTTGCTCTGTACCCCGGCCGTCCTCTCCAGCATTGCCTCCAGCCTGAACACGGTTTTCTCCTGGGTGCTCCCACAGACCCTGGGCCTGCGCAGCCCAGCCCAGCCCAGCCCATGCCCCGCACCCGTAGGCTCTGGGGGCCCGCTCCCCAGCAGACCCGCTCCCTGCAAGACCCACGGGCGTCGCCCTGCTGTGAACCTGGTCCCACACCTACGTGGACCCAGGTTTCCTGAGGAGCTCCGCTGGACCCGCAGATCCCGCACTGGCCAAAGGGCTCCGGTCCCCAGCAGGCTCAACTGCGCACAGGAGCTCGGGAGCCAGAGGCCCCGGCCCTGGGCTTGCAGAGCCCCACCAACAGGCACCGCAACCGCTGCTGCGGGTGCGGGAGCCTCTGGGTCGTCAAGGCAGCGCACAACAGCGTGCGCGCAGGCCGACAATGGCCAACCCTGGCGGCTGGCCTCTGGTGTGCCCAGGGCATAGGACAAGAGGCCCTTTGGAATGCTCCTTGGAGTACAGCATCCTCAGGGAGGAAGCATGGTACTCGGAGCCTCTATTTGCCTCGACCTGTGAGAGTGTGTGCCGGGGCTCTGGCCTCTACAGCAGATCAATTCCACCTCAGCACCGGCAGGCGACTTTCCTCCCACGTGCCCGCCCCGATCACTTCCCCCAGGACACCCCTGCCGCCCTAGCCCCAGCAACCAGAGAGAGTTCTCTGCATCTGCTGTATTACCTCCGTACCATCTACCTGGCCTGCCTAACGAAGAGAGATGTTTCCTGTGTTCATGACACATAGAGATGTTCATGGCTTGCCACACTGAGGATGTCAGGGCACAGGGCTGCCATGCCCACAATTCCAAAGGCCACGCAGCCCGCGTGTGCCCGGATGCCTAGCTACCCGGCACAAGCTCCAAGGGCTTCTCGGAGGAGGCTTGGGCAGGGAAGGCGGGGGGTGGGGGGGCTGGAGATGCAGGCCCGCCAGTGGCTGTGCCGCCCAGGGAGACGCCCACCGCCCTCCCATTGATTGGCCACGACCGGAGGAAGTCGGCCTGGGTGCGGCCCCCCGGCCCTTCGCGCGCAGTCCCTTAGGGGGCGCCTGGAAGCCCGGCGCATGCGCCCTGAGGGCTCGCTGACCTACCGGGTGCCAGAGAGGCTGCGGCAGGGTTTCTGTGGCGTGGGTCGGGCAGCACAGGCCTTGGTGTGTGCGAGTGCCAAGGAGGGCACCGCCTTCAGGATGGAGGCTGTGCAGGAGGGGGCGGCCGGGGTGGAGAGTGAGCAGGCGGCTTTGGGGGAGGAGGCGGTGCTGCTGTTGGATGACATAATGGCGGAGGTGGAGGTGGTGGCGGAGGAGGAGGGCCTCGTGGAGCGGCGGGAGTAGGCCCAGCGGGCACAGCAGGCTGTGCCTGGCCCTGGGCCCATGACCCCAGAGTCTGCACTGGAGGAGCTGCTGGCCGTTCAGGTGGAGCTGGAGCCGGTTAATGCCCAAGCCAGGAAGGCCTTTTCTCGGCAGCGGGAAAAGATGGAGCGGAGGCGCAAGCCCCACCTAGACCGCAGAGGCGCCGTCATCCAGAGCGTCCCTGGCTTCTGGGCCAATGTTGTATCCTTCTCAGTGTTTCTTCGGCCTTTCTAGTGGAGAGGTGCTCTCGGGGAAGTGTAAGTGACCGATGGGCAGTTCGGCGTCGATGTGACTCTTTGGGGAACAAAGGGGAGTTGCCACGGACCAATGTGGCTGTGGAAAGCCGGAGCAGGCGTGGGTACTATTGTCCTGCATGCGGCAGAGAAACCCTTGGTGATGCCGAGCCGCAGACGTTTGGGGCATCTTTTTGAAGAGCAGAAGCGAGTTCAGAGCGGAAGAGGTTTTTCAGTGAATGAAGCTATTTTTAAGGGAGTGTGATTGCTGCCCCTTGCTAGTCCGATCTGGGACTGGGCGTCTTCGGCTATAAGCAGATTCTGCCACTCCTCAGACACCAGCAAGTCTCTGCAAATCGCGCCTCCCCATGTCAGTGCAGTCAGCCTCAGAATCATACACCCTCTGTGAACACAGGAGGCCTTAGTTTACGGGGACGGGGAGGCGAAAGGAGATCATACATGGAAGCAGATCTGAGAAATCCCCTACCCCAGCCTCTGGGTGCTCTTAGGCCTTCTTCCCTGTTGCTCCTCGCTTTCCCTTCCATCGTGTGTAAAGTCTCTTTGACCTAAATCAGATTGCAAACCACCCCCAGATGTCAGCCCTGATCACTGACGAAGATGAAGACATGCTGAGCTACATGGTCAGCCTGGAGGTGAGGCCAGGAAGACTGGGGCTAGAGGGTTTAGCGGGGGAGGGTAAGGGAAATAATTCATTCCTGTAAGCAAGAGTGAGCACCTCACCCGAAAACCTATCTAAGCTTTCTCCACCTTGTCCTGACAGGTGGAAGAAGAGAAGCATCCTGTTCATCTCTGCAAGATCATGTTGTTCTTTCGGAGTAACCCCTACTTCCAGAATAAAGTGATTACCAAGGAATATCTGGTGAACATCACAGGTGACAGGTGGCTCCCAGGATGGGTAGTGGAAGGAAGATGGTGGGTGGATCATTGCCAACGGGATCCAGCCCCCTTCCCACAAAAACTCCTGTCTCTGTAGAATACAGGGCTTCTCATTCCACTCCAATTGAGTGGTATCCGGATTATGAAGTGGAGGCCTATCGCCGCAGACACCACAACAGCAGCCTTAACTTCTTCAACTGGTTCTCTGACCACAACTTCGCAGGATCTAACAAGATTGCTGAGGTGAGTCCTCACTGGGAAACATGAGGAATGACCCCGTGTGTTCCCAGCTGCTTGGGTCACCTTTCTGAGCCCTGATGAGGCCTTTCCCGATTGAGTCCCCTGACAGATCCTATGTAAGGACCTGTGGCGCAATCCCCTGCAATACTACAAGAGGATGAAGCCACCTGAAGAGGGAACAGAGACGTCAGGTGAGCCGTTAGTTGGCACTGGAGCTGTTTGATGCCCAGTATAAGGGGGTTGACACACCTGCCTATTCAGGGAGCCTGGGTGCTCATTTCAGAAATGTAGAAATTGAGGCTCCTTTCGTACATGTAGAAATTCCTTGAGAGGAAGACAGAGAGTGACAGAATCCAGGACGTTCATGGCATTGGGCTGAAAAGGCACGTTAGAGACTGCACTGCAAAGCGGGTGATAGCTGTGGAGTCTTAAGCCCAGTGAAGAATCGTCCATTTCCAGAATCAATGAGAAGTAAAGCTGAAAATCATTCAGTTCAGTCTGTGGCACTTGATTCCACGGCTGTCAACCCCACCGGCAGTCATCCCACCAACCCCATGAGATTGGGCTCCCTGAATGTGCGTCCTGGTCATCCTTGCCCCAAACCACAAAGGACTGTTTAGATTGATGGATTTCCTTAAGCTGTTGCCCCATCAGACTTGTGTGTGCTTTTAGGGCCCAGTGCATCTTGTTAGCTGACTCCCCTCACAGACAATACTGGGAATGGGGCAGGGATTGCGCAGAACAGTTTGTAACACGTGGTAGGAGGAAGTTTAAGGGATCACAAATGGGGAAGGGATATCCTTTTCTCAGCGGGCCCCACAATTGAAACATTTCAAAGTATGGCTCAGAGAAAATGCGTTTTAACATGAGTTTGTGTTTCTCTAGGGGACTCCCAGTTGTTGAGTTGAATATGATGGAGCATCAGATTTTACCTAATACAGCAGAACTCCTAAAAAGTTACAGCCATATGCAGGACGGCAGTACTCAGCATGGTCTTATGCACAGGAACTAAAGGAAAAAGAGATCGAGTCACAAAAATTCAGGAAGAGGGGGTAAATGTGGATTGTATGGAATGAAAAATAAACATTCTCAAGGATGTGTGACTCTGTGTGTCTGTGTGTGTGTGTGTGTGTCTTTGAGTTTGTGTGTGTGTGTGTGTGTGTATGTTTATCCACTTTATTCGGGTGTCATAATGAATTGATCAATCCACGTGCTTTATTCTCTTAATGGAAATAACCAGTCTGCGTTGGAGCTGGGCCTCTAAAGTTGTAGAGTGAATGGGTGTGGGATGTGTTGGGATTCTTCCTACAGGACAGAGTGGGAGAGGTAAAAGCAAAAGACAGCTTAGTTGGAGGCTGACTTCGTCCTGTGGAAGCAGAGATAGTTCAAGGAAAGGGGTTACTGGGTTTCCAGGGCCCAGTTTGCTGGGACCTCCAAAATCCTTCATTTTGGGTATCATCATACACAGTAGCTAAGCACAGGATGATGGAAATCTTAAAGTTCGCTTTCGTGTTGAATCCACATGTTCTTTTAAAGGTGAATGCATGATCCTTTTCTGGGACAATCAGCCTCTCAGGACTTCTGAAACATCAACGTGAGAAGAAATGGGCATGTAAGGTGTATGGAGGGACTGTGGGAAAGGTGACAGAGGCATGTGGGAAGGCATTCAGGATACGCTTTTGGCATAGATGACTAAGGGAAAACAGAAACTTACAGAAGTGAGGGGAAAGGGGGTGGATTAGTGGAATATAAGATTGTTGGAGAATCCATCCATGGACTCTCTTGTCACTTGATGACCCAGGATATGGACACTCTTGTTGATGTTTACATCTTTAGTTGTTTTAAGCTTTTCTCCAAGATTCTGTGTTAGGTGAGGAGCCAATAACGTATGTAGCTAACAACAGTACGAGTGCATTTTGTGCTCTTGCAAAGTCTAGTGAGGCTCTATTCTCCCTCGTGATTGGCACTGCAGATTGTATCTGGACCCAGGGCCCCTAAATTTTCTGTGGCCTCTTCAGCATAGTTTGCCTAAGGTTTAGAACGTAAAGCGAATATAGTTGCGGAATATGTTTTGCAAGCCTCACACAGGAGGACAAAACATACAGCTTTCATTCGCGAGTGGGAGGCTGCTTCCCAGGAACACGTGTGTCTGCACAAGACAAGGGGTTGCCTCTGTCAAGGATGGGGCAGGAGGATTTCAGTGTCGGAGGCAGAACTTTCTTTCCTGTTCCCAGATGAAACAGTTCCAACACGAGCATCCATGTTGACCACACGCTACTAGAGTGCTAACATTGCTGTCCCGTATAGACTCTGGTCAGCACAGCTTCTGTGAGAAGAGCTATGTTGTTTCAGGGAAGAGGGTTTGACAGTCAAAGTTCCTGAATCTGTTGTGGTGCCTGCAATATGCATTCTACCCCTCCTGCTCGGTGTCAAAGCAGTTGAGCTTTGAAAATCTATCGCCCGGTTTTGTCCCTGCTCCTATGCAGAACTCTGAAGCTCTGGAGCGGGAGTCTTGTCCTCCTCTGACTACCGTCCCCCTGACCCACAAACACAGGAGAAACAGGTGTTCTAAGCAAATTATTCTGAAAACAGTCGGAACCCTTTGGCCCCCTCAAGCTGCCCTGTATCCTACTGTGTGCATGTCAAAGACACTGTGGTCCAGTACGGTATCCCTATAGCGGCAATGGGGCAACAGATTGGTGTGTGCACTCTGGGCAACTCAGATTAGGAAACGTCTGGGGACTTGCCTATAACGAGGTCGTCTTAAAACGTGTTGCCCCAAATTTAAGGCATAGGAAAATGTTGAGGAAAGGGTCTTGCAATGATTTTTCTAGGAGGTAAATAGATAAGAAAATGACCGTAAATAGATGCCAGGGCTAGTTTTGGAGCTAGCCTGTTTTAAAGTGGTGGTAGGGGAGGAGCTTTTTCCAAGGCAGGTAGCAAACCAGGAACTGTCTACGATGGATGGGCGTGCCACGGGTTGGTGGCTCAGCCATATTGCCACCCCACCGAGTGAATGCAGCAGACTGGGCTTCTTCCTTGAATCCTACGTGCAATTCAGTCTAGTGATTTCACATGAGATCCCTTCTTCTGGTATTATCACAGATCGTGCTGAATTATACAGGCTGTGTAATGCTTCTTCCACTGAATATCCGTGCACGTGGGCCACAGATGCTAAGGGCACTGACAAATTTGCACCGTGCCTCAGTAACTCGGAAGCACATCTGTGATTTGTACCGACAGGGACTTGGTGTCTTTTCGTGTTTAAAGTAGCACGTGTGTGTTTGTGGTTGCGTATGTTTATTTCTCTGTGCGGGTTTGTATATTTTCTCTGACTCCACCTGTGTCTCCGTGGTTCCGATATTTTTCCACACTCCCTGCGACAATTTGCACATGCCTATCTCTACAACCATTGTAGACTTTGTATCTGTGTCTTTGAACATCTGTCACTCTCTCTCCCTTCCTTTTTTCTTTTCCTTCCTTTACACCCCTCCTTTCATCCTTCCCTTGCTTCCCCACCACACTCTCTCCATCTGTATCGTCTATCTTTCTATTCTCTATCTGGGTTTACTTTCTAATTCTGAATTCAAGGGCATTGAATTGAAAAGAAGCACTCTTCGTACTTTTATGTGTTTTAACTCATTTGGGGAATTTGGCGTGGTATTATTTACAGGGTTCTCTCTGCCCTTTCTCATTGTTCTCCCCAGCCGGGGCTGTTATTATGTGAAAGCTGGTTTCCTTCATCACATCGCGTAGGCTCTAATGATGTTTCGTTTATTTTGATTCTCCTCACACTACATAGTTTTAATTTACCTAATGTGACTGTTTTTTTGTTTGTTTTCCGAGAATGGGTCTTACTCTGTCTTCTAGGTTGGACAGCAGCCCCACGATCTCAGCCCACTGCAGCCCAGGCACCACACACCCATGTGATCCTGTCAACTCAGACTCTCACACACCTGGCAGTACAGGTGCATGCCACCCCTCCAAGCTATGTATTAATTAACTAAATACTTACTTTTTGAATGTGGGTCCATGTTGCCCCAGGCTCATCTGGAACTCCTGAGTGCAGGCAATCCTCCCACCTCAGCTTATCAAAGTGCTGGGATGACAGGTGTGACCCATGGCCCTGCCATGGCTTTGTGTTTTTTGCTTTTTTCTTCCTCCTCCTCACGTCTTGTTTTGAAACATGCACTGAAGGTTTCAATTCATGGACTATAGTCTCTGTGCCTGGAATTTCTATCTTTCAACTCATCATCAGCATTCATTGGGATTTTCATATATATATACACCTATATAAGAATACCTATGTACACACATATATACGTATATACATGTATATACGTATATATGCACATTTATATACGTATATACATGTATATACGTATATATATACATGTACACATATGTATTTATTTCTCAAGTTACGAAACGGCTTGCATTCTTTCCTGTGTCATGAAAAAGACTTTGCTAGAAAAGAAAAGCACTGCTTTATAATAAAATATTTTATTTGCATTTATTTTGTTAAGGCATTTTAAAAATTGTATGTTTGTTTAAAAAATGTCATATGAAATGATACATATTTACAACTTAAGGCGTGATGTTCAACAGGTCATATACATTATGCATTGGATACATCCAGCCAATCAACATATGTGTGACCTCACATAGTTGTCATTTTTGTTGTGAAAAAACTTGACCTGCACTGTATTCGAATATTTTTAGAGAAAGAATATGTTACCACTAGTTATAGTGAGCATGCTGAAGAAAATATTTTTAACCTATTCCTCCTTTATAACTAGAAGTATGAGTTCTTCATCCAGCATCTCGTCAGTGCACCCTCTTCACCGCAGTCATTGGAGTCACTACTTCTGTGAAGTCCGCTTTTTTGATTTCATATAAGAATGAGATCATGTGCTATTTTCCTTTCTGATACCTGGCTTATGTCACTTAACAGAATGGCATGCACACATTCAGCAGATTCCCACACATTCTCACAACTGGCAGGATTTCCTGATTTCTTATTGCAGCGCATATTTCCGTTGCGCATATGCGTTTTTGCCCCATTTTTTAATCCACTTATCAATGGAGGGACACTCAGGTTGCTTCCGCATTTTGGCTACAGCAAAAATGTAATGAGTGCAGCAATAATTGCATGGGTGCGCGCACCGCTTCAACATACTGATCTGTGTACTGGCGGGCGTGCCCGGGTATTCTGATTTGCTGGATCATATAGTGGGTGGTTCTACTTGTAGATTTCTGAAGGCTGTTTATACTTAAATAAGAGCCATAAAGCTTCTTTAATGCCAGCACTAATTTACATTCTCCCCAAAAGTGAGCAGGGAATTCGTTTTCTCTGCCTCCTCACCAGAGATTAGGGTTTTCTTTTCTTTCTTTTTTTTTTTTTGTTTGTTTGTCTTTCGGATAATATGCATTCTGACTGAAGTGAGAAGAAATCTCATTGTGTTTTTGATTTGCATTTTCGTGATGGATTGGGGATAATGAGGAATTTTTAGTGTGTCTTCTGGGCAACTGTATGTCTCAGTTTCACAAATGAGTCTTCGCAGCCTTCGCCCATTTGTTTTCATGCTATTGAGTTGTTGGGAGTTCCTTATGTACTGTGACTATTCCCCCATGAACAGATGTATGGTGATCCAATCATTGCTCCCATCCTGTAGGATGCCCCTTCTGTATGTTGAGTTTTCTATGGTGTGGTGAAGCACTTTAGTTTGATATGATTCCATTCTCTATTTTTGATGGTGTTTACTGTGTTCTTGCAGTCACTTTGAGACCATCATTGCACACACGGACGCCATGGAGCTTCTTCCTTGTGATCTCTTCTGCTATTTTTATCGTTTCACATCTGACACTGGAGTTTGGTGATAAATAATCCACTTGTAAAATCCTTTGTGTGGCTATTCAGATTTCCCCAACCTAGTTTATAGAAGATACTTGATTTTGCATTGGTCGTTCTTGCTTCTTTGGGAAAAGGCTGTGAGCTGCAAATGCAGTGACTTAGTTCTGGGCTCCTGTTGTTTTTCCTAAGCTCTAGTCTCTGCTTTTCTGCCAGTGCTATTGTATTTTGGTACAAAAAGTTTTGTAGTAGTATATCATGAAGTTAGGTAGTGGGGTGGCTCCAGCTTTGTGCTTTTTACTGGATTGCTCTGGGTTTTCAGGATCTTCTGCCATTTCATAGCAAATTTGGGATTCCCAGATTGTTTTTCTAAGAAGAATGTGTCATTGATATTTTTACAGGGGTTGTATAGAATCTGAGGATGACTCAGGTAGTAGTGATGTCAATGCCGTTTAGACAATGTGCGTGTTTGTGTGCACAAGCTCAGGGCCAAGAGACACTGGGTGTCCTCACCAATACTGAGGTGGGCCTTAATATCCAGCCAGATTGCCTTCTGGAAACACACGGAATGTCCTGTTCTGTTTTGCCATCTCTTCACATTTCCTCCCCTGTGAGCCCTGTGTGGTCCTCCAGATTCCCTGTGCGGTGGCCTGCCTTTTTTGGGGTGGGGAGTTGCTGGGTGAATGAGGATGGCGGAGGGAACCAAGCATGTCAGTGGAGCGTGGTGTCATCCAAACGGTACTTAGCAGGCCTGGGAGAGTCATTCTGGGAGGACGCAGACCTAGAGAGGCCTCAGGTGGGCATCTGTGTGGAGGGTGAGAGATCCCTGGTTGAGCCCAAACTGAACCCCAGGTAGAAGCAAGCCTCAGGACAGGGAAGTAGCTAGCAAGGGATGATGAGGCAGCTATCTCTTGACCCTGGCTTCCCACCCATTGACCTTAGCTACTTATGCCTATTAAGCAGATTACGGTTCCCCCATCGTGAAATGTGGGTACCACAGTTCCCTGATGGGCATTTCTCCACCAGCCCATGATGGCCTGAGTTTCCTTACTGCAGTCTCCTCCCTGAGCCTTGGCTTCTCTATGTGTGTCCTAACTCCAGGACCCACAGGCCTGTCAACCCCCAGCCCTGGGCTGCTTCCCTGGCCTCTTCTCTGTTCCCTCTCTGAGGGCCTAACTCCCTTGGGTAGTGCTGCAGAATATAGAGCCACAGGCCCTGGCTGATGATCTGGTGGACTGGGCAAATTGGTCGTGACAGGTCAGGTTCTGGTTCAAAGCCAATTCCTCCGATGCCAAGGAATGTCGAAGAAGGTCCTTTGCCATGATGTCCCATAGCTGTCCCACCTCAGCAATCGTGCCGTAACCTGGGCCCTCACAGTCAGACAACCAGCTGAAGAAGCTCAGGCAGTGACCTGCGGGAAACTCGGGCTTTCACCTGCATGACCCTAGAACCACTGGACTGCAGTGGAGCCAGTCGCCCTGTATCCTGGAGGGAGACGAGTCAGGAAGGCGCACGCCAGGCCCAGCTCCCGAGGTACTACCCCCTCTACTCCTCAGGGAGGATGCCAACGCAATACTCCTTAGTCATCACTTTGTTTCCGAAGTAAATGTTGTGATGAAAGGCAAACTTCTTCCTACCCCTTGTATTCAGGGTGGCCGAGTTCCTCCACCTGCCTGTCCAAGAAGGAGAAACAGGGCTGTGAAGGGGCAATTTCATCTAGGTGGGCTGAGGTGGCACTCTAGCCGGGGTGAAGCATGCGTTTCCCCTTCCCAGCTTTCCCGCTGAGACACACCTGAGCCCCAGAAGGACCTCAACCTGACCAGGACCTTAGCACCCTCCCCCAGACCCAGGCTTTCCATCCTGACCTGCAAATCCAACATGCAGCTTTGAAGGACTTTCTCATGGTTTCTGAGCTCCTTGCTCTCACCAGAAAGAATCAGAACTTTTAAAGTGTTCTTTATGCCAACTTAAATTTTTCATTTTTACTACCTCATGTTTTGGATGAGGCATGTATTTTTAAATTTATTTTCACCCTTATTGTACCTCTATGATAAACTGCTTGCTTACATTCATACCGTAATTATCTCTCAGGTTACTTGTCTGTTCCTAAAGATTCACTGAAACGAAGAATTCTATATATGCTTGTATCTTTCAGCAACCGTATGTCAGATAGCACTGCACATTACTGCAGACATCGCATATACAGGTCCAAAGGTAGAGGAAGAAGAAGAAAGCAAGCGTTAAACTCTATTCATTCCTAAAAGCATATCAGAAACTCACAAATAACAGTGAAATCAAAGAATGATCACAGCCAATTCCATTACATACCTAGACTGAAATACGAAACTTCAAAGAAAAGAAACATTAGAACTTTGGGTTTGTAAAAATTTTCCTATATAGATAAAATTATTGGTAACTGTGTCTCACTAGAAAACGTAAACAAAAATCCATGTTTTTCATATTTGTAAATATACATAGTTTTATTTCCATCAGTTATGACATGCAAGCAAGTAATAAAGTGAAAGTACAATCAAATGATATATGGAACTTCCTCAGTCTTAAAATATTCCATGGAGACTATCAATTTTATGAAAACTATAAAGAATGCTTCATGAAACTACATTGTACAGTGCCATTTACTATTTTACTGACATTTTAAATAATCAACAATTAAAGGGAATACGTCAACATTATTTAATACCAATAACGTTATTTTTCTTGAGTAATCCTGTTGAAATTAAGGATTTTAAATAAAACATTAAAAACAAATTATATTGACTGATTTCAGCTTTGGATGAAATCATACTTGTGTATTTGTAGTAATGCGAAGCATAACTTTCTCCTCACAATTAATCTTTTATAACATCGGTGTTATAGTTTTCTCTGACACCAACATTGTGATATCGCACAGGTTTACTGCATGCATGCATTACATGCCTCCAGAGAGTAGGCTTCAAATATATGGAAAAATTATATTTATGAAAAAATTCTAGGAAAGGGAATGGTGAAATGGAAGAGAATTTCTCACTTGCTAACTGTTGGACATGGATTTGTATATATTTGGATATAGACACATACTGGCACACTGTGAGTTTGCCCATGTATATATACACTTATATGAGAAACCCATAATATATGGGTTGTGTAATCTTTTAATTAATCCATAATTGTATGTGTGTGAAATTAGATAAGCGGTTACCTTTTCTTTACTCAATTTGATGGAAAGCCAAAAAACTCTGTCCACCTTCATTTCAATTAATCCAATACTGTTAACTGCTGGTAGCTTCATTCTCCTTGTTCTCTTACGGCAACCGGAAAGTTAATTCTCGCTCTAATTTGGCTTTCAAGGTGCGATCAACAAGAGTGTCACCTTGCTGTGGATTGTGACCTCTGACTCCACCTCTGTCTTCCTTTTGCAGTCCTACCTTTGCATAGGTAACAAACTTTGTACATGGTTAAAAGGATAAAAGTTCAGTGAAATGTCAAGCCATGCTGTGAAATGTTCCATAGTTTCTATATCTCTAATTGTCCTTTGATGTTATAGAGGCAAGAAAAATAATTCAATGTTTTTCTTAGTATCTAGTCCAATGCACTCTTTCTTCATAATACTGCAAACAAGGCACTGACATGGAAACGTGGCTGGACGTCTCAAAATCTCTTCTCATTAATTACCATTATGTTAATCACTGTTGCCCACAACTGGAATTGGACTTTGAAATCCCCTGGTGGAAATTGCTATAATGGCTCAAACTACTGGAAAGACTATCTTTTTTTACCTGAAAATATCTGATGAGCATAGACGTATGCTATATACAGGAACATATTGTACATTAACAACATACCATCACTGCCACTCAATAATAGGTATCCCAAACCTTTGAGCCAAACTGAGCTCAGGTGCTCCCACAAACCAAGCTTTTCCCTCCACAGATTTCTTATGTCAAAAAGCCACAACTCCAGGCCAGGCTTCGTGGCTCTTGTTGTAATTTCTACATTTTGGGAGGCCGAGGTTGGTGGGTCACTTGAGGTCAGGAGTTGGAGACCAGCATGGGCAACATGGCAAAAAGCTGTCTCTACCAAAAATACAAAAATTAGCCAGACCTAGTGGCACTTTCCTGTGGTCCCAGCTACTTGGGAGGCTGAGGCAGGAGAACCACCTGAACATGGGTGGCAGAGATTGTATAGTAAGCCAAGATCAGACTACTGCACTCCAGCCTGGATGACACAGCGAGACCATGACTGAAAAAAGAAAAAAAAAAATAAAGGCAACTCCACTCGTCCACTGGCTTAGGTAAAAAGTACTGGAGTTGGCTGGGCTCGGTGGCTCACACCTGTATTCCCAGCACTTTGGATTTTGGGAAGCTGAGTCGGGCGGGTCACCTGAGATCTGTAGTAGGAGAGCAGCCTGGCCAACATGGTGAAGCCTGGCTTCTACTAAAAATACAAAACATTAGCTGAGCGTGGTGATGCATGCTTGTAATCCCAGCTACTGCAGAGGCTGAACCTGGGAGGCGGAGGATGTGTTGAGCTGAGATCCTGCCACTGCGCTCCAGCCTGGTCTACAGAGCGAGAGTACCCTGTGAGAAACAAAGGTGAAGAGAACAAGAAAAAAAAAATGAGAAAAATAAGACCCACTGCAAAAGGTTGCCACAGAAAAGATTAAACATTTCAGCAACTTCTATCTTCTGTCATGGAAGCCAAGGTTATTTGGACCAAACCTCCTGTCTTAGTTCATTTTCACGCTGCTGAAGAAGACATACCTGAAACTGGGAATAAAAGGAGGTTTAATTGGACTGACAGTTCCACATGGCTGTGGAGGCCTCAGAATCATGGTATACGAATAAAGGCACTTCTTACATGGCAATGCCAAGAGAGAATGAGGAAGAACCTGAGGCAGAAACCCCTGAAAAACCCATCAGATCCCGTGAGACTTCTTCACTGTCACAAGAATAGCATGAGAAAGACCGACCCCCATGATTCAATTACCTCCCCCTGGGTCCCACCCGCAACACGAGGGAATTCTGGGAGATACAATTGAAGCTGAGATTTGAATGGAGACACACCAAACCATGTCACTTCCCAAACAATTAAAAATTCCCAATAGAAGAAGCATTAATTATATCAAAAAGTGGTGGACCAAGAAGGAACTATTAGCCTCATATCTCAAGAAAGACTCCAGTCAAGGCCTAGGGACTACTCATGAAAAGAGTTTAATAGCCGACTCTCTCCCAGTGGATCTGGATTCCACCGGACTGTATCTTCACAGTAAGGGTGAAACAGAAGCAAACCCATTCCTATTTCCAAGCTCAAGGAACTTTGGTCAAAGTTCTCTTGGAGCTGAGCAGAACAAGGAGGCAAACAGAAAAGATTTGTGTCCCTAAGAAGTCATGGCCACAGGCTGGCTATCACACAGATTGTCAAGCCAGTTCCATATTGCATGGGTATTACAGAAAATCTCAAAACATAAATTTGTGTGTGGGTTGTCCCAGAGTAGCAGGATCTGGCAGAAGGAAATTTCCTTCTAACCCTCAAAGAATCCACATAAATCTTGTTACATTTGGGATTTTACGATTTGCTTCAGGAATGAGAATGGCCTTAATTTTCATATCTTTTTCTACACTCAGTTTATGTCTTGTTGGCGTCAAAGTTCTGCTTGCTTCACACAATGAGTTTAGGATTTTCCCTTTTTTATTCTATAGAATTCTTCATATATATTGAAATGCTCTGCCTGGGGAAAAAAATCTGAGCCTAGCGTTTTATCTCTAGGAAGAATCCTTTATTTCCTTGAACATTTATGAGACTATACAGATTATATATGTCTTCTTGTATCAATTTTACTAAGCTATATACATAGCTTATGTTTATATATTATATATATAAATGTAAGATACAAATATAAAAATTATGTATAAATATGAAAATATATATAGAAAGCGATATATATGTCTATATATATAGACAGATTATAAATATCTGTCTATTTGACCTAAGTTTTCAAATTTGTAGGTTAAGGTGTTAACGATATTTCCTTATTAGCTTCTTAATCTATGCTGTATCTATGGTTGTGTACCTTTTAAATTCTTAGTTTTATCTATGTTTTCTCCCTTTTTTTCTAAACTTGACTGACGGTTGCATCATTTATTATATTTCTCCAACAAGCAAAGGTTAGCTTTGTATGTTTTACTAATTTTGTCTACATCATTATTCCCACACTTTAGTTTTTCAGAATTGATTCTGTTGTTTCTTTTCTAATTCTTTATTGAAATATCTAGTACATTAATTTTCAAGTTATTAGAGAAATATTTGTCTGTAAACTCCTATTGTAATATCACTTTTCTTGCTACTCACAGATTTAATCTTTAATATTGGCGGTATCATTGAGTTCTAAGTACATTTCAATTCCTAGTATGATAATCTATGAATTGCTGAGAAATAGTGTTTACAATTTTGTTGTTCTATTTCCACTTAAGTTTATTTTTACTTCTGCTAACTCAATTGAAAATTCTTTACTAATTTTTAAAATCCTTGAACCCAAGAGATGGAGGTTGCAGTGAGCTGAGATCAGGCCACTGCATTCCAGACTGAGTGACAGAGTGGAACGAGATTTCAAAACAAAACAAAACAAAACAAAACAAAACAGTCACTGGAAAGATAATAAAATACATAAATGTGGGATGTAATATGTAATCGTGATAAAATAAACTGGATTTTTTGTATAAGTTATACATATAAATGTAATGCCAAGACACTGATAAGACAACTCATGGTCTTATCTCAATACTTAGTGTCTTCATGTAACATATGTCCTTTAGGATAGTTATAGTCCGTTTTCTTTCCAGGAGAGACAGATGAGAATGCAGAAATGTTAAAGTGCAAGGGACGGAAGCTTCCAGCTGTGCCCACCTGTAACCTGACGTAGACAGTTCCACCGTTTGCTTCATTAATCATGCCAAAGGCTCTAATGCAAATGTGGTACAGAGTCACATGTTTTTGTATCTACATGATAGAAACTATAACTTCATCCCTATATAGAAGGGTATATAGCATATGCCTCAGTGATAAATATAAGTGAATCATTGATCAGTAGGAAACCATTTTAAAAGTCTTTCATAACAGAACAAAATCCCTGAAAACATTTTCTTCTCAATCTCTGAGTTTTCTTACACGGCTTATGAATCTCTAGCCATACTAAAGAGATAGTATGCTGCTCTTCCCACAAATTATTCATTGTATATAATTCCTGTAATCTAATAACAGTACCTTTACACCTCAGGGTTTAAAATGACTCCAACCTTTTTCTGTTTCTCCAATTAAAATAACTTTTTTAAGGTTTAATCTTCAGTAATTTTTTGTAGTAATATTTTTGAAGGTATTTGACCAGGATGATTTGCTTATATACCTACCTGACGTCTCCCTTTCTTCTGAATACATATTTTATTACCCACCTATTAGATCTAAGTTTAAGAAGTTGGAATAGGGATTTAAATCTAAATTCTACATTTGAATTTACAGGAGTCAGCGAGTCCGGGAAGTGCCTTTATGCACAGACCAATATCTGGCAATGGCACTAGGAGACAAATAAGCTTTACCAGTCTCAAAGCCCTGGCTACTACAGTGAATCCACCCTTCTCCTGGATCTTATCTACTTCAGCAAAAGAAGGCCACCCACTAAACCAGGCCCTTGTACTTTGGGTGGAAACTCCTAAGTCCTCTAGTCTCCTCAAACAGACAGCCAGGCTGCCAATTTCCACAATAATAATTTCTATAGCACTGAGTCTTTGGTAGCCTTGTAACTATAGCTACTGATGCTACAGTCTGGTCCCTGTATGATAAAACACCAGAGCAACAGAAACAAAAATATTGACTGAAGCCTTCTAAAATCTCTCTAAATATACCTTCAATAAATATGGTTTTTTTTACAGAACGACTGCTTTCAGCTTCCTGAACTAACGCTTGGCCTTCGCTAGTTGTCACTGTTGAAATTGATTCAAAAGTGTACATTTAACATGAAAGTCAACACAGAATTTCATGTGTCAGCAACTAAAATTTTCAAAATGTTGCAAAATACAAATGTGAAACTGTATTTGTGAAATTTACCATTCATTGAAATTATATTTTCATACCTACCCAGGCACAGAATTTTTTATAACTGTCTGCATGTTCTCCTCATGTGGGGGAAAAGCAGCATCAGCAGGCAGAGGAATCCTTTGAAGCTGGAGGGAGAGGTTGCAGTGATCTGAGAGTTTGCCACTTGACTGCAGCCTGGATGACACAGTGAGACTCCAACTGAAAAGAAACAAACACACACACACACACACACACACACACACACACACACACACCCCCAAAATTGATAAGTAAAAAAAAAATCCATATTCGAAAACATGCTCACAGGCTATCTCCCATATCTAACACACAGACACACACACACACACACACACACACACACACAATTCCTTGAAAACGAAAGTTCCACAAGGGCAAAAGAAGAAAACAAATTTAACACCCCCCAAAGAAAGTACAAAGAGTAACCTCAAAAGAACCGCAGGGGAAAACAATTCAAAATTTACAAGTATCTACCCTAAAAGAAGCTGAAAGTCCCTCAAAAACTTTCCAGAGGCCATGTCCTTGTATTACAAAAATGATCATAAAAACTGGCAGGAGTAGACGAATAGAAATGCATCTTAAAACTTGCTAAACCCTTCAAGTCTCCCATAAGAATTGTAATGGAAAATGGATCGGTCGGCAGCTTTTTCCATACAATTATGAACAAATTATATTTCTTCATACATAGATTTGTTTTTTCAATATTCTAAGGAATTAACTTTTATATTAATAGTAGGTGATGTAAGAAAGCAGGCCTTTATCAAGATAACTGACACTGGATGTCCATACCATTACTCAGGTGGGCCTTAATTCCCAGCCGGGTTCCCTCCCTGGACACACACTGAAGGTCCCCAGCCATTTGGCAATCTCTTCACATTCCCAGCCCTGGAGGTAGCCCTAAAATACATGTACCTGAAGAAAATAAAACATTGCCTCACACTGGAGCCCAGTGTGGTCCTCCAGATTCCGTGTGAGGTGGACTAACTTATATGGGAAGGCAGGGCAGCGGGAGTGAGGATGGCAGAGAGGATTACACATGTCAAGGCAGCCGGGGTCATGGAAACAAAACATGACTGGCCTGGGAGAAACACTGTGAAAGGACACAGACCTAGGTGGGCCTCAGGTGGACATCCTCGTGGAGAAAAAGGGGGCCCTGGTTGATCTCAAAATGAGCCCCAGGTGGTAGCAGGTCTTACCGCAGGGCAGGGAGCTGGCGAGTAATGATGAGACAGCTATCCCTTAAGCCCTGCTTGTCACCCACTGACTTTAGCCACATATGCATCATAGTGGCTTAAGGTGCCCCGATCCTGAAATGTGGGTGTTACATGTCCCTGATGGGCCTCTCTCCCCCAACCCACGGATTGCCTGGGATTGCTCACTGCAGTCTCCTCCCGGATCCTTGGGTTCTCCATGTGGGGCCCAGATCCAGGTCAAAAGGCCTCTCAGTTCCCAGCCCTTCCCAGCCCTAGGCTGCTCGCCTGGCCTCCTCTCTGTTCCGCCTCTAGGGCTGACCCTCTCTCCATGGGATAGAACTGCAATGGATTGAGCCATAGGCCCTGGCTGATGATCTAGGTGACTGCAGAAGTGGGTCCAGGACAGTTCAGGTGACAGTTCAAAGCCAATTCCCCAGAGACCAAGGAATGACCAGCTAGGTCCTTTCCCATGATGCCCCACGGCGAACCCCACCTCAGCAATCCTGCCAAAACCCGGGCAGTCATGTTCAGCCAAACAGCTGAATGAGCTCAGGTAGGAGGTGTACTGCCTGCAGCTGGAGGCTTGACCTTCGTGATCCCAGAACCGCTGGACTGCAGTGGAATGAGACACCCTGTAGCCTGCAGGGAGAGGAGTCAGGAAGGTTCATGCCAGTCCCACCCTCCCACACACCAGCTCCCCTACCATGCTGGGAGGCATTCCTTACCGAGGATGCCAACACAGTGCTCCTTCATGATGATTTCACTGTGGAAATAAAGGTTGGGATGAAAGGAAATCATCCTGCCACCGGTAACCGGGATGGCTGAGTTCCTCCACCTGCCGGATCAAGGAGAAAGAGGATGGATTCAATGGGACCATCTCAACTAGCCGGGCTGAGGTGGCCTACTAGCTGTAGTGAACCATGAGTTTCCCCTTCCCAGCTCTCCCACTGAGACAACCCTGGTCCCCAGGGGGACCTCAAACTGACTCAGACACTGGACTCCTCCCACAGACCCAGGCTCCCCAGCCTGACCTGCAAATCCATCACGTAGCAAAGCAGGACTTCCGCATGCTTTCCGACCCACGCCGACATCTCGTGTGCCAAACAATCTACCTCTGCGCAAGAACTCTCCAGAGGATTGGGTGGGCAAGCCTCGTGACGCCTTGCAATTTCGCAAGAACACAGACAATGTGGAACAGGGCCATCTCCCAGACATTTGGCCAGTCACCCTTCATTGTTGGCCCTCTATCTCTGTCTGGCGAGGAGGCAACGCCACAACTGTGGTGGTTTTTGGAGTGGGTGGACCCCGGCCAAGACGGCCTGGGCTGACCAGAGACGGGAGGCAGAAAAAGTGGGCAGGTGGTTGCAGCTGAGGGACGGGAGGGACCGGGGGTGGTGTGAGGCGGCTGCTTCTCTGAGTTTCTGAGATGCAGGAGGCCTTTGTGTGCTGGGTGCTGGACATGCTCCGCTGATGTCCGGGTGTGTGGTGTCCTCTTATCCTAGTCTCCCTGAGGGGTGGGCCTGTCCACCTGAGGGAAGCCTTGTAGTTAGAAGCCACAGCAGGGTCGTGCCTGGCGCTCTCCAAGGGAATTGCGTGGGTCCAGAGGAAGTTATACAGGCTCAGGGCCTACACGCCTTTGAGTGCAGCGCCTGCAGTTGGATGAATGCGCATCTGCGGAGCTGGTGCCCGCCGTCAGGTGGTCGGCAGCCCCATGCGCCGCGAACCCGTCTTAAGCACCTTGCGTTTCTGGGGTGAGCCTGCTGGAAACAGGCACCGAGAGCAGGGGTGGTTCAATGGCTGGTAATGGCATACAGATTCCCCGTCCTCCAGGGACGTTCCCAGGGAAACGCGTCCTTCGAATTTGGGCTGTGCGCAAAGGGACCTTGGCGCCGCGATTCTCCCTTGTCAGTGCTGGCCCTGGCTCCCCTTCCCTACCACGTGCTCCCAGGGCTGCTACAAGCGAGCTGCCCTCACAGCTGCGGGAACGTGGCCTCGGCTCCCACGCTGTCCCCCATCCCCTGCCTCCTGGCTGACCCCACGTGCCTCCCACCTGGCTCCTCCCCGCAAACAGCCCCCATACCCCCCGAGGCCCGATGACTATCCCCTGCTGCCCGCCATCCCAAATCGGCAGCCGCAAGGATATGGCTCTGGCTCACAAGGCGGAGATGCTCTGTGGCCTGGGGCATTCACGGAGCCCAGCTCCAAGTGAAGGACCTCCAGCGAGTCCATTGACGGCCCCGGTGAGCTCGGTCCAGGGCCAGGCTGTGCCCGCTGGCCCTCCTTCTGCCACCCCACGTCGGGCTCCACCTCAACCACCACCTCCACCTCAGCCATGATGTCTTCCACCTTCAGCACCGCCTCCTCTTCCAAGGCCGCCTCCTTGCTCTGTACCCCGGCCGTCCTCTCCAGCATTGCCTCCAGCCTGAACACGGTTTTCTCCTGGGTGCTCCCACAGACCCTGGGCCTGCGCAGCCCAGCCCAGCCCAGCCCATGCCCCGCACCCGTAGGCTCTGGGGGCCCGCTCCCCAGCAGACCCGCTCCCTGCAAGACCCACGGGCGTCGCCCTGCTGAGAACCTGGTCCCACACCTACGTGGACCCAGGTTTCCTGAGGAGCTCCGCTGGACCCGCAGATCCCGCACTGGCCAAAGGGCTCCGGTCCCCAGCAGGCTCAACTGCGCACAGGAGCTCGGGAGCCAGAGGCCCCGGCCCTGGGCTTGCAGAGCCCCACCAACAGGCACCGCAACCGCTGCTGCGGGTGCGGGAGCCTCTGGGTCGTCAAGGCAGCGCACAACAGCGTGCGCGCAGGCCGACAATGGCCAACCCTGGCGGCTGGCCTCTGGTGTGCCCAGGGCATAGGACAAGAGGCCCTTTGGAATGCTCCTTGGAGTACAGCATCCTCAGGGAGGAAGCATGGTACTCGGAGCCTCTATTTGCCTCGACCTGTGAGAGTGTGTGCCGGGGCTCTGGCCTCTACAGCAGATCAATTCCACCTCAGCACCGGCAGGCGACTTTCCTCCCACGTGCCCGCCCCGATCACTTCCCCCAGGACACCCCTGCCGCCCTTGCCCCAGCAACCAGAGAGAGTTCTCTGCATCTGCTGTATTACCTCCGTACCATCTACCTGGCCTGCCTAACGAAGAGAGATGTTTCCTGTGTTCATGACACATAGAGATGTTCATGGCTTGCCACACTGAGGATGTCAGGGCACAGGGCTGCCATGCCCACAATTCCAAAGGCCACGCAGCCCGCGTGTGCCCGGATGCCTAGCTACCCGGCACAAGCTCCAAGGGCTTCTCGGAGGAGGCTTGGGCAGGGAAGGCGGGGGGTGGGGGGGCTGGAGATGCAGGCCCGCCAGTGGCTGTGCCGCCCAGGGAGACGCCCACCGCCCTCCCATTGACTGGCCACGACGGGAGGAAGTCGGCCTGGGTGCGGCCCCCCGGCCCTTCGCGCGCAGTCCCTTAGGGGGCGCCTGGAAGCCCGGCGCATGCGCCCTGAGGGCTCGCTGACCTACCGGGTGCCAGAGAGGCTGCGGCAGGGTTTCTGTGGCGTGGGTCGGGCAGCACAGGCCTTGGTGTGTGCGAGTGCCAAGGAGGGCACCGCCTTCAGGATGGAGGCTGTACAGGAGGGGGCGGCCGGGGTGGAGAGTGAGCAGGCGGCTTTGGGGGAGGAGGCGGTGCTGCTGTTGGATGACATAATGGCGGAGGTGGAGGTGGTGGCGGAGGTGGAGGTGGTGGCGGAGGAGGAGGGCCTCGTGGAGCGGCGGGAGGAGGCCCAGCGGGCACAGCAGGCTGTGCCTGGCCCTGGGCCCATGACCCCAGAGTCTGCACTGGAGGAGCTGCTGGCCGTTCAGGTGGAGCTGGAGCCGGTTAATGCCCAAGCCAGGAAGGCCTTTTCTCGGCAGCGGGAAAAGATGGAGCGGAGGCGCAAGCCCCAGCTAGACCGCAGAGGCGCCGTCATCCAGAGCGTCCCTGGCTTCTGGGCCAATGTTGTATCCTTCTCAGTGTTTCTTCGGCCTTTCTAGTGGAGAGGTGCTCTCGGGGAAGTGTAAGTGACCGATGGGCAGCTCGGCGTCGATGTGACTCTTTGGGGAACAAAGGGGAGTTGCCACGGACCAGTGTGGCTGTGGAAAGCCGGAGCAGGCGTGGGTACTATTGTCCTGCATGCGGCAGAGAAACCCTTGGTGATGCCGAGCAGCAGACGTTTGGGGCATCTTTTTGAAGAGCAGAAGCGAGTTCAGAGCGGAAGAGGTTTTTCAGTGAATGAAGCTATTTTTAAGGGAGTGTGATTGCTGCCCCTTGCTAGTCCGATCTGGGACTGGGCGTCTTCGGCTATAAGCAGATTCTGCCACTCCTCAGACACCAGCAAGTCTCTGCAAATCGCGCCTCCCCATGTCAGTGCAGTCAGCCTCAGAATCATACACCCTCTGTGAACACAGGAGGCCTTAGTTTACGGGGACGGGGAGGCGAAAGGAGATCATACATGGAAGCAGATCTGAGAAATCCCCTACCCCAGCCTCTGGGTGCTCTTAGGCCTTCTTCCCTGTTGCTCCTCGCTTTCCCTTCCATCGTGTGTAAAGTCTCTTTGACCTAAATCAGATTGCAAACCACCCCCAGATGTCAGCCCTGATCACTGACGAAGATGAAGACATGCTGAGCTACATGGTCAGCCTGGAGGTGAGGCCAGGAAGACTGGGGCTAGAGGGTTTAGCGGGGGAGGGTAAGGGAAATAATTCATTCCTGTAAGCAAGAGTGAGCACCTCACCCGAAAACCTATCTAAGCTTTCTCCACCTTGTCCTGACAGGTGGGAGAAGAGAAGCATCCTGTTCATCTCTGCAAGATCATGTTGTTCTTTCGGAGTAACCCCTACTTCCAGAATAAAGTGATTACCAAGGAATATCTGGTGAACATCACAGGTGACAGGTGGCTCCCAGGATGGGTAGTGGAAGGAAGATGGTGGGTGGATCATTGCCAACGGGATCCAGCCCCCTTCCCACAAAAACTCCTGTCTCTGTAGAATACAGGGCTTCTCATTCCACTCCAATTGAGTGGTATCCGGATTATGAAGTGGAGGCCTATCGCCGCAGACACCACAACAGCAGCCTTAACTTCTTCAACTGGTTCTCTGACCACAACTTCGCAGGATCTAACAAGATTGCTGAGGTGAGTCCTCACTGGGAAACATGAGGAATGACCCCGTGTGTTCCCAGCTGCTTGGGTCACCTTTCTGAGCCCTGATGAGGCCTTTCCCGATTGAGTCCCCTGACAGATCCTATGTAAGGACCTGTGGCGCAATCCCCTGCAATACTACAAGAGGATGAAGCCACCTGAAGAGGGAACAGAGACGTCAGGTGAGCCGTTAGTTGGCACTGGAGCTGTTTGATGCCCAGTATAAGGGGGTTGACACACCTGCCTATTCAGGGAGCCTGGGTGCTCATTTCAGAAATGTAGAAATTGAGGCTCCTTTCGTACATGTAGAAATTCCTTGAGAGGAAGACAGAGAGTGACAGAATCCAGGACGTTCATGGCATTGGGCTGAAAAGGCACGTTAGAGACTGCACTGCAAAGCGGGTGATAGCTGTGGAGTCTTAAGCCCAGTGAAGAATCGTCCATTTCCAGAATCAATGAGAAGTAAAGCTGAAAATCATTCAGTTCAGTCTGTGGCACTTGATTCCACGGCTGTCAACCCCACCGGCAGTCATCCCACCAACCCCATGAGATTGGGCTCCCTGAATGTGCGTCCTGGTCATCCTTGCCCCAAACCACAAAGGACTGTTTAGATTGATGGATTTCCTTAAGCTGTTGCCCCATCAGACTTGTGTGTGCTTTTAGGGCCCAGTGCATCTTGTTAGCTGACTCCCCTCACAGACAATACTGGGAATGGGGCAGGGATTGCGCAGAACAGTTTGTAACACGTGGTAGGAGGAAGTTTAAGGGATCACAAATGGGGAAGGGATATCCTTTTCTCAGCGGGCCCCACAATTGAAACATTTCAAAGTATGGCTCAGAGAAAATGCGTTTTAACATGAGTTTGTGTTTCTCTAGGGGACTCCCAGTTGTTGAGTTGAATATGATGGAGCATCAGATTTTACCTAATACAGCAGAACTCCTAAAAAGTTACAGCCATATGCAGGACGGCAGTACTCAGCATGGTCTTATGCACAGGAACTAAAGGAAAAAGAGATCGAGTCACAAAAATTCAGGAAGAGGGGGTAAATGTGGATTGTATGGAATGAAAAATAAACATTCTCAAGGATGTGTGACTCTGTGTCTGTGTGTGTGTGTGTGTCTTTGTGTTTGTGTGTGTGTGTGTCTGTGTGTGTATGTTTATCCACTTTATTCGGGTGTCATAATGAATTGATCAATCCACGTGCTTTATTCTCTTCATGGAAATAACCAGTCTGCGTTGGAGCTGGGCCTCTAAAGTTGTAGAGTGAATGGGTGTGGGATGTGTTGGGATTCTTCCTACAGGACAGAGTGGGAGAGGTAAAAGCAAAAGACAGCTTAGTTGGAGGCTGACTTCGTCCTATGGAAGCAGAGATAGTTCAAGGAAAGGGGTTACTGGGTTTCCAGGGCCCAGTTTGCTGGGACCTCCAAAATCCTTCATTTTGGGTATCATCATACACAGTAGCTAAGCACAGGATGATGGAAATCTTAAAGTTCGCTTTCGTGTTGAATCCACATGTTCTTTTAAAGGTGAATGCATGATCCTTTTCTGGGACAATCAGCCTCTCAGGACTTCTGAAACATCAACGTGAGAAGAAATGGGCATGTAAGGTGTATGGAGGGACTGTGGGAAAGGTGACAGAGGCATGTGGGAAGGCATTCAGGATACGCTTTTGGCAGAGATGACTAAGGGAAAACAGAAACTTACAGAAGTGAGGGGAAAGGGGGTGGATTAGTGGAATATAAGATTGTTGGAGAATCCATCCATGGACTCTCTTGTCACTTGATGACCCAGGATATGGACACTCTTGTTGATGTTTACATCTTTAGTTGTTTTAAGCTTTTCTCCAAGATTCTGTGTTAGGTGAGGAGCCAATAACGTATGTAGCTAACAACAGTACGAGTGCATTTTGTGCTCTTGCAAAGTCTAGTGAGGCTCTATTCTCCCTCGTGATTGGCACTGCAGATTGTATCTGGACCCAGGGCCCCTAAATTTTCTGTGGCCTCTTCAGCATAGTTTGCCTAAGGTTTAGAACGTAAAGCGAATATAGTTGCGCAATATGTTTTGCAAGCCTCACACAGGAGGACAAAACATACAGCTTTCATTCGCGAGTGGGAGGCTGCTTCCCAGGAACACGTGTGTCTGCACAAGACAAGGGGTTGCCTCTGTCAAGGATGGGGCAGGAGGATTTCAGTGTCGGAGGCAGAACTTTCTTTCCTGTTCCCAGATGAAACAGTTCCAACACGAGCATCCATGTTGACCACACGCTACTAGAGTGCTAACATTGCTGTCCCGTATAGACTCCGGTCAGCACAGCTTCTGTGAGAAGAGCTATGTTGTTTCAGGGAAGAGGGTTTGACAGTCAAAGTTCCTGAATCTGTTGTGGTGCCTGCAATATGCATTCTACCCCTCCTGCTCGGTGTCAAAGCAGTTGAGCTTTGAAAATCTATCGCCCGGTTTTGTCCCTGCTCCTATGCAGACCTCTGAAGCTCTGGAGCGGGAGTCTTGTCCTCCTCTGACTACCGTCCCCCTGACCCACAAACACAGGAGAAACAGGTGTTCTAAGCAAATTATTCTGAAAACAGTCGGAACACTTTGGCCCCCTCAAGCTGCCCTCTATCCTACTGTGTGCATGTCAAAGACACTGTGGTCCAGTACGGTATCCCTATAGCGGCAATGGGGCAACAGATTGGTGTGTGCACTCTGGGCAACTCAGATTAGGAAACGTCTGGGGACTTGCCTATAACGAGGTCGTCTTAAAACGTGTTGCCCCAAATTTAAGGCATAGGAAAATGTTGAGGAAAGGGTCTTGCAATGATTTTTCTAGGAGGTAAATAGATAAGAAAATGACCGTAAATAGATGCCAGGGCTAGTTTTGGAGCTAGCCTTTTTTAAAGTGGTGGTAGGGGAGGAGGTTTTTCCAAGGCAGGTAGCAAACCAGGAACTGTCTACGATGGATGGGCGTGCCATGGGTTGGTGGCTCAGCCATATTGCCACCCCACGGAGTCGATGCAGCAGACTGGGCTTCTTGCTTGAATCCTACGTGCAATTCAGTCTAGTGATTTCACATGAGATCCCTTCTTCTGGTATTATCACAGATCGTGCTGAATTATACAGGCTGTGTAATGCTTCTTCCACTGAATATCCGTGCACGTGGGCCACAGATGCTAAGGGCACTGACAAATTTGCACCGTGCCTCAGTAACTCGGAAGCACATCTGTGATTTGTACCGACAGGGACTTGGTGTCTTTTCGTGTTTACAGTAGCACGTGTGTGTTTGTGGTTGCGTATGTTTATTTCTCTGTGCGGGTTTGTATATTTTCTCTGACTCCACCTATGTCTCCGTGGTTCCGATATTTTTCCACACTCCCTGCGACAATTTGCACATGCCTATCTCTACAACCATTGTAGACTTTGTATCTGTGTCTTTGAACATCTGTCACTCTCTCTCCCTTCCTTTTTTCTTTTCCTTCCTTTACACCCCTCCTTTCATCCTTCCCTTGCTTCCCCACCACACTCTCTCCATCTGTATCGTCTATGTTTCTATTCTCTATCTGGGTTTACTTTCTAATTCTGAATTCAAGGGCATTGAATTGAAAAGAAGCACTCTTCGTACTTTTATGTGTTTTAACTCATTTGGGGAATTTGGCGTGGTATTATTTACAGGGTTCTCTCTGCCCTTTCTCATTGTTCTCCCCAGCCGGGGCTGTTATTATGTGAAAGCTGGTTTCCTTCATCACATCGCGTAGGCTCTAATGATGTTTCGTTTATTTTGATTCTCCTCACACTACATAGTTTTAATTTACCTAATGTGACTGTTTTTTTGTTTGTTTTCCGAGAATGGGTCTTACTCTGTCTTCTAGGTTGGACAGCAGCCCCACGATCTCAGCCCACTGCAGCCCAGGCACCACACACCCATGTGATCCTGTCAACTCAGACTCTCACACACCTGGCAGTACAGGTGCATGCCACCCCTCCAAGCTATGTATTAATTAACTAAATACTTACTTTTTGAATGTGGGTCCATGTTGCCCCAGGCTCATCTGGAACTCCTGAGTGCAGGCAATCCTCCCACCTCAGCTTATCAAAGTGCTGGGATGACAGGTGTGACCCATGGCCCTGCCATGGCTTTGTGTTTTTTGCTTTTTTCTTCCTCCTCCTCACGTCTTGTTTTGAAACATGCACTGAAGGTTTCAATTCATGGACTATAGCCTCTGTGCCTGGAATTTCTATCTTTCAACTCATCATCAGCATTCATTGGGATTTTCATATATATATATACCTATATAAGAATACCTATGTACACACATATATACGTATATACATGTATATACGTATATATGCACATTTATATACGTATATACATGTATATACGTATATATATACATGTACACATATGTATTTATTTCTCAAGTTACGAAACGGCTTGCATTCTTTCCTGTGTCATGAAAAAGACTTTGCTAGAAAAGAAAAGCACTGCTTTATAATAAAATATTTTATTTGCATTTATTTTGTTAAGGCATTTTAAAAATTGTATGTTTGTTTAAAAAATGTCATATGAAATGATACATATTTACAACTTAAGGCGTGATGTTCAACAGGTCATATACATTATGCATTGGATACATCCAGCCAATCAACATATGTGTGACCTCACATAGTTGTCATTTTTGTTGTGAAAAAACTTGACCTGCACTGTATTCGAATATTTTTAGAGAAAGAATATGTTACCACTAGTTATAGTGAGCATGCTGAAGAAAATATTTTTAACCTATTCCTCCTTTATAACTAGAAGTATGAGTTCTTCATCCAGCATCTCGTCAGTGCACCCTCTTCACCGCAGTCATTGGAGTCACTACTTCTGTGAAGTCCGCTTTTTTGATTTCATATAAGAATGAGATCATGTGCTACTTTCCTTTCTGATACCTGGCTTATGTCACTTAACAGAATGGCATGCACACATTCAGCAGATTCCCACACATTCTCACAACTGGCAGGATTTCCTGATTTCTTATTGCAGCGCATATTTCCGTTGCGCATATGCGTTTTTGCCCCATTTTTTAATCCACTTATCAATGGAGGGACTCTCAGGTTGCTTCCGCATTTTGGCTACAGCAAAAATGTAATGAGTGCAGCAATAATTGCATGGGTGCGCGCACCGGTTCAACATACTGATCTGTGTACTGGCGGGCGTGCCCGGGTATTCTGATTTGCTGGATCATATAGTGGGTGGTTCTACTTGTAGATTTCTGAAGGCTGTTTATACTTAAATAAGAGCCATAAAGCTTCTTTAATGCCAGCACTAATTTACATTCTCCCCAAAAGTGAGCAGGGAATTCGTTTTCTCTGCCTCCTCACCAGAGATTAGGGTTTTCTTTTCTTTCTTTTTTTTTTTTTGTTTGTTTGTCTTTCGGATAATATGCATTCTGACTGAAGTGAGAAGAAATCTCATTGTGTTTTTGATTTGCATTTTCGTGATGGATTGGGGATAATGAGGAATTTTTAGTGTGTCTTCTGGGCAACTGTATGTCTCAGTTTCACAAATGAGTCTTCGCAGCCTTCGCCCATTTGTTTTCATGCTATTGAGTTGTTGGGAGTTCCTTATGTACTGTGACTATTCCCCCATGAACAGATGTATGGTGATCCAATCATTGCTCCCATCCTGTAGGATGCCCCTTCTGTATGTTGAGTTTTCTATGGTGTGGTGAAGCACTTTAGTTTGATATGATTCCATTCTCTATTTTTGATGGTGTTTACTGTGTTCTTGCAGTCACTTTGAGACCATCATTGCACACACGGACGCCATGGAGCTTCTTCCTTGTGATCTCTTCTGCTATTTTTATCGTTTCACATCTGACACTGGAGTTTGGTGATAAATAATCCACTTGTAAAATCCTTTGTGTGGCTATTCAGATTTCCCCAACCTAGTTTATAGAAGATACTTGATTTTGCATTGGGCGTTCTTGCTTCTTTGGGAAAAGGCTGTGAGCTGCAAATGCAGTGACTTAGTTCTGGGCTCCTGTTGTTTTTCCTAAGCTCTAGTCTCTGCTTTTCTGCCAGTGCTATTGTATTTTGGTACAAAAAGTTTTGTAGTAGTATATCATGAAGTTAGGTAGTGTGGTGGCTCCAGCTTTGTGCTTTTTACTGGATTGCTCTGGGTTTTCAGGATCTTCTGCCATTTCATAGCAAATTTGGGATTCCCAGATTGTTTTTCTAAGAAGAATGTGTCATTGATATTTTTACAGGGGTTGTATAGAATCTGAGGATGACTCAGGTAGTAGTGATGTCAATGCCGTTTAGACAATGTGCGTGTTTGTGTGCACAAGCTCAGGGCCAAGAGACACTGGGTGTCCTCACCAATACTGAGGTGGGCCTTAATATCCAGCCAGATTGCCTTCTGGAAACACACGGAATGTCCTGTTCTGTTTTGCCATCTCTTCACATTTCCTCCCCTGTGAGCCCTGTGTGGTCCTCCAGATTCCCTGTGCGGTGGCCTGCCTTTTTTGGGGTGGGGAGTTGCTGGGTGAATGAGGATGGCGGAGGGAACCAAGCATGTCAGTGGAGCGTGGTGTCATCCAAACGGTACTTAGCAGGCCTGGGAGAGTCATTCTGGGAGGACGCAGACCTAGAGAGGCCTCAGGTGGGCATCTGTGTGGAGGGTGAGAGATCCCTGGTTGAGCCCAAACTGAACCCCAGGTAGAAGCAAGCCTCAGGACAGGGAAGTAGCTAGCAAGGGATGATGAGGGAGCTATCTCTTGACCCTGGCTTCCCACCCATTGACCTTAGCTACTTGTGCCTATTAAGCAGATTACGGTTCCCCCATCGTGAAATGTGGGTACCACAGTTCCCTGATGGGCATTTCTCCACCAGCCCATGATGGCCTGAGTTTCCTTACTGCAGTCTCCTCCCTGAGCCTTGGCTTCTCTATGTGTGTCCTAACTCCAGGACCCACAGGCCTGTCAACCCCCAGCCCTGGGCTGCTTCCCTGGCCTCTTCTCTGTTCCCTCTCTGAGGGCCTAACTCCCTTGGGTAGTGCTGCAGAATATAGAGCCACAGGCCCTGGCTGATGATCTGGTGGACTGGGCAAATTGGTCGTGACAGGTCAGGTTCTGGTTCAAAGCCAATTCCTCCGATGCCAAGGAATGTCGAAGAAGGTCCTTTGCCATGATGCCCCATAGCTGCCCCACCTCAGCAATCGTGCCGTAACCTGGGCCCTCACAGTCAGACAACCAGCTGAAGAAGCTCAGGCAGTGACCTGCGGGAAACTCGGGCTTTCACCTGCATGACCCTAGAACCACTGGACTGCAGTGGAGCCAGTCGCCCTGTATCCTGGAGGGAGACGAGTCAGGAAGGCGCACGCCAGGCCCAGCTCCCGAGGTACTACCCCCTCTACTCCTCAGGGAGGATGCCAACGCAATACTCCTTAGTCGTCACTTTGTTTCCGAAGTAAATGTTGTGATGAAAGGCAAACTTCTTCCTACCCCTTGTATTCAGGGTGGCCGAGTTCCTCCACCTGCCTGTCCAAGAAGGAGAAACAGGGCTGTGAAGGGGCAATTTCATCTAGGTGGGCTGAGGTGGCATTCTAGCCGGGGTGAAGCATGCGTTTCCCCTTCCCAGCTTTCCCGCTGAGACACACCTGAGCCCCAGAAGGACCTCAACCTGACCAGGACCTTAGCACCCTCCCCCAGACCCAGGCTTTCCATCCTGACCTGCAAATCCAACATGCAGCTTTGAAGGACTTTCTCATGGTTTCTGAGCTCCTTGCTCTCACCAGAAAGAATCAGAACTTTTAAAGTGTTCTTTATGCCAACTTAAATTTTTCATTTTTACTACCTCATGTTTTGGATGAGGCATGTATTTTTAAATTTATTTTCACCCTTATTGTACCTCTATGATAAACTGCTTGCTTACATTCATACCGTAATTATCTCTCAGGTTACTTGTCTGTTCCTAAAGATTCACTGAAACGAAGAATTCTATATATGCTTGTATCTTTCAGCAACCGTATGTCAGATAGCACTGCACATTACTGCAGACATCGCATATACAGGTCCAAAGGTAGAGGAAGAAGAAGAAAGCAAGCGTTAAGCTCTATACATTCCTAAAAGCATATCAGAAACTCACAAATAACAGTGAAATCAAAGAATGATCACAGCCAATTCCATTACATACCTAGACTGAAATACGAAACTTCAAAGAAAAGAAACATTAGAACTTTGGGTTTGTAAAAATTTTCCTATATAGATAAAATTATTGGTAACTGTGTCTCACTAGAAAACGTAAACAAAAGTCCATGTTTTTCATATTTGTAAATATACATAGTTTTATTTCCATCAGTTATGACATGCAAGCAAGTAATAAAGTGAAAGTACAATCAAATGATATATGGAACTTCCTCAGTCTTAAAATATTCCATGGAGACTATCAATTTTATGAAAACTATAAAGAATGCTTCATGAAACTACATTGTACAGTGCCATTTACTATTTTACTGACATTTTAAATAATCAACAATTAAAGGGAATACGTCAACATTATTTAATACCAATAACGTTATTTTTCTTGAGTAATCCTGTTGAAATTAAGGATTTTAAATAAAACATTAAAAACAAATTATATTGACTGATTTCAGCTTTGGATGAAATCATACTTGTGTATTTGTAGTAATGCGAAGCATAACTTTCTCCTCACAATTAATCTTTTATAACATCGGTGTTATAGTTTTCTCTGACACCAACATTGTGATATCGCACAGGTTTACTGCATGCATGCATTACATGCCTCCAGAGAGTAGGCTTCAAATATATGGAAAAATTATATTTATGAAAAAATTCTAGGAAAGGGAATGGTGAAATGGAAGAGAATTTCTCACTTGCTAACTGTTGGACATGGATTTGTATATATTTGGATATAGACACATACTGGCACACTGTGAGTTTGCCCATGTATATATACACTTAAATGAGAAACCCATAATATATGGGTTGTGTAATCTTTTAATTAATCCATAATTGTATGTGTGTGAAATTAGATAAGCGGTTACCTTTTCTTTACTCAATTTGATGGAAAGCCAAAAAACTCTGTCCACCTTCATTTCAATTAATCCAATACTGTTAACTGCTGGTAGCTTCATTCTCCTTGTTCTCTTACGGCAACCGGAAAGTTAATTCTCGCTCTAATTTGGCTTTCAAGGTGCGATCAACAAGAGTGTCACCTTGCTGTGGATTGTGACCTCTGACTCCACCTCTGTCTTCCTTTTGCAGTCCTACCTTTGCATAGGTAACAAACTTTGTACATGGTTAAAAGGATAAAAGTTCAGTGAAATGTCAAGCCATGCTGTGAAATGTTCCATAGTTTCTATATCTCTAATTGTCCTTTGATGTTATAGAGGCAAGAAAAATAATTCAATGTTTTTCTTAGTATCTAGTCCAATGCACTCTTTCTTCATAATACTGCAAACAAGGCACTGACATGGAAACGTGGCTGGACGTCTCAAAATCTCTTCTCATTAATTACCATTATGTTAATCACTGTTGCCCACAACTGGAATTGGACTTTGAAATCCCCTGGTGGAAATTGCTATAATGGCTCAAACTACTGGAAAGACTATCTTTTTTTACCTGAAAATATCTGATGAGCATAGACGTATGCTATATACAGGAAGATATTGTACATTAACAACATACCATCACTGCCACTCAATAATAGGTATCCCAAACCTTTGAGCCAAACTGAGCTCAGGTGCTCCCACAAACCAAGCTTTTCCCTCCACAGATTTCTTATGTCAAAAAGCCACAACTCCAGGCCAGGCTTCGTGGCTCTTGTTGTAATTTCTACATTTTGGGAGGCCGAGGTTGGTGGGTCACTTGAGGTCAGGAGTTGGAGACCAGCATGGGCAACATGGCAAAAAGCTGTCTCTACCAAAAATACAAAAATTAGCCAGACCTAGTGGCACTTTCCTGTGGTCCCAGCTACTTGGGAGGCTGAGGTAGGAGAACCACCTGAACATGGGTGGCAGAGATTGTATAGTAAGCCAAGATCAGACTACTGCACTCCAGCCTGGATGACACAGCGAGACCATGAAAAAAAAAATAAAGGCAACTCCACTCATCCACTGGCTTAGGTAAAAAATACTGGAGTTGGCTGGGCTCGGTGGCTCACACCTGTATTCCCAGCACTTTGGATTTTGGGAAGCTGAGTCGGGCGGGTCACCTGAGATCTGTAGTAGGAGAGCAGCCTGGCCAACATGGTGAAGCCTGGCTTCTACTAAAAATACAAAACATTAGCTGAGCGTGGTGATGCATGCTTGTAATCCCAGCTACTGCAGAGGCTGAACCTGGGAGGCGGAGGATGTGTTGAGCTGAGATCCTGCCACTGCGCTCCAGCCTGGTCTACAGAGCGAGAGTACCCTGTGAGAAACAAAGGTGAAGAGAACAAGAAAAAAAAATGAGAAAAATAAGACCCACTGCAAAAGGTTGCCACAGAAAAGATTAAACATTTCAGCAACTTCTATCTTCTATCATGGAAGCCAAGGTTATTTGGACCAAACCTCCTGTCTTAGTTCATTTTCACGCTGCTGAAGAAGAGATACCTGAAACTGGGAATAAAAGGAGGTTTAATTGGACTGACAGTTCCACATGGCTGTGGAGGCCTCAGAATCATGGTATACGAATAAAGGCACTTCTTACATGGCAATGCCAAGAGAGAATGAGGAAGAACCTGAGGCAGAAACCCCTGAAAAACCCATCAGATCCCGTGAGACTTCTTCACTGTCACAAGAATAGCATGAGAAAGACCGACCCCCATGATTCAATTACCTCCCCCTGGGTCCCACCCGCAACACGAGGGAATTCTGGGAGATACAATTGAAGCTGAGATTTGAATGGAGACACACCAAACCATGTCACTTCCCAAACAATTAAAAATTCCCAATAGAAGAAGCATTAATTATATCAAAAAGTGGTGGACCAAGAAGGAACTATTAGCCTCATATCTCAAGAAAGACTCCAGTCAAGGCCTAGGGACTACTCATGAAAAGAGTTTAATAGCCGACTCTCTCCCAGTGGATCTGGATTCCACCGGACTGTATCTTCACAGTAAGGGTGAAACAGAAGCAAACCCATTCCTATTTCCAAGCTCAAGGAACTTTGGTCAAAGTTCTCTTGGAGCTGAGCAGAACAAGGAGGCAAACAGAAAAGATTTGTGTCCCTGAGAAGTCATGGCCACAGGCTGGCTATCACACAGATTGTCAAGCCAGTTCCATATTGCATGGGTATTACAGAAAATCTCAAAACATAAATTTGTGTGTGGGTTGTCCCAGAGTAGCAGGATCTGGCAGAAGGAAATTTCCTTCTAACCCTCAAAGAATCCACATAAATCTTGTTACATTTGGGATTTTACGATTTGCTTCAAGAATGAGAATGGCCTTAATTTTCATATCTTTTTCTACACTCAGTTTATGGCTTGTTGGCGTCAAAGTTCTGCTTGCTTCACACAATGAGTTTAGGATTTTCCCTTTTTTATTCTATAGAATGCTTCATATATATTGAAATGCTCTGCCTGGGGAAAAAAATCTGAGCCTAGCGTTTTATCTCTAGGAAGAATCCTTTATTTCCTTGAACATTTATGAGACTATACAGATTATATATGTCTTCTTGTATCAATTTTACTAAGCTATATACATAGCTTATGTTTATATATTATATATATAAATGTAAGATACAAATATAAAAATTATGTATAAATATGAAAATATAAATAGAAAGCGATATATATGTCTATATATATAGACAGATTATAAATATCTGTCTATTTGATCTAAGTTTTCAAATTTGTAGGTTAAGGTGTTAATGATATTTCCTTATTAGCTTCTTAATCTATGCTGTATCTATGGTTGTGTACCTTTTAAATTCTTAGTTTTATCTATGTTTTCTCCCTTTTTTTCTAAACTTGACTGACGGTTGCATCATTTATTATATTTCTCCAACAAGCAAAGGTTAGCTTTGTATGTTTTACTAATTTTGTCTACATCATTATTCCCACACTTTAGTTTTTCAGAATTGATTCTGTTGTTTCTTTTCTAATTCTTTATTGAAATATCTAGTACATTAATTTTCAAGTTATTAGAGAAATATTTGTCTGTAAACTCCTATTGTAATATCACTTTTCTTGCTACTCACAGATTTAATCTTTAATATTGGCGGTATCATTGAGTTCTAAGTACATTTCAATTCCTAGTATGATAATCTATGAATTGCTGAGAAATAGTGTTTACAATTTTGTTGTTCTATTTCCACTTAAGTTTATTTTTACTTCTGCTAACTCAATTGAAAATTCTTTACTAATTTTTAAAATCCTTGAACCCAAGAGATGGAGGTTGCAGTGAGCTGAGATCAGGCCACTGCATTCCAGACTGAGTGACAGAGTGGAACGAGATTTCAAAACAAAACAAAACAAAACAAAACAAAACAAAACAGTCACTGGAAAGATAATAAAATACATAAATGTGGGATGTAATATGTAATCGTGATAAAATAAACTGGATTTTTTGTATAAGTTATACATATAAATGTAATGCCAAGACACTGATAAGACAACTCATGGTCTTATCTCAATACTTAGTGTCTTCATGTAACATATGTCCTTTAGGATAGTTATAGTCCGTTTTCTTTCCAGGAGAGACAGATGAGAATGCAGAAATGTTAAAGTGCAAGGGACGGAAGCTTCCAGCTGTGCCCACCTGTAACCTGACGTAGACAGTTCCACCGTTTGCTTCATTAATCATGCCAAAGGCTCTAATGCAAATGTGGTACAGAGTCACATGTTTTTGTATCTACATGATAGAAACTATAACTTCATCCCTATATAGAAGGGTATATAGCATATGCCTCAGTGATAAATATAAGTGAATCCTTGATCAGTAGGAAACCATTTTAAAAGTCTTTCATAACAGAACAAAATCCCTGAAAACATTTTCTTCTCAATCTCTGAGTTTTCTTACACGGCTTATGAATCTCTAGCCATACTAAAGAGATAGTATGCTGCTCTTCCCACAAATTATTCATTGTATATAATTCCTGTAATCTAATAACAGTACCTTTACACCTCAGGGTTTAAAATGACTCCAACCTTTTTCTGTTTCTCCAATTAAAATAACTTTTTTAAGGTTTAATCTTCAGTAATTTTTTGTAGTAATATTTTTGAAGGTATTTGACCAGGATGATTTGCTTATATACCTACCTGACGTCTCCCTTTCTTCTGAATACATATTTTATTACCCACCTATTAGATCTAAGTTTAAGAAGTTGGAATAGGGATTTAAATCTAAATTCTACATTTGAATTTACAGGAGTCAGCGAGTCCGGGAAGTGCCTTTATGCACAGACCAATATCTGGCAATGGCACTAGGAGACAAATAAGCTTTACCAGTCTCAAAGCCCTGGCTACTACAGTGAATCCACCCTTCTCCTGGATCTTATCTACTTCAGCAAAAGAAGGCCACCCACTAAACCAGGCCCTTGTACTTTGGGTGGAAACTCCTAAGTCCTCTAGTCTCCTCAAACAGACAGCCAGGCTGCCAATTTCCACAATAATAATTTCTATAGCACTGAGTCTTTGGTAGCCTTGTAACTATAGCTACTGATGCTACAGTCTGGTCCCTGTATGATAAAACACCAGAGCAACAGAAACAAAAATATTGACTGAAGCCTTCTAAAATCTCTCTAAATATACCTTCAATAAATATCGTTTTTTTTACAGAACGACTGCTTTCAGCTTCCTGAACTAACGCTTGGCCTTCGCTAGTTGTCACTGTTGAAATTGATTCAAAAGTGTACATTTAACATGAAAGTCAACACAGAATTTCATGTGTCAGCAACTAAAATTTTCAAAATGTTGCAAAATACAAATGTGAAACTGTATTTGTGAAATTTACCATTCATTGAAATTATATTTTCATACCTACCCAGGCACAGAATTTTTTATAACTGTCTGCATGTTCTCCTCATGTGGGGGAAAAGCAGCATCAGCAGGCAGAGGAATCCTTTGAAGCTGGAGGGAGAGGTTGCAGTGATCTGAGAGTTTGCCACTTGACTGCAGCCTGGATGACACAGTGAGACTCCAACTGAAAAGAAACAAACACACACACACACACACACACACACACACCCCCAAAATTGATAAGTAAAAAAAAAATCCATATTCGAAAACATGCTCACAGGCTATCTCCCATATCTAACACACACACACACACACACACACACACACACACACACACAATTCCTTGAAAACGAAAGTTCCACAAGGGCAAAACAAGAAAACAAATTTAACACCCCCCAAAGAAAGTACAAAGAGTAACCTCAAAAGAACCGCAGGGGAAAACAATTCAAAATTTACAAGTATCTACCCTAAAAGAAGCTGAAAGTCCCTCAAAAACTTTCCAGAGGCCATGTCCTTGTATTACAAAAATGATCATAAAAACTGGCAGGAGTAGACGAATAGAAATGCATCTTAAAACTTGCTAAACCCTTCAAGTCTCCCATAAGAATTGTAATGGAAAATGGATCGGTCGGCAGCTTTTTCCATACAATTATGAACAAATTATATTTCTTCATACATAGATTTGTTTTTTCAATATTCTAAGGAATTAACTTTTATATTAATAGTAGGTGATGTAAGAAAGCAGGCCTTTATCAAGATAACTGACACTGGATGTCCATACCATTACTCAGGTGGGCCTTAATTCCCAGCCGGGTTCCCTCCCTGGACACACACTGAAGGTCCCCAGCCATTTGGCAATCTCTTCACATTCCCAGCCCTGGAGGTAGCCCTAAAATACATGTACCTGAAGAAAATAAAACATTGCCTCACACTGGAGCCCAGTGTGGTCCTCCAGATTCCGTGTGAGGTGGACTAACTTATATGGGAAGGCAGGGCAGCGGGAGTGAGGATGGCAGAGAGGATTACACATGTCAAGGCAGCCGGGGTCATGGAAACAAAACATGACTGGCCTGGGAGAAACACTGTGAAAGGACATACACCTAGGTGGGCCTCAGGTGGACATCCTCGTGGAGAAAAAGGGGGCCCTGGTTGATCTCAAAATGAGCCCCAGGTGGTAGCAGGTCTTACCGCAGGGCAGGGAGCTGGCGAGTAATGATGAGACAGCTATCCCTTAAGCCCTGCTTGTCACCCACTGACTTTAGCCACATATGCATCATAGTGGCTTAAGGTGCCCCGATCCTGAAATGTGGGTGTTACATGTCCCTGATGGGCCTCTCTCCCCCAACCCACGGATTGCCTGGGATTGCTCACTGCAGTCTCCTCCCGGATCCTTGGGTTCTCCATGTGGGGCCCAGATCCAGGTCAAAAGGCCTCTCAGTTCCCAGCCCTTCCCAGCCCTAGGCTGCTCGCCTGGCCTCCTCTCTGTTCCGCCTCTAGGGCTGACCCTCTCTCCATGGGATAGAACTGCAATGGATTGAGCCATAGGCCCTGGGTGATGATCTAGGTGACTGCAGAAGTGGGTCCAGGACAGTTCAGGTGACAGTTCAAAGCCAATTCCCCAGAGACCAAGGAATGACCAGCTAGGTCCTTTCCCATGATGCCCCACGGCGAACCCCACCTCAGCAATCCTGCCAAAACCCGGGCAGTCATGTTCAGCCAAACAGCTGAATGAGCTCAGGTAGGAGGTGTACTGCCTGCAGCTGGAGGCTTGACCTTCGTGATCCCAGAACCGCTGGACTGCAGTGGAATGAGACACCCTGTAGCCTGCAGGGAGAGGAGTCAGGAAGGTTCATGCCAGTCCCACCCTCCCACACACCAGCTCCCCTACCATGCTGGGAGGCATTCCTTACCGAGGATGCCAACACAGTGCTCCTTCATGATGATTTCACTGTGGAAATAAAGGTTGGGATGAAAGGAAATCATCCTGCCACCGGTAACCGGGATGGCTGAGTTCCTCCACCTGCCGGATCAAGGAGAAAGAGGATGGATTCAATGGGACCATCTCAACTAGCCGGGCTGAGGTGGCCTACTAGCTGTAGTGAACCATGAGTTTCCCCTTCCCAGCTCTCCCACTGAGACAACCCTGGTCCCCAGGGGGACCTCAAACTGACTCAGACACTGGACTCCTCCCACAGACCCAGGCTCCCCAGCCTGACCTGCAAATCCATCACGTAGCAAAGCAGGACTTCCGCATGCTTTCCGACCCACGCCGACATCTCGTGTGCCAAACAATCTACCTCTGCGCAAGAACTCTCCAGAGGATTGGGTGGGCAAGCCTCGTGACGCCTTGCAATTTCGCAAGAACACAGACAATGTGGAACAGGGCCATCTCCCAGACATTTGGCCAGTCACCCTTCATTGTTGGCCCTCTATCTCTGTCTGGCGAGGAGGCAACGCCACAACTGTGGTGGTTTTTGGAGTGGGTGGACCCCGGCCAAGACGGCCTGGGCTGACCAGAGACGGGAGGCAGAAAAAGTGGGCAGGTGGTTGCAGCTGAGGGACGGGAGGGGCCGGGGGTGGTGTGAGGCGGCTGCTTCTCTGAGTTTCTGAGATGCAGGAGGCCTTTGTGTGCTGGGTGCTGGACATGCTCCGCTGATGTCCGGGTGTGTGGTGTCCTCTTATCCTAGTCTCCCTGAGGGGTGGGCCTGTCCACCTGAGGGAAGCCTTGTAGTTAGAAGCCACAGCAGGGTCGTGCCTGGCGCTCTCCAAGGGAATTGCGTGGGTCCAGAGGAAGTTATACAGGCTCAGGGCCTACACGCCTTTGAGTGCAGCGCCTGCAGTTGGATGAATGCGCATCTGCGGAGCTGGTGCCCGCCGTCAGGTGGTCGGCAGCCCCATGCGCCGCGAACCCGTCTTAAGCACCTTGTGTTTCTGGGGTGAGCCTGCTGGAAACAGGCACCGAGAGCAGGGGTGGTTCAATGGCTGGTAATGGCATACAGATTCCCCGTCCTCCAGGGACGTTCCCAGGGAAACGCGTCCTTCGAATTTGGGCTGTGCGCAAAGGGACCTTGGCGCCGCGATTCTCCCTTGTCAGTGCTGGCCCTGGCTCCCCTTCCCTACCACGTGCTCCCAGGGCTGCTACAAGCGAGCTGCCCTCACAGCTGCGGGAACGTGGCCTCGGCTCCCACGCTGTCCCCCATCCCCTGCCTCCTGGCTGACCCCACGTGCCTCCCACCTGGCTCCTCCCCGCAAACAGCCCCCATACCCCCCGAGGCCCGATGACTATCCCCTGCTGCCCGCCATCCCAAATCGGCAGCCGCAAGGATATGGCTCTGGCTCACAAGGCGGAGATGCTCTGTGGCCTGGGGCATTCACGGAGCCCAGCTCCAAGTGAAGGACCTCCAGCGAGTCCATTGACGGCCCCGGTGTGCTCGGTCCAGGGCCAGGCTGTGCCCGCTGGCCCTCCTTCTGCCACCCCACGTCGGGCTCCACCTCAACCACCACCTCCACCTCAGCCATGATGTCTTCCACCTTCAGCACCGCCTCCTCTTCCAAGGCCGCCTCCTTGCTCTGTACCCCGGCCGTCCTCTCCAGCATTGCCTCCAGCCTGAACACGGTTTTCTCCTGGGTGCTCCCACAGACCCTGGGCCTGCGCAGCCCAGCCCAGCCCAGCCCATGCCCCGCACCCGTAGGCTCTGGGGGCCCGCTCCCCAGCAGACCCGCTCCCTGCAAGACCCACGGGCGTCGCCCTGCTGTGAACCTGGTCCCACACCTACGTGGACCCAGGTTTCCTGAGGAGCTCCGCTGGACCCGCAGATCCCGCACTGGCCAAAGGGCTCCGGTCCCCAGCAGGCTCAACTGCGCACAGGAGCTCGGGAGCCAGAGGCCCCGGCCCTGGGCTTGCAGAGCCCCACCAACAGGCACCGCAACCGCTGCTGCGGGTGCGGGAGCCTCTGGGTCGTCAAGGCAGCGCACAACAGCGTGCGCGCAGGCCGACAATGGCCAACCCTGGCGGCTGGCCTCTGGTGTGCCCAGGGCATAGGACAAGAGGCCCTTTGGAATGCTCCTTGGAGTACAGCATCCTCAGGGAGGAAGCATGGTACTCGGAGCCTCTATTTGCCTCGACCTGTGAGAGTGTGTGCCGGGGCTCTGGCCTCTACAGCAGATCAATTCCACCTCAGCACCGGCAGGCGACTTTCCTCCCACGTGCCCGCCCCGATCACTTCCCCCAGGACACCCCTGCCGCCCTAGCCCCAGCAACCAGAGAGAGTTCTCTGCATCTGCTGTATTACCTCCGTACCATCTACCTGGCCTGCCTAACGAAGAGAGATGTTTCCTGTGTTCATGACACATAGAGATGTTCATGGCTTGCCACACTGAGGATGTCAGGGCACAGGGCTGCCATGCCCACAATTCCAAAGGCCACGCAGCCCGCGTGTGCCCGGATGCCTAGCTACCCGGCACAAGCTCCAAGGGCTTCTCGGAGGAGGCTTGGGCAGGGAAGGCGGGGGGTGGGGGGGCTGGAGATGCAGGCCCGCCAGTGGCTGTGCCGCCCAGGGAGACGCCCACCGCCCTCCCATTGACTGGCCACGACGGGAGGAAGTCGGCCTGGGTGCGGCCCCCCGGCCCTTCGCGCGCAGTCCCTTAGGGGGCGCCTGGAAGCCCGGCGCATGCGCCCTGAGGGCTCGCTGACCTACCGGGTGCCAGAGAGGCTGCGGCAGGGTTTCTGTGGCGTGGGTCGGGCAGCACAGGCCTTGGTGTGTGCGAGTGCCAAGGAGGGCACCGCCTTCAGGATGGAGGCTGTACAGGAGGGGGCGGCCGGGGTGGAGAGTGAGCAGGCGGCTTTGGGGGAGGAGGCGGTGCTGCTGTTGGATGACATAATGGCGGAGGTGGAGGTGGTGGCGGAGGTGGAGGTGGTGGCGGAGGAGGAGGGCCTCGTGGAGCGGCGGGAGGAGGCCCAGCGGGCACAGCAGGCTGTGCCTGGCCCTGGGCCCATGACCCCAGAGTCTGCACTGGAGGAGCTGCTGGCCGTTCAGGTGGAGCTGGAGCCGGTTAATGCCCAAGCCAGGAAGGCCTTTTCTCGGCAGCGGGAAAAGATGGAGCGGAGGCGCAAGCCCCAGCTAGACCGCAGAGGCGCCGTCATCCAGAGCGTCCCTGGCTTCTGGGCCAATGTTGTATCCTTCTCAGTGTTTCTTCGGCCTTTCTAGTGGAGAGGTGCTCTCGGGGAAGTGTAAGTGACCGATGGGCAGCTCGGCGTCGATGTGACTCTTTGGGGAACAAAGGGGAGTTGCCACGGACCAGTGTGGCTGTGGAAAGCCGGAGCAGGCGTGGGTACTATTGTCCTGCATGCGGCAGAGAAACCCTTGGTGATGCCGAGCAGCAGACGTTTGGGGCATCTTTTTGAAGAGCAGAAGCGAGTTCAGAGCGGAAGAGGTTTTTCAGTGAATGAAGCTATTTTTAAGGGAGTGTGATTGCTGCCCCTTGCTAGTCCGATCTGGGACTGGGCGTCTTCGGCTATAAGCAGATTCTGCCACTCCTCAGACACCAGCAAGTCTCTGCAAATCGCGCCTCCCCATGTCAGTGCAGTCAGCCTCAGAATCATACACCCTCTGTGAACACAGGAGGCCTTAGTTTACGGGGACGGGGAGGCGAAAGGAGATCATACATGGAAGCAGATCTGAGAAATCCCCTACCCCAGCCTCTGGGTGCTCTTAGGCCTTCTTCCCTGTTGCTCCTCGCTTTCCCTTCCATCGTGTGTAAAGTCTCTTTGACCTAAATCAGATTGCAAACCACCCCCAGATGTCAGCCCTGATCACTGACGAAGATGAAGACATGCTGAGCTACATGGTCAGCCTGGAGGTGAGGCCAGGAAGACTGGGGCTAGAGGGTTTAGCGGGGGAGGGTAAGGGAAATAATTCATTCCTGTAAGCAAGAGTGAGCACCTCACCCGAAAACCTATCTAAGCTTTCTCCACCTTGTCCTGACAGGTGGAAGAAGAGAAGCATCCTGTTCATCTCTGCAAGATCATGTTGTTCTTTCGGAGTAACCCCTACTTCCAGAATAAAGTGATTACCAAGGAATATCTGGTGAACATCACAGGTGACAGGTGGCTCCCAGGATGGGTAGTGGAAGGAAGATGGTGGGTGGATCATTGCCAACGGGATCCAGCCCCCTTCCCACAAAAACTCCTGTCTCTGTAGAATACAGGGCTTCTCATTCCACTCCAATTGAGTGGTATCCGGATTATGAAGTGGAGGCCTATCGCCGCAGACACCACAACAGCAGCCTTAACTTCTTCAACTGGTTCTCTGACCACAACTTCGCAGGATCTAACAAGATTGCTGAGGTGAGTCCTCACTGGGAAACATGAGGAATGACCCCGTGTGTTCCCAGCTGCTTGGGTCACCTTTCTGAGCCCTGATGAGGCCTTTCCCGATTGAGTCCCCTGACAGATCCTATGTAAGGACCTGTGGCGCAATCCCCTGCAATACTACAAGAGGATGAAGCCACCTGAAGAGGGAACAGAGACGTCAGGTGAGCCGTTAGTTGGCACTGGAGCTGTTTGATGCCCAGTATAAGGGGGTTGACACACCTGCCTATTCAGGGAGCCTGGGTGCTCATTTCAGAAATGTAGAAATTGAGGCTCCTTTCGTACATGTAGAAATTCCTTGAGAGGAAGACAGAGAGTGACAGAATCCAGGACGTTCATGGCATTGGGCTGAAAAGGCACGTTAGAGACTGCACTGCAAAGCGGGTGATAGCTGTGGAGTCTTAAGCCCAGTGAAGAATCGTCCATTTCCAGAATCAATGAGAAGTAAAGCTGAAAATCATTCAGTTCAGTCTGTGGCACTTGATTCCACGGCTGTCAACCCCACCGGCAGTCATCCCACCAACCCCATGAGATTGGGCTCCCTGAATGTGCGTCCTGGTCATCCTTGCCCCAAACCACAAAGGACTGTTTAGATTGATGGATTTCCTTAAGCTGTTGCCCCATCAGACTTGTGTGTGCTTTTAGGGCCCAGTGCATCTTGTTAGCTGACTCCCCTCACAGACAATACTGGGAATGGGGCAGGGATTGCGCAGAACAGTTTGTAACACGTGGTAGGAGGAAGTTTAAGGGATCACAAATGGGGAAGGGATATCCTTTTCTCAGCGGGCCCCACAATTGAAACATTTCAAAGTATGGCTCAGAGAAAATGCGTTTTAACATGAGTTTGTGTTTCTCTAGGGGACTCCCAGTTGTTGAGTTGAATATGATGGAGCATCAGATTTTACCTAATACAGCAGAACTCCTAAAAAGTTACAGCCATATGCAGGACGGCAGTACTCAGCATGGTCTTATGCACAGGAACTAAAGGAAAAAGAGATCGAGTCACAAAAATTCAGGAAGAGGGGGTAAATGTGGATTGTATGGAATGAAAAATAAACATTCTCAAGGATGTGTGACTCTGTGTCTGTGTGTGTGTGTGTGTCTTTGAGTTTGTGTGTGTGTGTGTGTGTGTATGTTTATCCACTTTATTCGGGTGTCATAATGAATTGATCAATCCACGTGCTTTATTCTCTTAATGGAAATAACCAGTCTGCGTTGGAGCTGGGCCTCTAAAGTTGTAGAGTGAATGGGTGTGGGATGTGTTGGGATTCTTCCTACAGGACAGAGTGGGAGAGGTAAAAGCAAAAGACAGCTTAGTTGGAGGCTGACTTCGTCCTGTGGAAGCAGAGATAGTTCAAGGAAAGGGGTTACTGGGTTTCCAGGGCCCAGTTTGCTGGGACCTCCAAAATCCTTCATTTTGGGTATCATCATACACAGTAGCTAAGCACAGGATGATGGAAATCTTAAAGTTCGCTTTCGTGTTGAATCCACATGTTCTTTTAAAGGTGAATGCATGATCCTTTTCTGGGACAATCAGCCTCTCAGGACTTCTGAAACATCAACGTGAGAAGAAATGGGCATGTAAGGTGTATGGAGGGACTGTGGGAAAGGTGACAGAGGCATGTGGGAAGGCATTCAGGATACGCTTTTGGCATAGATGACTAAGGGAAAACAGAAACTTACAGAAGTGAGGGGAAAGGGGGTGGATTAGTGGAATATAAGATTGTTGGAGAATCCATCCATGGACTCTCTTGTCACTTGATGACCCAGGATATGGACACTCTTGTTGATGTTTACATCTTTAGTTGTTTTAAGCTTTTCTCCAAGATTCTGTGTTAGGTGAGGAGCCAATAACGTATGTAGCTAACAACAGTACGAGTGCATTTTGTGCTCTTGCAAAGTCTAGTGAGGCTCTATTCTCCCTCGTGATTGGCACTGCAGATTGTATCTGGAGCCCAGGGCCCCTAAATTTTCTGTGGCCTCTTCAGCATAGTTTGCCTAAGGTTTAGAACGTAAAGCGAATATAGTTGCGGAATATGTTTTGCAAGCCTCACACAGGAGGACAAAACATACAGCTTTCATTCGCGAGTGGGAGGCTGCTTCCCAGGAACACGTGTGTCTGCACAAGACAAGGGGTTGCCTCTGTCAAGGATGGGGCAGGAGGATTTCAGTGTCGGAGGCAGAACTTTCTTTCCTGTTCCCAGATGAAACAGTTCCAACACGAGCATCCATGTTGACCACACGCTACTAGAGTGCTAACATTGCTGTCCCGTATAGACTCTGGTCAGCACAGCTTCTGTGAGAAGAGCTATGTTGTTTCAGGGAAGAGGGTTTGACAGTCAAAGTTCCTGAATCTGTTGTGGTGCCTGCAATATGCATTCTACCCCTCCTGCTCGGTGTCAAAGCAGTTGAGCTTTGAAAATCTATCGCCCGGTTTTGTCCCTGCTCCTATGCAGACCTCTGAAGCTCTGGAGCGGGAGTCTTGTCCTCCTCTGACTACCGTCCCCCTGACCCACAAACACAGGAGAAACAGGTGTTCTAAGCAAATTATTCTGAAAACAGTCGGAACCCTTTGGCCCCCTCAAGCTGCCCTGTATCCTACTGTGTGCATGTCAAAGACACTGTGGTCCAGTACGGTATCCCTATAGCGGCAATGGGGCAACAGATTGGTGTGTGCACTCTGGGCAACTCAGATTAGGAAACGTCTGGGGACTTGCCTATAACGAGGTCGTCTTAAAACGTGTTGCCCCAAATTTAAGGCATAGGAAAATGTTGAGGAAAGGGTCTTGCAATGATTTTTCTAGGAGGTAAATAGATAAGAAAATGACCGTAAATAGATGCCAGGGCTAGTTTTGGAGCTAGCCTGTTTTAAAGTGGTGGTAGGGGAGGAGCTTTTTCCAAGGCAGGTAGCAAACCAGGAACTGTCTACGATGGATGGGCGTGCCACGGGTTGGTGGCTCAGCCATATTGCCACCCCACCGAGTGAATGCAGCAGACTGGGCTTCTTCCTTGAATCCTACGTGCAATTCAGTCTAGTGATTTCACATGAGATCCCTTCTTCTGGTATTATCACAGATCGTGCTGAATTATACAGGCTGTGTAATGCTTCTTCCACTGAATATCCGTGCACGTGGGCCACAGATGCTAAGGGCACTGACAAATTTGCACCGTGCCTCAGTAACTCGGAAGCACATCTGTGATTTGTACCGACAGGGACTTGGTGTCTTTTCGTGTTTAAAGTAGCACGTGTGTGTTTGTGGTTGCGTATGTTTATTTCTCTGTGCGGGTTTGTATATTTTCTCTGACTCCACCTGTGTCTCCGTGGTTCCGATATTTTTCCACACTCCCTGCGACAATTTGCACATGCCTATCTCTACAACCATTGTAGACTTTGTATCTGTGTCTTTGAACATCTGTCACTCTCTCTCCCTTCCTTTTTTCTTTTCCTTCCTTTACACCCCTTTCATCCTTCCCTTGCTTCCCCACCACACTCTCTCCATCTGTATCGTCTATCTTTCTATTCTCTATCTGGGTTTACTTTCTAATTCTGAATTCAAGGGCATTGAATTGAAAAGAAGCACTCTTCGTACTTTTATGTGTTTTAACTCATTTGGGGAATTTGGCGTGGTATTATTTACAGGGTTCTCTCTGCCCTTTCTCATTGTTCTCCCCAGCCGGGGCTGTTATTATGTGAAAGCTGGTTTCCTTCATCACATCGCGTAGGCTCTAATGATGTTTCGTTTATTTTGATTCTCCTCACACTACATAGTTTTAATTTACCTAATGTGACTGTTTTTTTGTTTGTTTTCCGAGAATGGGTCTTACTCTGTCTTCTAGGTTGGACAGCAGCCCCACGATCTCAGCCCACTGCAGCCCAGGCACCACACACCCATGTGATCCTGTCAACTCAGACTCTCACACACCTGGCAGTACAGGTGCATGCCACCCCTCCAAGCTATGTATTAATTAACTAAATACTTACTTTTTGAATGTGGGTCCATGTTGCCCCAGGCTCATCTGGAACTCCTGAGTGCAGGCAATCCTCCCACCTCAGCTTATCAAAGTGCTGGGATGACAGGTGTGACCCATGGCCCTGCCATGGCTTTGTGTTTTTTGCTTTTTTCTTCCTCCTCCTCACGTCTTGTTTTGAAACATGCACTGAAGGTTTCAATTCATGGACTATAGCCTCTGTGCCTGGAATTTCTATCTTTCAACTCATCATCAGCATTCATTGGGATTTTCATATATATATATACCTATATAAGAATACCTATGTACACACATATATACGTATATACATGTATATACGTATATATGCACATTTATATACGTATATACATGTATATACGTATATATATACATGTACACATATGTATTTATTTCTCAAGTTACGAAACGGCTTGCATTCTTTCCTGTGTCATGAAAAAGACTTTGCTAGAAAAGAAAAGCACTGCTTTATAATAAAATATTTTATTTGCATTTATTTTGTTAAGGCATTTTAAAAATTGTATGTTTGTTTAAAAAATGTCATATGAAATGATACATATTTACAACTTAAGGCGTGATGTTCAACAGGTCATATACATTATGCATTGGATACATCCAGCCAATCAACATATGTGTGACCTCACATAGTTGTCATTTTTGTTGTGAAAAAACTTGACCTGCACTGTATTCGAATATTTTTAGAGAAAGAATATGTTACCACTAGTTATAGTGAGCATGCTGAAGAAAATATTTTTAACCTATTCCTCCTTTATAACTAGAAGTATGAGTTCTTCATCCAGCATCTCGTCAGTGCACCCTCTTCACCGCAGTCATTGGAGTCACTACTTCTGTGAAGTCCGCTTTTTTGATTTCATATAAGAATGAGATCATGTGCTATTTTCCTTTCTGATACCTGGCTTATGTCACTTAACAGAATGGCATGCACACATTCAGCAGATTCCCACACATTCTCACAACTGGCAGGATTTCCTGATTTCTTATTGCAGCGCATATTTCCGTTGCGCATATGCGTTTTTGCCCCATTTTTTAATCCACTTATCAATGGAGGGACACTCAGGTTGCTTCCGCATTTTGGCTACAGCAAAAATGTAATGAGTGCAGCAATAATTGCATGGGTGCGCGCACCGCTTCAACATACTGATCTGTGTACTGGCGGGCGTGCCCGGGTATTCTGATTTGCTGGATCATATAGTGGGTGGTTCTACTTGTAGATTTCTGAAGGCTGTTTATACTTAAATAAGAGCCATAAAGCTTCTTTAATGCCAGCACTAATTTACATTCTCCCCAAAAGTGAGCAGGGAATTCGTTTTCTCTGCCTCCTCACCAGAGATTAGGGTTTTCTTTTCTTTCTTTTTTTTTTTTTGTTTGTTTGTCTTTCGGATAATATGCATTCTGACTGAAGTGAGAAGAAATCTCATTGTGTTTTTGATTTGCATTTTCGTGATGGATTGGGGATAATGAGGAATTTTTAGTGTGTCTTCTGGGCAACTGTATGTCTCAGTTTCACAAATGAGTCTTCGCAGCCTTCGCCCATTTGTTTTCATGCTATTGAGTTGTTGGGAGTTCCTTATGTACTGTGACTATTCCCCCATGAACAGATGTATGGTGATCCAATCATTGCTCCCATCCTGTAGGATGCCCCTTCTGTATGTTGAGTTTTCTATGGTGTGGTGAAGCACTTTAGTTTGATATGATTCCATTCTCTATTTTTGATGGTGTTTACTGTGTTCTTGCAGTCACTTTGAGACCATCATTGCACACACGGACGCCATGGAGCTGCTTCCTTGTGATCTCTTCTGCTATTTTTATCGTTTCACATCTGACACTGGAGTTTGGTGATAAATAATCCACTTGTAAAATCCTTTGTGTGGCTATTCAGATTTCCCCAACCTAGTTTATAGAAGATACTTGATTTTGCATTGGGCGTTCTTGCTTCTTTGGGAAAAGGCTGTGAGCTGCAAATGCAGTGACTTAGTTCTGGGCTCCTGTTGTTTTTCCTAAGCTCTAGTCTCTGCTTTTCTGCCAGCGCTATTGTATTTTGGTACAAAAAGTTTTGTAGTAGTATATCATGAAGTTAGGTAGTGGGGTGGCTCCAGCTTTGTGCTTTTTACTGGATTGCTCTGGGTTTTCAGGATCTTCTGCCATTTCATAGCAAATTTGGGATTCCCAGATTGTTTTCTAAGAAGAATGTGTCATTGATATTTTTACAGGGGTTGTATAGAATCTGAGGATGACTCAGGTAGTAGTGATGTCAATGCCGTTTAGACAATGTGCGTGTTTGTGTGCACATGCTCAGGGCCAAGAGACACTGGGTGTCCTCACCAATACTGAGGTGGGCCTTAATATCCAGCCAGATTGCCTTCTGGAAACACACGGAATGTCCTGTTCTGTTTTGCCATCTCTTCACATTTCCTCCCCTGTGAGCCCTGTGTGGTCCTCCAGATTCCCTGTGCGGTGGCCTGCCTTTTTTGGGGTGGGGAGTTGCTGGGTGAATGAGGATGGCGGAGGGAACCAAGCATGTCAGTGGAGCGTGGTGTCATCCAAACGGTACTTAGCAGGCCTGGGAGAGTCATTCTGGGAGGACGCAGACCTAGAGAGGCCTCAGGTGGGCATCTGTGTGGAGGGTGAGAGATCCCTGGTTGAGCCCAAACTGAACCCCAGGTAGAAGCAAGCCTCAGGACAGGGAAGTAGCTAGCAAGGGATGATGAGGCAGCTATCTCTTGACCCTGGCTTCCCACCCATTGACCTTAGCTACTTATGCCTATTAAGCAGATTACGGTTCCCCCATCGTGAAATGTGGGTACCACAGTTCCCTGATGGGCATTTCTCCACCAGCCCATGATGGCCTGAGTTTCCTTACTGCAGTCTCCTCCCTGAGCCTTGGCTTCTCTATGTGTGTCCTAACTCCAGGACCCACAGGCCTGTCAACCCCCAGCCCTGGGCTGCTTCCCTGGCCTCTTCTCTGTTCCCTCTCTGAGGGCCTAACTCCCTTGGGTAGTGCTGCAGAATATAGAGCCACAGGCCCTGGCTGATGATCTGGTGGACTGGGCAAATTGGTCGTGACAGGTCAGGTTCTGGTTCAAAGCCAATTCCTCCGATGCCAAGGAATGTCGAAGAAGGTCCTTTGCCATGATGTCCCATAGCTGTCCCACCTCAGCAATCGTGCCGTAACCTGGGCCCTCACAGTCAGACAACCAGCTGAAGAAGCTCAGGCAGTGACCTGCGGGAAACTCGGGCTTTCACCTGCATGACCCTAGAACCACTGGACTGCAGTGGAGCCAGTCGCCCTGTATCCTGGAGGGAGACGAGTCAGGAAGGCGCACGCCAGGCCCAGCTCCCGAGGTACTACCCCCTCTACTCCTCAGGGAGGATGCCAACGCAATACTCCTTAGTCATCACTTTGTTTCCGAAGTAAATGTTGTGATGAAAGGCAAACTTCTTCCTACCCCTTGTATTCAGGGTGGCCGAGTTCCTCCACCTGCCTGTCCAAGAAGGAGAAACAGGGCTGTGAAGGGGCAATTTCATCTAGGTGGGCTGAGGTGGCACTCTAGCCGGGGTGAAGCATGCGTTTCCCCTTCCCAGCTTTCCCGCTGAGACACACCTGAGCCCCAGAAGGACCTCAACCTGACCAGGACCTTAGCACCCTCCCCCAGACCCAGGCTTTCCATCCTGACCTGCAAATCCAACATGCAGCTTTGAAGGACTTTCTCATGGTTTCTGAGCTCCTTGCTCTCACCAGAAAGAATCAGAACTTTTAAAGTGTTCTTTATGCCAACTTAAATTTTTCATTTTTACTACCTCATGTTTTGGATGAGGCATGTATTTTTAAATTTATTTTCACCCTTATTGTACCTCTATGATAAACTGCTTGCTTACATTCATACCGTAATTATCTCTCAGGTTACTTGTCTGTTCCTAAAGATTCACTGAAACGAAGAATTCTATATATGCTTGTATCTTTCAGCAACCGTATGTCAGATAGCACTGCACATTACTGCAGACATCGCATATACAGGTCCAAAGGTAGAGGAAGAAGAAGAAAGCAAGCGTTAAACTCTATTCATTCCTAAAAGCATATCAGAAACTCACAAATAACAGTGAAATCAAAGAATGATCACAGCCAATTCCATTACATACCTAGACTGAAATACGAAACTTCAAAGAAAAGAAACATTAGAACTTTGGGTTTGTAAAAATTTTCCTATATAGATAAAATTGTTGGTAACTGTGTCTCACTAGAAAACGTAAACAAAAATCCATGTTTTTCATATTTGTAAATATACATAGTTTTATTTCCATCAGTTATGACATGCAAGCAAGTAATAAAGTGAAAGTACAATCAAATGATATATGGAACTTCCTCAGTCTTAAAATATTCCATGGAGACTATCAATTTTATGAAAACTATAAAGAATGCTTCATGAAACTACATTGTACAGTGCCATTTACTATTTTACTGACATTTTAAATAATCAACAATTAAAGGGAATACGTCAACATTATTTAATACCAATAACGTTATTTTTCTTGAGTAATCCTGTTGAAATTAAGGATTTTAAATAAAACATTAAAAACAAATTATATTGACTGATTTCAGCTTTGGATGAAATCATACTTGTGTATTTGTAGTAATGCGAAGCATAACTTTCTCCTCACAATTAATCTTTTATAACATCGGTGTTATAGTTTTCTCTGACACCAACATTGTGATGTCGCACAGGTTTACTGCATGCATGCATTACATGCCTCCAGAGAGTAGGCTTCAAATATATGGAAAAATTATATTTATGAAAAAATTCTAGGAAAGGGAATGGTGAAATGGAAGAGAATTTCTCACTTGCTAACTGTTGGACATGGATTTGTATATATTTGGATATAGACACATACTGGCACACTGTGAGTTTGCCCATGTATATATACACTTATATGAGAAACCCATAATATATGGGTTGTGTAATCTTTTAATTAATCCATAATTGTATGTGTGTGAAATTAGATAAGCGGTTACCTTTTCTTTACTCAATTTGATGGAAAGCCAAAAAACTCTGTCCACCTTCATTTCAATTAATCCAATACTGTTAACTGCTGGTAGCTTCATTCTCCTTGTTCTCTTACGGCAACCGGAAAGTTAATTCTCGCTCTAATTTGGCTTTCAAGGTGCAATCAACAAGAGTGTCACCTTGCTGTGGATTGTGACCTCTGACTCCACCTCTGTCTTCCTTTTGCAGTCCTACCTTTGCATAGGTAACAAACTTTGTACATGGTTAAAAGGATAAAAGTTCAGTGAAATGTCAAGCCATGCTGTGAAATGTTCCATAGTTTCTATATCTCTAATTGTCCTTTGATGTTATAGAGGCAAGAAAAATAATTCAATGTTTTTCTTAGTATCTAGTCCAATGCACTCTTTCTTCATAATACTGCAAACAAGGCACTGACATGGAAACGTGGCTGGACGTCTCAAAATCTCTTCTCATTAATTACCATTATGTTAATCACTGTTGCCCACAACTGGAATTGGACTTTGAAATCCCCTGGTGGAAATTGCTATAATGGCTCAAACTACTGGAAAGACTATCTTTTTTTTACCTGAAAATATCTGATGAGCATAGACGTATGCTATATACAGGAACATATTGTACATTAACAACATACCATCACTGCCACTCAATAATAGGTATCCCAAACCTTTGAGCCAAACTGAGCTCGGGTGCTCCCACAAACCAAGCTTTTCCCTCCACAGATTTCTTATGTCAAAAAGCCACAACTCCAGGCCAGGCTTCGTGGCTCTTGTTGTAATTTCTACATTTTGGGAGGCCGAGGTTGGTGGGTCACTTGAGGTCAGGAGTTGGAGACCAGCATGGGCAACATGGCAAAAAGCTGTCTCTACCAAAAATACAAAAATTAGCCAGACCTAGTGGCACTTTCCTGTGGTCCCAGCTACTTGGGAGGCTGAGGCAGGAGAACCACCTGAACATGGGTGGCAGAGATTGTATAGTAAGCCAAGATCAGACTACTGCACTCCAGCCTGGATGACACAGCGAGACCATGAAAAAAAAAATAAAGGCAACTCCACTCGTCCACTGGCTTAGGTAAAAAGTACTGGAGTTGGCTGGGCTCGGTGGCTCACACCTGTATTCCCAGCACTTTGGATTTTGGGAAGCTGAGTCGGGCGGGTCACCTGAGATCTGTAGTAGGAGAGCAGCCTGGCCAACATGGTGAAGCCTGGCTTCTACTAAAAATACAAAACATTAGCTGAGCGTGGTGATGCATGCTTGTAATCCCAGCTACTGCAGAGGCTGAACCTGGGAGGCGGAGGATGTGTTGAGCTGAGATCCTGCCACTGCGCTCCAGCCTGGTCTACAGAGCGAGAGTACCCTGTGAGAAACAAAGGTGAAGAGAACAAGAAAAAAAAAATGAGAAAAATAAGACCCACTGCAAAAGGTTGCCACAGAAAAGATTAAACATTTCAGCAACTTCTATCTTCTGTCATGGAAGCCAAGGTTATTTGGACCAAACCTCCTGTCTTAGTTCATTTTCACGCTGCTGAAGAAGAGATACCTGAAACTGGGAATAAAAGGAGGTTTAATTGGACTGACAGTTCCACATGGCTGTGGAGGCCTCAGAATCATGGTATACGAATAAAGGCACTTCTTACATGGCAATGCCAAGAGAGAATGAGGAAGAACCTGAGGCAGAAACCCCTGAAAAACCCATCAGATCCCGTGAGACTTCTTCACTGTCACAAGAATAGCATGAGAAAGACCGACCCCCATGATTCAATTACCTCCCCCTGGGTCCCACCCGCAACACGAGGGAATTCTGGGAGATACAATTGAAGCTGAGATTTGAATGGAGACACACCAAACCATGTCACTTCCCAAACAATTAAAAATTCCCAATAGAAGAAGCATTAATTATATCAAAAAGTGGTGGACCAAGAAGGAACTATTAGCCTCATATCTCAAGAAAGACTCCAGTCAAGGCCTAGGGACTACTCATGAAAAGAGTTTAATAGCCGACTCTCTCCCAGTGGATCTGGATTCCACCGGACTGTATCTTCACAGTAAGGGTGAAACAGAAGCAAACCCATTCCTATTTCCAAGCTCAAGGAACTTTGGTCAAAGTTCTCTTGGAGCTGAGCAGAACAAGGAGGCAAACAGAAAAGATTTGTGTCCCTGAGAAGTCATGGCCACAGGCTGGCTATCACACAGATTGTCAAGCCAGTTCCATATTGCATGGGTATTACAGAAAATCTCAAAACATAAATTTGTGTGTGGGTTGTCCCAGAGTAGCAGGATCTGGCAGAAGGAAATTTCCTTCTAACCCTCAAAGAATCCACATAAATCTTGTTACATTTGGGATTTTACGATTTGCTTCAGGAATGAGAATGGCCTTAATTTTCATATCTTTTTCTACACTCAGTTTATGGCTTGTTGGCGTCAAAGTTCTGCTTGCTTCACACAATGAGTTTAGGATTTTCCCTTTTTTATTCTATAGAATTCTTCATATATATTGAAATGCTCTGCCTGGGGAAAAAAATCTGAGCCTAGCGTTTTATCTCTAGGAAGAATCCTTTATTTCCTTGAACATTTATGAGACTATACAGATTATATATGTCTTCTTGTATCAATTTTACTAAGCTATATACATAGCTTATGTTTATATATTATATATATAAATGTAAGATACAAATATAAAAATTATGTATAAATATGAAAATATATATAGAAAGCGATATATATGTCTATATATATAGACAGATTATAAATATCTGTCTATTTGATCTAAGTTTTCAAATTTGTAGGTTAAGGTGTTAATGATATTTCCTTATTAGCTTCTTAATCTATGCTGTATCTATGGTTGTGTACCTTTTAAATTCTTAGTTTTATCTATGTTTTCTCCCTTTTTTTCTAAACTTGACTGACGGTTGCATCATTTATTATATTTCTCCAACAAGCAAAGGTTAGCTTTGTATGTTTTACTAATTTTGTCTACATCATTATTCCCACACTTTAGTTTTTCAGAATTGATTCTGTTGTTTCTTTTCTAATTCTTTATTGAAATATCTAGTACATTAATTTTCAAGTTATTAGAGAAATATTTGTCTGTAAACTCCTATTGTAATATCACTTTTCTTGCTACTCACAGATTTAATCTTTAATATTGGCGGTATCATTGAGTTCTAAGTACATTTCAATTCCTAGTATGATAATCTATGAATTGCTGAGAAATAGTGTTTACAATTTTGTTGTTCTATTTCCACTTAAGTTTATTTTTACTTCTGCTAACTCAATTGAAAATTCTTTACTAATTTTTAAAATCCTTGAACCCAAGAGATGGAGGTTGCAGTGAGCTGAGATCAGGCCACTGCATTCCAGACTGAGTGACAGAGTGGAACGAGATTTCAAAACAAAACAAAACAAAACAAAACAAAACAGTCACTGGAAAGATAATAAAATACATAAATGTGGGATGTAATATGTAATCGTGATAAAATAAACTGGATTTTTTGTATAAGTTATACATATAAATGTAATGCCAAGACACTGATAAGACAACTCATGGTCTTATCTCAATACTTAGTGTCTTCATGTAACATATGTCCTTTAGGATAGTTATAGTCCGTTTTCTTTCCAGGAGAGACAGATGAGAATGCAGAAATGTTAAAGTGCAAGGGACGGAAGCTTCCAGCTGTGCCCACCTGTAACCTGACGTAGACAGTTCCACCGTTTGCTTCATTAATCATGCCAAAGGCTCTAATGCAAATGTGGTACAGAGTCACATGTTTTTGTATCTACATGATAGAAACTATAACTTCATCCCTATATAGAAGGGTATATAGCATATGCCTCAGTGATAAATATAAGTGAATCCTTGATCAGTAGGAAACCATTTTAAAAGTCTTTCATAACAGAACAAAATCCCTGAAAACATTTTCTTCTCAATCTCTGAGTTTTCTTACACGGCTTATGAATCTCTAGCCATACTAAAGAGATAGTATGCTGCTCTTCCCACAAATTATTCATTGTATATAATTCCTGTAATCTAATAACAGTACCTTTACACCTCAGGGTTTAAAATGACTCCAACCTTTTTCTGTTTCTCCAATTAAAATAACTTTTTTAAGGTTTAATCTTCAGTAATTTTTTGTAGTAATATTTTTGAAGGTATTTGACCAGGATGATTTGCTTATATACCTACCTGACGTCTCCCTTTCTTCTGAATACATATTTTATTACCCACCTATTAGATCTAAGTTTAAGAAGTTGGAATAGGGATTTAAATCTAAATTCTACATTTGAATTTACAGGAGTCAGCGAGTCGGGGAAGTGCCTTTATGCACAGACCAATATCTGGCAATGGCACTAGGAGACAAATAAGCTTTACCAGTCTCAAAGCCCTGGCTACTACAGTGAATCCACCCTTCTCCTGGATCTTATCTACTTCAGCAAAAGAAGGCCACCCACTAAACCAGGCCCTTGTACTTTGGGTGGAAACTCCTAAGTCCTCTAGTCTCCTCAAACAGACAGCCAGGCTGCCAATTTCCACAATAATAATTTCTATAGCACTGAGTCTTTGGTAGCCTTGTAACTATAGCTACTGATGCTACAGTCTGGTCCCTGTATGATAAAACACCAGAGCAACAGAAACAAAAATATTGACTGAAGCCTTCTAAAATCTCTCTAAATATACCTTCAATAAATATCGTTTTTTTTACAGAACGACTGCTTTCAGCTTCCTGAACGAACGCTTGGCCTTCGCTAGTTGTCACTGTTGAAATTGATTCAAAAGTGTACATTTAACATGAAAGTCAACACAGAATTTCATGTGTCAGCAACTAAAATTTTCAAAATGTTGCAAAATACAAATGTGAAACTGTATTTGTGAAATTTACCATTCATTGAAATTATATTTTCATACCTACCCAGGCACAGAATTTTTTATAACTGTCTGCATGTTCTCCTCATGTGGGGGAAAAGCAGCATCAGCAGGCAGAGGAATCCTTTGAAGCTGGAGGGAGAGGTTGCAGTGATCTGAGAGTTTGCCACTTGACTGCAGCCTGGATGACACAGTGAGACTCCAACTGAAAAGAAACAAACACACACACACACACACACACACACACACACACCCCCAAAATTGATAAGTAAAAAAAAAATCCGTATTCGAAAACATGCTCACAGGCTAACTCCCATATCTAACACACACACACACACACACACACACACACACACACACACACACACACAATTCCTTGAAAACGAAAGTTCCACAAGGGCAAAACAAGAAAACAAATTTAACACCCCCCAAAGAAAGTACGAAGAGTAACCTCAAAAGAACCGCAGGGGAAAACAATTCAAAATTTACAAGTATCTACCCTAAAAGAAGCTGAAAGTCCCTCAAAAACTTTCCAGAGGCCATGTCCTTGTATTACAAAAATGATCATAAAAACTGGCAGGAGTAGACGAATAGAAATGCATCTTAAAACTTGCTGAACACTTCAAGTCTCCCATAAGAATTGTAATGGAAAATGGATCAGTCGGCAGTTTTTTCCATACAATTATGAACAAATTATATTTCTTCATACATAGATTTGTTTTTTCAATATTCTAAGGAATTAACTTTTATATTAATAGTAGGTGATGTAAGAAAGCAGGCCTTTATCAAGATAACTGACACTGGATGTCCATACCATTACTCAGGTGGGCCTTAATTCCCAGCCGGGTTCCCTCCCTGGACACACACTGAAGGTCCCCAGCCATTTGGCAATCTCTTCACATTCCCAGCCCTGGAGGTAGCCCTAAAATACATGTACCTGAAGAAAATAAAACATTGCCTCACACTGGAGCCCAGTGTGGTCCTCCAGATTCCGTGTGAGGTGGACTAACTTATATGGGAAGGCAGGGCAGCGGGAGTGAGGATGGCAGAGAGGATTACACATGTCAAGGCAGCCGGGGTCATGGAAACAAAACATGACTGGCCTGGGAGAAACACTGTGAAAGGACACAGACCTAGGTGGGCCTCAGGTGGACATCCTCGTGGAGAAAAAGGGGGCCCTGGTTGATCTCAAAATGAGCCCCAGGTGGTAGCAGGTCTTACCGCAGGGCAGGGAGCTGGCGAGTAATGATGAGACAGCTATCCCTTAAGCCCTGCTTGTCACCCACTGACTTTAGCCACATATGCATCATAGTGGCTTAAGGTGCCCCGATCCTGAAATGTGGGTGTTACGTGTCCCTGATGGGCCTCTCTCCCCCAACCCACGGATTGCCTGGGATTGCTCACTGCAGTCTCCTCCCGGATCCTTGGGTTCTCCATGTGGGGCCCGGATCCAGGTCAAAAGGCCTCTCAGTTCCCAGCCCTTCCCAGCCCTAGGCTGCTCGCCTGGCCTCCTCTCTGTTCCGCCTCTAGGGCTGACCCTCTCTCTCCATGGGATAGAACTGCAATGGATTGAGCCATAGGCCCTGGCTGATGATCTAGGGGACTGCAGAAGTGGGTCCAGGACAGTTCAGGTGACAGTTCAAAGCCAATTCCCCAGAGACCAAGGAATGACCAGCTAGGTCCTTTCCCATGATGCCCCATGGCGAACCCCACCTCAGCAATCCTGCCAAAACCCGGGCAGTCATGTTCAGCCAAACAGCTGAATGAGCTCAGGTAGGAGGTGTACTGCCTGCAGCTGGAGGCTTGACCTTCGTGATCCCAGAACCGCTGGACTGCAGTGGAATGAGACACCCTGTAGCCTGCAGGGAGAGGAGTCAGGAAGGTTCATGCCAGTCCCACCCTCCCACACACCAGCTCCCCTACCATGCTGGGAGGCATTCCTTACCGAGGATGCCAACACAGTGCTCCTTCATGATGATTTCACTGTGGAAATAAAGGTTGGGATGAAAGGAAATCATCCTGCCACCGGTAACCGGGATGGCTGAGTTCCTCCACCTGCCGGATCAAGGAGAAAGAGGATGGATTCAATGGGACCATCTCAACTAGCTGGGCTGAGGTGGCCTACTAGCTGTAGTGAACCATGAGTTTCCCCTTCCCAGCTCTCCCACTGAGACAACCCTGGTCCCCAGGGGGACCTCAAACTGACTCAGACACTGGACTCCTCCCACAGACCCAGGCTCCCCAGCCTGACCTGCAAATCCATCACGTAGCAAAGCAGGACTTCCGCATGCTTTCCGACCCACGCCGACATCTCGTGTGCCAAACAATCTACCTCTGCGCAAGAACTCTCCAGAGGATTGGGTGGGCAAGCCTCGTGACGCCTTGCAATTTCGCAAGAACACAGACAATGTGGAACAGGGCCATCTCCCAGACATTTGGCCAGTCACCCTTCATTGTTGGCCCTCTATCTCTGTCTGGCGAGGAGGCAACGCCACAACTGTGGTGGTTTTTGGAGTGGGTGGACCCCGGCCAAGACGGCCTGGGCTGACCAGAGACGGGAGGCAGAAAAAGTGGGCAGGTGGTTGCAGCTGAGGGACGGGAGGGACCGGGGGTGGTGTGAGGCGGCTGCTTCTCTGAGGTTTCTGAGATGCAGGAGGCCTTTGTGTGCTGGGTGCTGGACATGCTCCGCTGATGTCCGGGTGTGTGGTGTCCTCTTATCCTAGTCTCCCTGAGGGGTGGGCCTGTCCACCTGAGGGAAGCCTTGTAGTTAGAAGCCACAGCAGGGTCGTGCCTGGCGCTCTCCAAGGGAATTGCGTGGGTCCAGAGGAAGTTATACAGGCTCAGGGCCTACACGCCTTTGAGTGCAGCGCCTGCAGTTGGATGAATGCGCATCTGCGGAGCTGGTGCCCGCCGTCAGGTGGTCGGCAGCCCCATGCGCCGCGAACCCGTCTTAAGCACCTTGTGTTTCTGGGGTGAGCCTGCTGGAAACAGGCACCGAGAGCAGGGGTGGTTCAATGGCTGGTAATGGCATACAGATTCCCCGTCCTCCAGGGACGTTCCCAGGGAAACGCGTCCTTCGAATTTGGGCTGTGCGCAAAGGGACCTTGGCGCCGCGATTCTCCCTTGTCAGTGCTGGCCCTGGCTCCCCTTCCCTACCACGTGCTCCCAGGGCTGCTACAAGCGAGCTGCCCTCACAGCTGCGGGAACGTGGCCTCGGCTCCCACGCTGTCCCCCATCCCCTGCCTCCTGGCTGACCCCACGTGCCTCCCACCTGGCTCCTCCCCCCAAACAGCCCCCATACCCCCCGAGGCCCGATGACTATCCCCTGCTGCCCGCCATCCCAAATCGGCAGCCGCAAGGATATGGCTCTGGCTCACAAGGCGGAGATGCTCTGTGGCCTGGGGCATTCACGGAGCCCAGCTCCAAGTGAAGGACCTCCAGCGAGTCCATTGACGGCCCCGGTGTGCTCGGTCCAGGGCCAGGCTGTGCCCGCTGGCCCTCCTTCTGCCACCCCACGTCGGGCTCCACCTCAACCACCACCTCCACCTCAGCCATGATGTCTTCCACCTTCAGCACCGCCTCCTCTTCCAAGGCCGCCTCCTTGCTCTGTACCCCGGCCGTCCTCTCCAGCATTGCCTCCAGCCTGAACACGGTTCTCCTGGGTGCTCCCACAGACCCTGGGCCTGCGCAGCCCAGCCCAGCCCAGCCCATGCCCCGCACCCGTAGGCTCTGGGGGCCCGCTCCCCAGCAGACCCGCTCCCTGCAAGACCCACGGGCGTCGCCCTGCTGTGAACCTGGTCCCACACCTACGTGGACCCAGGTTTCCTGAGGAGCTCCGCTGGACCCGCAGATCCCGCACTGGCCAAAGGGCTCCGGTCCCCAGCAGGCTCAACTGCGCACAGGAGCTCGGGAGCCAGAGGCCCCGGCCCTGGGCTTGCAGAGCCCCACCAACAGGCACCGCAACCGCTGCTGCGGGTGCGGGAGCCTCTGGGTCGTCAAGGCAGCGCACAACAGCGTGCGCGCAGGCCGACAATGGCCAACCCTGGCGGCTGGCCTCTGGTGTGCCCAGGGCATAGGACAAGAGGCCCTTTGGAATGCTCCTTGGAGTACAGCATCCTCAGGGAGGAAGCATGGTACTCGGAGCCTCTATTTGCCTCGACCTGTGAGAGTGTGTGCCGGGGCTCTGGCCTCTACAGCAGATCAATTCCACCTCAGCACCGGCAGGCGACTTTCCTCCCACGTGCCCGCCCCGATCACTTCCCCCAGGACACCCCTGCCGCCCTAGCCCCAGCAACCAGAGAGAGTTCTCTGCATCTGCTGTATTACCTCCGTACCATCTACCTGGCCTGCCTAACGAAGAGAGATGTTTCCTGTGTTCATGACACATAGAGATGTTCATGGCTTGCCACACTGAGGATGTCAGGGCACAGGGCTGCCATGCCCACAATTCCAAAGGCCACGCAGCCCGCGTGTGCCCGGATGCCTAGCTACCCGGCACAAGCTCCAAGGGCTTCTCGGAGGAGGCTTGGGCAGGGAAGGCGGGGGGTGGGGGGGCTGGAGATGCAGGCCCGCCAGTGGCTGTGCCGCCCAGGGAGACGCCCACCGCCCTCCCATTGATTGGCCACGACGGGAGGAAGTCGGCCTGGGTGCGGCCCCCCGGCCCTTCGCGCGCAGTCCCTTAGGGGGCGCCTGGAAGCCCGGCGCATGCGCCCTGAGGGCTCGCTGACCTACCGGGTGCCAGAGAGGCTGCGGCAGGGTTTCTGTGGCGTGGGTCGGGCAGCACAGGCCTTGGTGTGTGCGAGTGCCAAGGAGGGCACCGCCTTCAGGATGGAGGCTGTACAGGAGGGGGCGGCCGGGGTGGAGAGTGAGCAGGCGGCTTTGGGGGAGGAGGCGGTGCTGCTGTTGGATGACATAATGGCGGAGGTGGAGGTGGTGGCGGAGGAGGAGGGCCTCGTGGAGCGGCGGGAGGAGGCCCAGCGGGCACAGCAGGCTGTGCCTGGCCCTGGGCCCATGACCCCAGAGTCTGCACTGGAGGAGCTGCTGGCCGTTCAGGTGGAGCTGGAGCCGGTTAATGCCCAAGCCAGGAAGGCCTTTTCTCGGCAGCGGGAAAAGATGGAGCGGAGGCGCAAGCCCCAGCTAGACCGCAGAGGCGCCGTCATCCAGAGCGTCCCTGGCTTCTGGGCCAATGTTGTATCCTTCTCAGTGTTTCTTCGGCCTTTCTAGTGGAGAGGTGCTCTCGGGGAAGTGTAAGTGACCGATGGGCAGCTCGGCGTCGATGTGACTCTTTGGGGAACAAAGGGGAGTTGCCACGGACCAATGTGGCTGTGGAAAGCCGGAGCAGGCGTGGGTACTATTGTCCTGCATGCGGCAGAGAAACCCTTGGTGATGCCGAGCAGCAGACGTTTGGGGCATCTTTTTGAAGAGCAGAAGCGAGTTCAGAGCGGAAGAGGTTTTTCAGTGAATGAAGCTATTTTTAAGGGAGTGTGATTGCTGCCCCTTGCTAGTCCGATCTGGGACTGGGCGTCTTCGGCTATAAGCAGATTCTGCCACTCCTCAGACACCAGCAAGTCTCTGCAAATCGCGCCTCCCCATGTCAGTGCAGTCAGCCTCAGAATCATACACCCTCTGTGAACACAGGAGGCCTTAGTTTACGGGGACGGGGAGGCGAAAGGAGATCATACATGGAAGCAGATCTGAGAAATCCCCTACCCCAGCCTCTGGGTGCTCTTAGGCCTTCTTCCCTGTTGCTCCTCGCTTTCCCTTCCATCGTGTGTAAAGTCTCTTTGACCTAAATCAGATTGCAAACCACCCCCAGATGTCAGCCCTGATCACTGACGAAGATGAAGACATGCTGAGCTACATGGTCAGCCTGGAGGTGAGGCCAGGAAGACTGGGGCTAGAGGGTTTAGCGGGGGAGGGTAAGGGAAATAATTCATTCCTGTAAGCAAGAGTGAGCACCTCACCCGAAAACCTATCTAAGCTTTCTCCACCTTGTCCTGACAGGTGGAAGAAGAGAAGCATCCTGTTCATCTCTGCAAGATCATGTTGTTCTTTCGGAGTAACCCCTACTTCCAGAATAAAGTGATTACCAAGGAATATCTGGTGAACATCACAGGTGACAGGTGGCTCCCAGGATGGGTAGTGGAAGGAAGATGGTGGGTGGATCATTGCCAACGGGATCCAGCCCCCTTCCCACAAAAACTCCTGTCTCTGTAGAATACAGGGCTTCTCATTCCACTCCAATTGAGTGGTATCCGGATTATGAAGTGGAGGCCTATCGCCGCAGACACCACAACAGCAGCCTTAACTTCTTCAACTGGTTCTCTGACCACAACTTCGCAGGATCTAACAAGATTGCTGAGGTGAGTCCTCACTGGGAAACATGAGGAATGACCCCGTGTGTTCCCAGCTGCTTGGGTCACCTTTCTGAGCCCTGATGAGGCCTTTCCCGATTGAGTCCCCTGACAGATCCTATGTAAGGACCTGTGGCGCAATCCCCTGCAATACTACAAGAGGATGAAGCCACCTGAAGAGGGAACAGAGACGTCAGGTGAGCCGTTAGTTGGCACTGGAGCTGTTTGATGCCCAGTATAAGGGGGTTGACACACCTGCCTATTCAGGGAGCCTGGGTGCTCATTTCAGAAATGTAGAAATTGAGGCTCCTTTCGTACATGTAGAAATTCCTTGAGAGGAAGACAGAGAGTGACAGAATCCAGGACGTTCATGGCATTGGGCTGAAAAGGCACGTTAGAGACTGCACTGCAAAGCGGGTGATAGCTGTGGAGTCTTAAGCCCAGTGAAGAATCGTCCATTTCCAGAATCAATGAGAAGTAAAGCTGAAAATCATTCAGTTCAGTCTGTGGCACTTGATTCCACGGCTGTCAACCCCACCGGCAGTCATCCCACCAACCCCATGAGATTGGGCTCCCTGAATGTGCGTCCTGGTCATCCTTGCCCCAAACCACAAAGGACTGTTTAGATTGATGGATTTCCTTAAGCTGTTGCCCCATCAGACTTGTGTGTGCTTTTAGGGCCCAGTGCATCTTGTTAGCTGACTCCCCTCACAGACAATACTGGGAATGGGGCAGGGATTGCGCAGAACAGTTTGTAACACGTGGTAGGAGGAAGTTTAAGGGATCACAAATGGGGAAGGGATATCCTTTTCTCAGCGGGCCCCACAATTGAAACATTTCAAAGTATGGCTCAGAGAAAATGCGTTTTAACATGAGTTTGTGTTTCTCTAGGGGACTCCCAGTTGTTGAGTTGAATATGATGGAGCATCAGATTTTACCTAATACAGCAGAACTCCTAAAAAGTTACAGCCATATGCAGGACGGCAGTACTCAGCATGGTCTTATGCACAGGAACTAAAGGAAAAAGAGATCGAGTCACAAAAATTCAGGAAGAGGGGGTAAATGTGGATTGTATGGAATGAAAAATAAACATTCTCAAGGATGTGTGACTCTGTGTCTGTGTGTGTGTGTGTGTCTTTGTGTTTGTGTGTGTGTGTGTCTGTGTGTGTATGTTTATCCACTTTATTCGGGTGTCATAATGAATTGATCAATCCACGTGCTTTATTCTCTTCATGGAAATAACCAGTCTGCGTTGGAGCTGGGCCTCTAAAGTTGTAGAGTGAATGGGTGTGGGATGTGTTGGGATTCTTCCTACAGGACAGAGTGGGAGAGGTAAAAGCAAAAGACAGCTTAGTTGGAGGCTGACTTCGTCCTGTGGAAGCAGAGATAGTTCAAGGAAAGGGGTTACTGGGTTTCCAGGGCCCAGTTTGCTGGGACCTCCAAAATCCTTCATTTTGGGTATCATCATACACAGTAGCTAAGCACAGGATGATGGAAATCTTAAAGTTCGCTTTCGTGTTGAATCCACATGTTCTTTTAAAGGTGAATGCATGATCCTTTTCTGGGACAATCAGCCTCTCAGGACTTCTGAAACATCAACGTGAGAAGAAATGGGCATGTAAGGTGTATGGAGGGACTGTGGGAAAGGTGACAGAGGCATGTGGGAAGGCATTCAGGATACGCTTTTGGCATAGATGACTAAGGGAAAACAGAAACTTACAGAAGTGAGGGGAAAGGGGGTGGATTAGTGGAATATAAGATTGTTGGAGAATCCATCCATGGACTCTCTTGTCACTTGATGACCCAGGATATGGACACTCTTGTTGATGTTTACATCTTTAGTTGTTTTAAGCTTTTCTCCAAGATTCTGTGTTAGGTGAGGAGCCAATAACGTATGTAGCTAACAACAGTACGAGTGCATTTTGTGCTCTTGCAAAGTCTAGTGAGGCTCTATTCTCCCTCGTGATTGGCACTGCAGATTGTATCTGGAGCCCAGGGCCCCTAAATTTTCTGTGGCCTCTTCAGCATAGTTTGCCTAAGGTTTAGAACGTAAAGCGAATATAGTTGCGGAATATGTTTTGCAAGCCTCACACAGGAGGACAAAACATACAGCTTTCATTCGCGAGTGGGAGGCTGCTTCCCAGGAACACGTGTGTCTGCACAAGACAAGGGGTTGCCTCTGTCAAGGATGGGGCAGGAGGATTTCAGTGTCGGAGGCAGAACTTTCTTTCCTGTTCCCAGATGAAACAGTTCCAACACGAGCATCCATGTTGACCACACGCTACTAGAGTGCTAACATTGCTGTCCCGTATAGACTCTGGTCAGCACAGCTTCTGTGAGAAGAGCTATGTTGTTTCAGGGAAGAGGGTTTGACAGTCAAAGTTCCTGAATCTGTTGTGGTGCCTGCAATATGCATTCTACCCCTCCTGCTCGGTGTCAAAGCAGTTGAGCTTTGAAAATCTATCGCCTGGTTTTGTCCCTGCTCCTATGCAGACCTCTGAAGCTCTGGAGCGGGAGTCTTGTCCTCCTCTGACTACCGTCCCCCTGACCCACAAACACAGGAGAAACAGGTGTTCTAAGCAAATTATTCTGAAAACAGTCGGAACACTTTGGCCCCCTCAAGCTGCCCTCTATCCTACTGTGTGCATGTCAAAGACACTGTGGTCCAGTACGGTATCCCTATAGCGGCAATGGGGCAACAGATTGGTGTGTGCACTCTGGGCAACTCAGATTAGGAAACGTCTGGGGACTTGCCTATAACGAGGTCGTCTTAAAACGTGTTGCCCCAAATTTAAGGCATAGGAAAATGTTGAGGAAAGGGTCTTGCAATGATTTTTCTAGGAGGTAAATAGATAAGAAAATGACCGTAAATAGATGCCAGGGCTAGTTTTGGAGCTAGCCTGTTTTAAAGTGGTGGTAGGGGAGGAGCTTTTTCCAAGGCAGGTAGCAAACCAGGAACTGTCTACGATGGATGGGTGTGCCACGGGTTGGTGGCTCAGCCATATTGCCACCCCACCGAGTGAATGCAGCAGACTGGGCTTCTTCCTTGAATCCTACGTGCAATTCAGTCTAGTGATTTCACATGAGATCCCTTCTTCTGGTATTATCACAGATCGTGCTGAATTATACAGGCTGTGTAATGCTTCTTCCACTGAATATCCGTGCACGTGGGCCACAGATGCTAAGGGCACTGACAAATTTGCACCGTGCCTCAGTAACTCGGAAGCACATCTGTGATTTGTACCGACAGGGACTTGGTGTCTTTTCGTGTTTAAAGTAGCACGTGTGTGTTTGTGGTTGCGTATGTTTATTTCTCTGTGCGGGTTTGTATATTTTCTCTGACTCCACCTGTGTCTCCGTGGTTCCGATATTTTTCCACACTCCCTGCGACAATTTGCACATGCCTATCTCTACAACCATTGTAGACTTTGTATCTGTGTCTTTGAACATCTGTCACTCTCTCTCCCTTCCTTTTTTCTTTTCCTTCCTTTACACCCCTTTCATCCTTCCCTTGCTTCCCCACCACACTCTCTCCATCTGTATCGTCTATCTTTCTATTCTCTATCTGGGTTTACTTTCTAATTCTGAATTCAAGGGCATTGAATTGAAAAGAAGCACTCTTCGTACTTTTATGTGTTTTAACTCATTTGGGGAATTTGGCGTGGTATTATTTACAGGGTTCTCTCTGCCCTTTCTCATTGTTCTCCCCAGCCGGGGCTGTTATTATGTGAAAGCTGGTTTCCTTCATCACATCGCGTAGGCTCTAATGATGTTTCGTTTATTTTGATTCTCCTCACACTACATAGTTTTAATTTACCTAATGTGACTGTTTTTTTGTTTGTTTTCCGAGAATGGGTCTTACTCTGTCTTCTAGGTTGGACAGCAGCCCCACGATCTCAGCCCACTGCAGCCCAGGCACCACACACCCATGTGATCCTGTCAACTCAGACTCTCACACACCTGGCAGTACAGGTGCATGCCACCCCTCCAAGCTATGTATTAATTAACTAAATACTTACTTTTTGAATGTGGGTCCATGTTGCCCCAGGCTCATCTGGAACTCCTGAGTGCAGGCAATCCTCCCACCTCAGCTTATCAAAGTGCTGGGATGACAGGTGTGACCCATGGCCCTGCCATGGCTTTGTGTTTTTTGCTTTTTTCTTCCTCCTCCTCACGTCTTGTTTTGAAACATGCACTGAAGGTTTCAATTCATGGACTATAGTCTCTGTGCCTGGAATTTCTATCTTTCAACTCATCATCAGCATTCATTGGGATTTTCATATATATATACACCTATATAAGAATACCTATGTACACACATATATACGTATATACATGTATATACGTATATATGCACATTTATATACGTATATACATGTATATACGTATATATATACATGTACACATATGTATTTATTTCTCAAGTTACGAAACGGCTTGCATTCTTTCCTGTGTCATGAAAAAGACTTTGCTAGAAAAGAAAAGCACTGCTTTATAATAAAATATTTTATTTGCATTTATTTTGTTAAGGCATTTTAAAAATTGTATGTTTGTTTAAAAAATGTCATATGAAATGATACATATTTACAACTTAAGGCGTGATGTTCAACAGGTCATATACATTATGCATTGGATACATCCAGCCAATCAACATATGTGTGACCTCACATAGTTGTCATTTTTGTTGTGAAAAAACTTGACTTGCACTGTATTCGAATATTTTTAGAGAAAGAATATGTTACCACTAGTTATAGTGAGCATGCTGAAGAAAATATTTTTAACCTATTCCTCCTTTATAACTAGAAGTATGAGTTCTTCATCCAGCATCTCGTCAGTGCACCCTCTTCACCGCAGTCATTGGAGTCACTACTTCTGTGAAGTCCGCTTTTTTGATTTCATATAAGAATGAGATCATGTGCTATTTTCCTTTCTGATACCTGGCTTATGTCACTTAACAGAATGGCATGCACACATTCAGCAGATTCCCACACATTCTCACAACTGGCAGGATTTCCTGATTTCTTATTGCAGCGCATATTTCCGTTGCGCATATGCGTTTTTGCCCCATTTTTTAATCCACTTATCAATGGAGGGACACTCAGGTTGCTTCCGCATTTTGGCTACAGCAAAAATGTAATGAGTGCAGCAATAATTGCATGGGTGCGCGCACCGCTTCAACATACTGATCTGTGTACTGGCGGGCGTGCCCGGGTATTCTGATTTGCTGGATCATATAGTGGGTGGTTCTACTTGTAGATTTCTGAAGGCTGTTTATACTTAAATAAGAGCCATAAAGCTTCTTTAATGCCAGCACTAATTTACATTCTCCCCAAAAGTGAGCAGGGAATTCGTTTTCTCTGCCTCCTCACCAGAGATTAGGGTTTTCTTTTCTTTCTTTTTTTTTTTTTTGTTTGTTTGTCTTTCGGATAATATGCATTCTGACTGAAGTGAGAAGAAATCTCATTGTGTTTTTGATTTGCATTTTCGTGATGGATTGGGGATAATGAGGAATTTTTAGTGTGTCTTCTGGGCAACTGTATGTCTCAGTTTCACAAATGAGTCTTCGCAGCCTTCGCCCATTTGTTTTCATGCTATTGAGTTGTTGGGAGTTCCTTATGTACTGTGACTATTCCCCCATGAACAGATGTATGGTGATCCAATCATTGCTCCCATCCTGTAGGATGCCCCTTCTGTATGTTGAGTTTTCTATGGTGTGGTGAAGCACTTTAGTTTGATATGATTCCATTCTCTATTTTTGATGGTGTTTACTGTGTTCTTGCAGTCACTTTGAGACCATCATTGCACACACGGACGCCATGGAGCTTCTTCCTTGTGATCTCTTCTGCTATTTTTATCGTTTCACATCTGACACTGGAGTTTGGTGATAAATAATCCACTTGTAAAATCCTTTGTGTGGCTATTCAGATTTCCCCAACCTAGTTTATAGAAGATACTTGATTTTGCATTGGGCGTTCTTGCTTCTTTGGGAAAAGGCTGTGAGCTGCAAATGCAGTGACTTAGTTCTGGGCTCCTGTTGTTTTTCCTAAGCTCTAGTCTCTGCTTTTCTGCCAGTGCTATTGTATTTTGGTACAAAAAGTTTTGTAGTAGTATATCATGAAGTTAGGTAGTGGGGTGGCTCCAGCTTTGTGCTTTTTACTGGATTGCTCTGGGTTTTCAGGATCTTCTGCCATTTCATAGCAAATTTGGGATTCCCAGATTGTTTTCTAAGAAGAATGTGTCATTGATATTTTTAAAGGGGTTGTATAGAATCTGAGGATGACTCAGGTAGTAGTGATGTCAATGCCGTTTAGACAATGTGCGTGTTTGTGTGCACATGCTCAGGGCCAAGAGACACTGGGTGTCCTCACCAATACTGAGGTGGGCCTTAATATCCAGCCAGATTGCCTTCTGGAAACACACGGAATGTCCTGTTCTGTTTTGCCATCTCTTCACATTTCCTCCCCTGTGAGCCCTGTGTGGTCCTCCAGATTCCCTGTGCGGTGGCCTGCCTTTTTTGGGGTGGGGAGTTGCTGGGTGAATGAGGATGGCGGAGGGAACCAAGCATGTCAGTGGAGCGTGGTGTCATCCAAACGGTACTTAGCAGGCCTGGGAGAGTCATTCTGGGAGGACGCAGACCTAGAGAGGCCTCAGGTGGGCATCTGTGTGGAGGGTGAGAGATCCCTGGTTGAGCCCAAACTGAACCCCAGGTAGAAGCAAGCCTCAGGACAGGGAAGTAGCTAGCAAGGGATGATGAGGCAGCTATCTCTTGACCCTGGCTTCCCACCCATTGACCTTAGCTACTTATGCCTATTAAGCAGATTACGGTTCCCCCATCGTGAAATGTGGGTACCACAGTTCCCTGATGGGCATTTCTCCACCAGCCCATGATGGCCTGAGTTTCCTTACTGCAGTCTCCTCCCTGAGCCTTGGCTTCTCTATGTGTGTCCTAACTCCAGGACCCACAGGCCTGTCAACCCCCAGCCCTGGGCTGCTTCCCTGGCCTCTTCTCTGTTCCCTCTCTGAGGGCCTAACTCCCTTGGGTAGTGCTGCAGAATATAGAGCCACAGGCCCTGGCTGATGATCTGGTGGACTGGGCAAATTGGTCGTGACAGGTCAGGTTCTGGTTCAAAGCCAATTCCTCCGATGCCAAGGCATGTCGAAGAAGGTCCTTTGCCATGATGTCCCATAGCTGTCCCACCTCAGCAATCGTGCCGTAACCTGGGCCCTCACAGTCAGACAACCAGCTGAAGAAGCTCAGGCAGTGACCTGCGGGAAACTCGGGCTTTCACCTGCATGACCCTAGAACCACTGGACTGCAGTGGAGCCAGTCGCCCTGTATCCTGGAGGGAGACGAGTCAGGAAGGCGCACGCCAGGCCCAGCTCCCGAGGTACTACCCCCTCTACTCCTCAGGGAGGATGCCAACGCAATACTCCTTAGTCATCACTTTGTTTCCGAAGTAAATGTTGTGATGAAAGGCAAACTTCTTCCTACCCCTTGTATTCAGGGTGGCCGAGTTCCTCCACCTGCCTGTCCAAGAAGGAGAAACAGGGCTGTGAAGGGGCAATTTCATCTAGGTGGGCTGAGGTGGCACTCTAGCCGGGGTGAAGCATGCGTTTCCCCTTCCCAGCTTTCCCGCTGAGACACACCTGAGCCCCAGAAGGACCTCAACCTGACCAGGACCTTAGCACCCTCCCCCAGACCCAGGCTTTCCATCCTGACCTGCAAATCCAACATGCAGCTTTGAAGGACTTTCTCATGGTTTCTGAGCTCCTTGCTCTCACCAGAAAGAATCAGAACTTTTAAAGTGTTCTTTATGCCAACTTAAATTTTTCATTTTTACTACCTCATGTTTTGGATGAGGCATGTATTTTTAAATTTATTTTCACCCTTATTGTACCTCTATGATAAACTGCTTGCTTACATTCATACCGTAATTATCTCTCAGGTTACTTGTCTGTTCCTAAAGATTCACTGAAACGAAGAATTCTATATATGCTTGTATCTTTCAGCAACCGTATGTCAGATAGCACTGCACATTACTGCAGACATCGCATATACAGGTCCAAAGGTAGAGGAAGAAGAAGAAAGCAAGCGTTAAACTCTATTCATTCCTAAAAGCATATCAGAAACTCACAAATAACAGTGAAATCAAAGAATGATCACAGCCAATTCCATTACATACCTAGACTGAAATACGAAACTTCAAAGAAAAGAAACATTAGAACTTTGGGTTTGTAAAAATTTTCCTATATAGATAAAATTATTGGTAACTGTGTCTCACTAGAAAACGTAAACAAAAATCCATGTTTTTCATATTTGTAAATATACATAGTTTTATTTCCATCAGTTATGACATGCAAGCAAGTAATAAAGTGAAAGTACAATCAAATGATATATGGAACTTCCTCAGTCTTAAAATATTCCATGGAGACTATCAATTTTATGAAAACTATAAAGAATGCTTCATGAAACTACATTGTACAGTGCCATTTACTATTTTACTGACATTTTAAATAATCAACAATTAAAGGGAATACGTCAACATTATTTAATACCAATAACGTTATTTTTCTTGAGTAATCCTGTTGAAATTAAGGATTTTAAATAAAACATTAAAAACAAATTATATTGACTGATTTCAGCTTTGGATGAAATCATACTTGTGTATTTGTAGTAATGCGAAGCATAACTTTCTCCTCACAATTAATCTTTTATAACATCGGTGTTATAGTTTTCTCTGACACCAACATTGTGATATCGCACAGGTTTACTGCATGCATGCATTACATGCCTCCAGAGAGTAGGCTTCAAATATATGGAAAAATTATATTTATGAAAAAATTCTAGGAAAGGGAATGGTGAAATGGAAGAGAATTTCTCACTTGCTAACTGTTGGACATGGATTTGTATATATTTGGATATAGACACATACTGGCACACTGTGAGTTTGCCCATGTATATATACACTTATATGAGAAACCCATAATATATGGGTTGTGTAATCTTTTAATTAATCCATAATTGTATGTGTGTGAAATTAGATAAGCGGTTACCTTTTCTTTACTCAATTTGATGGAAAGCCAAAAAACTCTGTCCACCTTCATTTCAATTAATCCAATACTGTTAACTGCTGGTAGCTTCATTCTCCTTGTTCTCTTACGGCAACCGGAAAGTTAATTCTCGCTCTAATTTGGCTTTCAAGGTGCGATCAACAAGAGTGTCACCTTGCTGTGGATTGTGACCTCTGACTCCACCTCTGTCTTCCTTTTGCAGTCCTACCTTTGCATAGGTAACAAACTTTGTACATGGTTAAAAGGATAAAAGTTCAGTGAAATGTCAAGCCATGCTGTGAAATGTTCCATAGTTTCTATATCTCTAATTGTCCTTTGATGTTATAGAGGCAAGAAAAATAATTCAATGTTTTTCTTAGTATCTAGTCCAATGCACTCTTTCTTCATAATACTGCAAACAAGGCACTGACATGGAAACGTGGCTGGACGTCTCAAAATCTCTTCTCATTAATTACCATTATGTTAATCACTGTTGCCCACAACTGGAATTGGACTTTGAAATCCCCTGGTGGAAATTGCTATAATGGCTCAAACTACTGGAAAGACTATCTTTTTTTTACCTGAAAATATCTGATGAGCATAGACGTATGCTATATACAGGAACATATTGTACATTAACAACATACCATCACTGCCACTCAATAATAGGTATCCCAAACCTTTGAGCCAAACTGAGCTCAGGTGCTCCCACAAACCAAGCTTTTCCCTCCACAGATTTCTTATGTCAAAAAGCCACAACTCCAGGCCAGGCTTCGTGGCTCTTGTTGTAATTTCTACATTTTGGGAGGCCGAGGTTGGTGGGTCACTTGAGGTCAGGAGTTGGAGACCAGCATGGGCAACATGGCAAAAAGCTGTCTCTACCAAAAATACAAAAATTAGCCAGACCTAGTGGCACTTTCCTGTGGTCCCAGCTACTTGGGAGGCTGAGGCAGGAGAACCACCTGAACATGGGTGGCAGAGATTGTATAGTAAGCCAAGATCAGACTACTGCACTCCAGCCTGGATGACACAGCGAGACCATGACTGAAAAAAGAAAAAAAAAAAATAAAGGCAACTCCACTCGTCCACTGGCTTAGGTAAAAAGTACTGGAGTTGGCTGGGCTCGGTGGCTCACACCTGTATTCCCAGCACTTTGGATTTTGGGAAGCTGAGTCGGGCGGGTCACCTGAGATCTGTAGTAGGAGAGCAGCCTGGCCAACATGGTGAAGCCTGGCTTCTACTAAAAATACAAAACATTAGCTGAGCGTGGTGATGCATGCTTGTAATCCCAGCTACTGCAGAGGCTGAACCTGGGAGGCGGAGGATGTGTTGAGCTGAGATCCTGCCACTGCGCTCCAGCCTGGTCTACAGAGCGAGAGTACCCTGTGAGAAACAAAGGTGAAGAGAACAAGAAAAAAAAATGAGAAAAATAAGACCCACTGCAAAAGGTTGCCACAGAAAAGATTAAACATTTCAGCAACTTCTATCTTCTGTCATGGAAGCCAAGGTTATTTGGACCAAACCTCCTGTCTTAGTTCATTTTCACGCTGCTGAAGAAGACATACCTGAAACTGGGAATAAAAGGAGGTTTAATTGGACTGACAGTTCCACATGGCTGTGGAGGCCTCAGAATCATGGTATACGAATAAAGGCACTTCTTACATGGCAATGCCAAGAGAGAATGAGGAAGAACCTGAGGCAGAAACCCCTGAAAAACCCATCAGATCCCGTGAGACTTCTTCACTGTCACAAGAATAGCATGAGAAAGACCGACCCCCATGATTCAATTACCTCCCCCTGGGTCCCACCCGCAACACGAGGGAATTCTGGGAGATACAATTGAAGCTGAGATTTGAATGGAGACACACCAAACCATGTCACTTCCCAAACAATTAAAAATTCCCAATAGAAGAAGCATTAATTATATCAAAAAGTGGTGGACCAAGAAGGAACTATTAGCCTCATATCTCAAGAAAGACTCCAGTCAAGGCCTAGGGACTACTCATGAAAAGAGTTTAATAGCCGACTCTCTCCCAGTGGATCTGGATTCCACCGGACTGTATCTTCACAGTAAGGGTGAAACAGAAGCAAACCCATTCCTATTTCCAAGCTCAAGGAACTTTGGTCAAAGTTCTCTTGGAGCTGAGCAGAACAAGGAGGCAAACAGAAAAGATTTGTGTCCCTAAGAAGTCATGGCCACAGGCTGGCTATCACACAGATTGTCAAGCCAGTTCCATATTGCATGGGTATTACAGAAAATCTCAAAACATAAATTTGTGTGTGGGTTGTCCCAGAGTAGCAGGATCTGGCAGAAGGAAATTTCCTTCTAACCCTCAAAGAATCCACATAAATCTTGTTACATTTGGGATTTTACGATTTGCTTCAGGAATGAGAATGGCCTTAATTTTCATATCTTTTTCTACACTCAGTTTATGTCTTGTTGGCGTCAAAGTTCTGCTTGCTTCACACAATGAGTTTAGGATTTTCCCTTTTTTATTCTATAGAATTCTTCATATATATTGAAATGCTCTGCCTGGGGAAAAAAATCTGAGCCTAGCGTTTTATCTCTAGGAAGAATCCTTTATTTCCTTGAACATTTATGAGACTATACAGATTATATATGTCTTCTTGTATCAATTTTACTAAGCTATATACATAGCTTATGTTTATATATTATATATATAAATGTAAGATACAAATATAAAAATTATGTATAAATATGAAAATATATATAGAAAGCGATATATATGTCTATATATATAGACAGATTATAAATATCTGTCTATTTGACCTAAGTTTTCAAATTTGTAGGTTAAGGTGTTAACGATATTTCCTTATTAGCTTCTTAATCTATGCTGTATCTATGGTTGTGTACCTTTTAAATTCTTAGTTTTATCTATGTTTTCTCCCTTTTTTTCTAAACTTGACTGACGGTTGCATCATTTATTATATTTCTCCAACAAGCAAAGGTTAGCTTTGTATGTTTTACTAATTTTGTCTACATCATTATTCCCACACTTTAGTTTTTCAGAATTGATTCTGTTGTTTCTTTTCTAATTCTTTATTGAAATATCTAGTACATTAATTTTCAAGTTATTAGAGAAATATTTGTCTGTAAACTCCTATTGTAATATCACTTTTCTTGCTACTCACAGATTTAATCTTTAATATTGGCGGTATCATTGAGTTCTAAGTACATTTCAATTCCTAGTATGATAATCTATGAATTGCTGAGAAATAGTGTTTACAATTTTGTTGTTCTATTTCCACTTAAGTTTATTTTTACTTCTGCTAACTCAATTGAAAATTCTTTACTAATTTTTAAAATCCTTGAACCCAAGAGATGGAGGTTGCAGTGAGCTGAGATCAGGCCACTGCATTCCAGACTGAGTGACAGAGTGGAACGAGATTTCAAAACAAAACAAAACAAAACAAAACAAAACAGTCACTGGAAAGATAATAAAATACATAAATGTGGGATGTAATATGTAATCGTGATAAAATAAACTGGATTTTTTGTATAAGTTATACATATAAATGTAATGCCAAGACACTGATAAGACAACTCATGGTCTTATCTCAATACTTAGTGTCTTCATGTAACATATGTCCTTTAGGATAGTTATAGTCCGTTTTCTTTCCAGGAGAGACAGATGAGAATGCAGAAATGTTAAAGTGCAAGGGACGGAAGCTTCCAGCTGTGCCCACCTGTAACCTGACGTAGACAGTTCCACCGTTTGCTTCATTAATCATGCCAAAGGCTCTAATGCAAATGTGGTACAGAGTCACATGTTTTTGTATCTACATGATAGAAACTATAACTTCATCCCTATATAGAAGGGTATATAGCATATGCCTCAGTGATAAATATAAGTGAATCATTGATCAGTAGGAAACCATTTTAAAAGTCTTTCATAACAGAACAAAATCCCTGAAAACATTTTCTTCTCAATCTCTGAGTTTTCTTACACGGCTTATGAATCTCTAGCCATACTAAAGAGATAGTATGCTGCTCTTCCCACAAATTATTCATTGTATATAATTCCTGTAATCTAATAACAGTACCTTTACACCTCAGGGTTTAAAATGACTCCAACCTTTTTCTGTTTCTCCAATTAAAATAACTTTTTTAAGGTTTAATCTTCAGTAATTTTTTGTAGTAATATTTTTGAAGGTATTTGACCAGGATGATTTGCTTATATACCTACCTGACGTCTCCCTTTCTTCTGAATACATATTTTATTACCCACCTATTAGATCTAAGTTTAAGAAGTTGGAATAGGGATTTAAATCTAAATTCTACATTTGAATTTACAGGAGTCAGCGAGTCCGGGAAGTGCCTTTATGCACAGACCAATATCTGGCAATGGCACTAGGAGACAAATAAGCTTTACCAGTCTCAAAGCCCTGGCTACTACAGTGAATCCACCCTTCTCCTGGATCTTATCTACTTCAGCAAAAGAAGGCCACCCACTAAACCAGGCCCTTGTACTTTGGGTGGAAACTCCTAAGTCCTCTAGTCTCCTCAAACAGACAGCCAGGCTGCCAATTTCCACAATAATAATTTCTATAGCACTGAGTCTTTGGTAGCCTTGTAACTATAGCTACTGATGCTACAGTCTGGTCCCTGTATGATAAAACACCAGAGCAACAGAAACAAAAATATTGACTGAAGCCTTCTAAAATCTCTCTAAATATACCTTCAATAAATATGGTTTTTTTTACAGAACGACTGCTTTCAGCTTCCTGAACTAACGCTTGGCCTTCGCTAGTTGTCACTGTTGAAATTGATTCAAAAGTGTACATTTAACATGAAAGTCAACACAGAATTTCATGTGTCAGCAACTAAAATTTTCAAAATGTTGCAAAATACAAATGTGAAACTGTATTTGTGAAATTTACCATTCATTGAAATTATATTTTCATACCTACCCAGGCACAGAATTTTTTATAACTGTCTGCATGTTCTCCTCATGTGGGGGAAAAGCAGCATCAGCAGGCAGAGGAATCCTTTGAAGCTGGAGGGAGAGGTTGCAGTGATCTGAGAGTTTGCCACTTGACTGCAGCCTGGATGACACAGTGAGACTCCAACTGAAAAGAAACAAACACACACACACACACACACACACACACACACACACCCCCAAAATTGATAAGTAAAAAAAAAATCCATATTCGAAAACATGCTCACAGGCTATCTCCCATATCTAACACACAGACACACACACACACACACACACACACACACACACACACAATTCCTTGAAAACGAAAGTTCCACAAGGGCAAAAGAAGAAAACAAATTTAACACCCCCCAAAGAAAGTACAAAGAGTAACCTCAAAAGAACCGCAGGGGAAAACAATTCAAAATTTACAAGTATCTACCCTAAAAGAAGCTGAAAGTCCCTCAAAAACTTTCCAGAGGCCATGTCCTTGTATTACAAAAATGATCATAAAAACTGGCAGGAGTAGACGAATAGAAATGCATCTTAAAACTTGCTAAACCCTTCAAGTCTCCCATAAGAATTGTAATGGAAAATGGATCGGTCGGCAGCTTTTTCCATACAATTATGAACAAATTATATTTCTTCATACATAGATTTGTTTTTTCAATATTCTAAGGAATTAACTTTTATATTAATAGTAGGTGATGTAAGAAAGCAGGCCTTTATCAAGATAACTGACACTGGATGTCCATACCATTACTCAGGTGGGCCTTAATTCCCAGCCGGGTTCCCTCCCTGGACACACACTGAAGGTCCCCAGCCATTTGGCAATCTCTTCACATTCCCAGCCCTGGAGGTAGCCCTAAAATACATGTACCTGAAGAAAATAAAACATTGCCTCACACTGGAGCCCAGTGTGGTCCTCCAGATTCCGTGTGAGGTGGACTAACTTATATGGGAAGGCAGGGCAGCGGGAGTGAGGATGGCAGAGAGGATTACACATGTCAAGGCAGCCGGGGTCATGGAAACAAAACATGACTGGCCTGGGAGAAACACTGTGAAAGGACACAGACCTAGGTGGGCCTCAGGTGGACATCCTCGTGGAGAAAAAGGGGGCCCTGGTTGATCTCAAAATGAGCCCCAGGTGGTAGCAGGTCTTACCGCAGGGCAGGGAGCTGGCGAGTAATGATGAGACAGCTATCCCTTAAGCCCTGCTTGTCACCCACTGACTTTAGCCACATATGCATCATAGTGGCTTAAGGTGCCCCGATCCTGAAATGTGGGTGTTACATGTCCCTGATGGGCCTCTCTCCCCCAACCCACGGATTGCCTGGGATTGCTCACTGCAGTCTCCTCCCGGATCCTTGGGTTCTCCATGTGGGGCCCAGATCCAGGTCAAAAGGCCTCTCAGTTCCCAGCCCTTCCCAGCCCTAGGCTGCTCGCCTGGCCTCCTCTCTGTTCCGCCTCTAGGGCTGACCCTCTCTCCATGGGATAGAACTGCAATGGATTGAGCCATAGGCCCTGGCTGATGATCTAGGTGACTGCAGAAGTGGGTCCAGGACAGTTCAGGTGACAGTTCAAAGCCAATTCCCCAGAGACCAAGGAATGACCAGCTAGGTCCTTTCCCATGATGCCCCACGGCGAACCCCACCTCAGCAATCCTGCCAAAACCCGGGCAGTCATGTTCAGCCAAACAGCTGAATGAGCTCAGGTAGGAGGTGTACTGCCTGCAGCTGGAGGCTTGACCTTCGTGATCCCAGAACCGCTGGACTGCAGTGGAATGAGACACCCTGTAGCCTGCAGGGAGAGGAGTCAGGAAGGTTCATGCCAGTCCCACCCTCCCACACACCAGCTCCCCTACCATGCTGGGAGGCATTCCTTACCGAGGATGCCAACACAGTGCTCCTTCATGATGATTTCACTGTGGAAATAAAGGTTGGGATGAAAGGAAATCATCCTGCCACCGGTAACCGGGATGGCTGAGTTCCTCCACCTGCCGGATCAAGGAGAAAGAGGATGGATTCAATGGGACCATCTCAACTAGCCGGGCTGAGGTGGCCTACTAGCTGTAGTGAACCATGAGTTTCCCCTTCCCAGCTCTCCCACTGAGACAACCCTGGTCCCCAGGGGGACCTCAAACTGACTCAGACACTGGACTCCTCCCACAGACCCAGGCTCCCCAGCCTGACCTGCAAATCCATCACGTAGCAAAGCAGGACTTCCGCATGCTTTCCGACCCACGCCGACATCTCGTGTGCCAAACAATCTACCTCTGCGCAAGAACTCTCCAGAGGATTGGGTGGGCAAGCCTCGTGACGCCTTGCAATTTCGCAAGAACACAGACAATGTGGAACAGGGCCATCTCCCAGACATTTGGCCAGTCACCCTTCATTGTTGGCCCTCTATCTCTGTCTGGCGAGGAGGCAACGCCACAACTGTGGTGGTTTTTGGAGTGGGTGGACCCCGGCCAAGACGGCCTGGGCTGACCAGAGACGGGAGGCAGAAAAAGTGGGCAGGTGGTTGCAGCTGAGGGACGGGAGGGACCGGGGGTGGTGTGAGGCGGCTGCTTCTCTGGGTTTCTGAGATGCAGGAGGCCTTTGTGTGCTGGGTGCTGGACATGCTCCGCTGATGTCCGGGTGTGTGGTGTCCTCTTATCCTAGTCTCCCTGAGGGGTGGGCCTGTCCACCTGAGGGAAGCCTTGTAGTTAGAAGCCACAGCAGGGTCGTGCCTGGCGCTCTCCAAGGGAATTGCGTGGGTCCAGAGGAAGTTATACAGGCTCAGGGCCTACACGCCTTTGAGTGCAGCGCCTGCAGTTGGATGAATGCGCATCTGCGGAGCTGGTGCCCGCCGTCAGGTGGTCGGCAGCCCCATGCGCCGCGAACCCGTCTTAAGCACCTTGTGTTTCTGGGGTGAGCCTGCTGGAAACAGGCACCGAGAGCAGGGGTGGTTCAATGGCTGGTAATGGCATACAGATTCCCCGTCCTCCAGGGACGTTCCCAGGGAAACGCGTCCTTCGAATTTGGGCTGTGCGCAAAGGGACCTTGGCGCCGCGATTCTCCCTTGTCAGTGCTGGCCCTGGCTCCCCTTCCCTACCACGTGCTCCCAGGGCTGCTACAAGCGAGCTGCCCTCACAGCTGCGGGAACGTGGCCTCGGCTCCCACGCTGTCCCCCATCCCCTGCCTCCTGGCTGACCCCACGTGCCTCCCACCTGGCTCCTCCCCGCAAACAGCCCCCATACCCCCCGAGGCCCGATGACTATCCCCTGCTGCCCGCCATCCCAAATCGGCAGCCGCAAGGATATGGCTCTGGCTCACAAGGCGGAGATGCTCTGTGGCCTAGGGCATTCACGGAGCCCAGCTCCAAGTGAAGGACCTCCAGCGAGTCCATTGACGGCCCCGGTGTGCTCGGTCCAGGGCCAGGCTGTGCCCGCTGGCCCTCCTTCTGCCACCCCACGTCGGGCTCCACCTCAACCACCACCTCCACCTCAGCCATGATGTCTTCCACCTTCAGCACCGCCTCCTCTTCCAAGGCCGCCTCCTTGCTCTGTACCCCGGCCGTCCTCTCCAGCATTGCCTCCAGCCTGAACACGGTTTTCTCCTGGGTGCTCCCACAGACCCTGGGCCTGCGCAGCCCAGCCCAGCCCAGCCCATGCCCCGCACCCGTAGGCTCTGGGGGCCCGCTCCCCAGCAGACCCGCTCCCTGCAAGACCCACGGGCGTCGCCCTGCTGTGAACCTGGTCCCACACCTACGTGGACCCAGGTTTCCTGAGGAGCTCCGCTGGACCCGCAGATCCCGCACTGGCCAAAGGGCTCCGGTCCCCAGCAGGCTCAACTGCGCACAGGAGCTCGGGAGCCAGAGGCCCCGGCCCTGGGCTTGCAGAGCCCCACCAACAGGCACCGCAACCGCTGCTGCGGGTGCGGGAGCCTCTGGGTCGTCAAGGCAGCGCACAACAGCGTGCGCGCAGGCCGACAATGGCCAACCCTGGCGGCTGGCCTCTGGTGTGCCCAGGGCATAGGACAAGAGGCCCTTTGGAATGCTCCTTGGAGTACAGCATCCTCAGGGAGGAAGCATGGTACTCGGAGCCTCTATTTGCCTCGACCTGTGAGAGTGTGTGCCGGGGCTCTGGCCTCTACAGCAGATCAATTCCACCTCAGCACCGGCAGGCGACTTTCCTCCCACGTGCCCGCCCCGATCACTTCCCCCAGGACACCCCTGCCGCCCTTGCCCCAGCAACCAGAGAGAGTTCTCTGCATCTGCTGTATTACCTCCGTACCATCTACCTGGCCTGCCTAACGAAGAGAGATGTTTCCTGTGTTCATGACACATAGAGATGTTCATGGCTTGCCACACTGAGGATGTCAGGGCACAGGGCTGCCATGCCCACAATTCCAAAGGCCACGCAGCCCGCGTGTGCCCGGATGCCTAGCTACCCGGCACAAGCTCCAAGGGCTTCTCGGAGGAGGCTTGGGCAGGGAAGGCGGGGGGTGGGGGGGCTGGAGATGCAGGCCCGCCAGTGGCTGTGCCGCCCAGGGAGACGCCCACCGCCCTCCCATTGATTGGCCACGACGGGAGGAAGTCGGCCTGGGTGCGGCCCCCCGGCCCTTCGCGCGCAGTCCCTTAGGGGGCGCCTGGAAGCCCGGCGCATGCGCCCTGAGGGCTCGCTGACCTACCGGGTGCCAGAGAGGCTGCGGCAGGGTTTCTGTGGCGTGGGTCGGGCAGCACAGGCCTTGGTGTGTGCGAGTGCCAAGGAGGGCACCGCCTTCAGGATGGAGGCTGTACAGGAGGGGGCGGCCGGGGTGGAGAGTGAGCAGGCGGCTTTGGGGGAGGAGGCGGTGCTGCTGTTGGATGACATAATGGCGGAGGTGGAGGTGGTGGCGGAGGAGGAGGGCCTCGTGGAGCGGCGGGAGGAGGCCCAGCGGGCACAGCAGGCTGTGCCTGGCCCTGGGCCCATGACCCCAGAGTCTGCACTGGAGGAGCTGCTGGCCGTTCAGGTGGAGCTGGAGCCGGTTAATGCCCAAGCCAGGAAGGCCTTTTCTCGGCAGCGGGAAAAGATGGAGCGGAGGCGCAAGCCCCACCTAGACCGCAGAGGCGCCGTCATCCAGAGCGTCCCTGGCTTCTGGGCCAATGTTGTATCCTTCTCAGTGTTTCTTCGGCCTTTCTAGTGGAGAGGTGCTCTCGGGGAAGTGTAAGTGACCGATGGGCAGCTCGGCGTCGATGTGACTCTTTGGGGAACAAAGGGGAGTTGCCACGGACCAGTGTGGCTGTGGAAAGCCGGAGCAGGCGTGGGTACTATTGTCCTGCATGCGGCAGAGAAACCCTTGGTGATGCCGAGCAGCAGACGTTTGGGGCATCTTTTTGAAGAGCAGAAGCGAGTTCAGAGCGGAAGAGGTTTTTCAGTGAATGAAGCTATTTTTAAGGGAGTGTGATTGCTGCCCCTTGCTAGTCCGATCTGGGACTGGGCGTCTTCGGCTATAAGCAGATTCTGCCACTCCTCAGACACCAGCAAGTCTCTGCAAATCGCGCCTCCCCATGTCAGTGCAGTCAGCCTCAGAATCATACACCCTCTGTGAACACAGGAGGCCTTAGTTTACGGGGAGGGGGAGGCGAAAGGAGATCATACGTGGAAGCAGATCTGAGAAATCCCCTACCCCAGCCTCTGGGTGCTCTTAGGCCTTCTTCCCTGTTGCTCCTCGCTTTCCCTTCCATCGTGTGTAAAGTCTCTTTGACCTAAATCAGATTGCAAACCACCCCCAGATGTCAGCCCTGATCACTGACGAAGATGAAGACATGCTGAGCTACATGGTCAGCCTGGAGGTGAGGCCAGGAAGACTGGGGCTAGAGGGTTTAGCGGGGGAGGGTAAGGGAAATAATTCATTCCTGTAAGCAAGAGTGAGCACCTCACCCGAAAACCTATCTAAGCTTTCTCCACCTTGTCCTGACAGGTGGAAGAAGAGAAGCATCCTGTTCATCTCTGCAAGATCATGTTGTTCTTTCGGAGTAACCCCTACTTCCAGAATAAAGTGATTACCAAGGAATATCTGGTGAACATCACAGGTGACAGGTGGCTCCCAGGATGGGTAGTGGAAGGAAGATGGTGGGTGGATCATTGCCAACGGGATCCAGCCCCCTTCCCACAAAAACTCCTGTCTCTGTAGAATACAGGGCTTCTCATTCCACTCCAATTGAGTGGTATCCGGATTATGAAGTGGAGGCCTATCGCCGCAGACACCACAACAGCAGCCTTAACTTCTTCAACTGGTTCTCTGACCACAACTTCGCAGGATCTAACAAGATTGCTGAGGTGAGTCCTCACTGGGAAACATGAGGAATGACCCCGTGTGTTCCCAGCTGCTTGGGTCACCTTTCTGAGCCCTGATGAGGCCTTTCCCGATTGAGTCCCCTGACAGATCCTATGTAAGGACCTGTGGCGCAATCCCCTGCAATACTACAAGAGGATGAAGCCACCTGAAGAGGGAACAGAGACGTCAGGTGAGCCGTTAGTTGGCACTGGAGCTGTTTGATGCCCAGTATAAGGGGGTTGACACACCTGCCTATTCAGGGAGCCTGGGTGCTCATTTCAGAAATGTAGAAATTGAGGCTCCTTTCGTACATGTAGAAATTCCTTGAGAGGAAGACAGAGAGTGACAGAATCCAGGACGTTCATGGCATTGGGCTGAAAAGGCACGTTAGAGACTGCACTGCAAAGCGGGTGATAGTTGTGGAGTCTTAAGCCCAGTGAAGAATCGTCCATTTCCAGAATCAATGAGAAGTAAAGCTGAAAATCATTCAGTTCAGTCTGTGGCACTTGATTCCACGGCTGTCAACCCCACCGGCAGTCATCCCACCAACCCCATGAGATTGGGCTCCCTGAATGTGCGTCCTGGTCATCCTTGCCCCAAACCACAAAGGACTGTTTAGATTGATGGATTTCCTTAAGCTGTTGCCCCATCAGACTTGTGTGTGCTTTTAGGGCCCAGTGCATCTTGTTAGCTGACTCCCCTCACAGACAATACTGGGAATGGGGCAGGGATTGCGCAGAACAGTTTGTAACACGTGGTAGGAGGAAGTTTAAGGGATCACAAATGGGGAAGGGATATCCTTTTCTCAGCGGGCCCCACAATTGAAACATTTCAAAGTATGGCTCAGAGAAAATGCGTTTTAACATGAGTTTGTGTTTCTCTAGGGGACTCCCAGTTGTTGAGTTGAATATGATGGAGCATCAGATTTTACCTAATACAGCAGAACTCCTAAAAAGTTACAGCCATATGCAGGACGGCAGTACTCAGCATGGTCTTATGCACAGGAACTAAAGGAAAAAGAGATCGAGTCACAAAAATTCAGGAAGAGGGGGTAAATGTGGATTGTATGGAATGAAAAATAAACATTCTCAAGGATGTGTGACTCTGTGTCTGTGTGTGTGTGTGTCTTTGTGTTTGTGTGTGTGTGTGTGTGTGTGTGTATGTTTATCCACTTTATTCGGGTGTCATAATGAATTGATCAATCCACGTGCTTTATTCTCTTCATGGAAATAACCAGTCTGCGTTGGAGCTGGGCCTCTAAAGTTGTAGAGTGAATGGGTGTGGGATGTGTTGGGATTCTTCCTACAGGACAGACTGGGAGAGGTAAAAGCAAAAGACAGCTTAGTTGGAGGCTGACTTCGTCCTATGGAAGCAGAGATAGTTCAAGGAAAGGGGTTACTGGGTTTCCAGGGCCCAGTTTGCTGGGACCTCCAAAATCCTTCATTTTGGGTATCATCATACACAGTAGCTAAGCACAGGATGATGGAAATCTTAAAGTTCGCTTTCGTGTTGAATCCACATGTTCTTTTAAAGGTGAATGCATGATCCTTTTCTGGGACAATCAGCCTCTCAGGACTTCTGAAACATCAACGTGAGAAGAAATGGGCATGTAAGGTGTATGGAGGGACTGTGGGAAAGGTGACAGAGGCATGTGGGAAGGCATTCAGGATACGCTTTTGGCATAGATGACTAAGGGAAAACAGAAACTTACAGAAGTGAGGGGAAAGGGGGTGGATTAGTGGAATATAAGATTGTTGGAGAATCCATCCATGGACTCTCTTGTCACTTGATGACCCAGGATATGGACACTCTTGTTGATGTTTACATCTTTAGTTGTTTTAAGCTTTTCTCCAAGATTCTGTGTTAGGTGAGGAGCCAATAACGTATGTAGCTAACAACAGTACGAGTGCATTTTGTGCTCTTGCAAAGTCTAGTGAGGCTCTATTCTCCCTCGTGATTGGCACTGCAGATTGTATCTGGAGCCCAGGGCCCCTAAATTTTCTGTGGCCTCTTCAGCATAGTTTGCCTAAGGTTTAGAACGTAAAGCGAATATAGTTGCGGAATATGTTTTGCAAGCCTCACACAGGAGGACAAAACATACAGCTTTCATTCGCGAGTGGGAGGCTGCTTCCCAGGAACACGTGTGTCTGCACAAGACAAGGGGTTGCCTCTGTCAAGGATGGGGCAGGAGGATTTCAGTGTCGGAGGCAGAACTTTCTTTCCTGTTCCCAGATGAAACAGTTCCAACACGAGCATCCATGTTGACCACACGCTACTAGAGTGCTAACATTGCTGTCCCGTATAGACTCTGGTCAGCACAGCTTCTGTGAGAAGAGCTATGTTGTTTCAGGGAAGAGGGTTTGACAGTCAAAGTTCCTGAATCTGTTGTGGTGCCTGCAATATGCATTCTACACCTCCTGCTCGGTGTCAAAGCAGTTGAGCTTTGAAAATCTATCGCCCGGTTTTGTCCCTGCTCCTATGCAGACCTCTGAAGCTCTGGAGCGGGAGTCTTGTCCTCCTCTGACTACCGTCCCCCTGACCCACAAACACAGGAGAAACAGGTGTTCTAAGCAAATTATTCTGAAAACAGTCGGAACACTTTGGCCCCCTCAAGCTGCCCTCTATCCTACTGTGTGCATGTCAAAGACACTGTGGTCCAGTACGGTATCCCTATAGCGGCAATGGGGCAACAGATTGGTGTGTGCACTCTGGGCAACTCAGATTAGGAAACGTCTGGGGACTTGCCTATAACGAGGTCGTCTTAAAACGTGTTGCCCCAAATTTAAGGCATAGGAAAATGTTGAGGAAAGGGTCTTGCAATGATTTTTCTAGGAGGTAAATAGATAAGAAAATGACCGTAAATAGATGCCAGGGCTAGTTTTGGAGCTAGCCTGTTTTAAAGTGGTGGTAGGGGAGGAGCTTTTTCCAAGGCAGGTAGCAAACCAGGAACTGTCTACGATGGATGGGCGTGCCACGGGTTGGTGGCTCAGCCATATTGCCACCCCACCGAGTGAATGCAGCAGACTGGGCTTCTTCCTTGAATCCTACGTGCAATTCAGTCTAGTGATTTCACATGAGATCCCTTCTTCTGGTATTATCACAGATCGTGCTGAATTATACAGGCTGTGTAATGCTTCTTCCACTGAATATCCGTGCACGTGGGCCACAGATGCTAAGGGCACTGACAAATTTGCACCGTGCCTCAGTAACTCGGAAGCACATCTGTAATTTGTACCGACAGGGACTTGGTGTCTTTTCGTGTTTAAAGTAGCACGTGTGTGTTTGTGGTTGCGTATGTTTATTTCTCTGTGCGGGTTTGTATATTTTCTCTGACTCCACCTGTGTCTCCGTGGTTCCGATATTTTTCCACACTCCCTGCGACAATTTGCACATGCCTATCTCTACAACCATTGTAGACTTTGTATCTGTGTCTTTGAACATCTGTCACTCTCTCTCCCTTCCTTTTTTCTTTTCCTTCCTTTACACCCCTTTCATCCTTCCCTTGCTTCCCCACCACACTCTCTCCATCTGTATCGTCTATGTTTCTATTCTCTATCTGGGTTTACTTTCTAATTCTGAATTCAAGGGCATTGAATTGAAAAGAAGCACTCTTCGTACTTTTATGTGTTTTAACTCATTTGGGGAATTTGGCGTGGTATTATTTACAGGGTTCTCTCTGCCCTTTCTCATTGTTCTCCCCAGCCGGGGCTGTTATTATGTGAAAGCTGGTTTCCTTCATCACATCGCGTAGGCTCTAATGATGTTTCGTTTATTTTGATTCTCCTCACACTACATAGTTTTAATTTACCTAATGTGACTGTTTTTTTGTTTGTTTTCCGAGAATGGGTCTTACTCTGTCTTCTAGGTTGGACAGCAGCCCCACGATCTCAGCCCACTGCAGCCCAGGCACCACACACCCATGTGATCCTGTCAACTCAGACTCTCACACACCTGGCAGTACAGGTGCATGCCACCCCTCCAAGCTATGTATTAATTAACTAAATACTTACTTTTTGAATGTGGGTCCATGTTGCCCCAGGCTCATCTGGAACTCCTGAGTGCAGGCAATCCTCCCACCTCAGCTTATCAAAGTGCTGGGATGACAGGTGTGACCCATGGCCCTGCCATGGCTTTGTGTTTTTTGCTTTTTTCTTCCTCCTCCTCACGTCTTGTTTTGAAACATGCACTGAAGGTTTCAGTTCATGGACTGTAGTCTCTGTGCCTGGAATTTCTATCTTTCAACTCATCATCAGCATTCATTGGGATTTTCATATATATATATATATATATATATATATATATACACCTATATAAGAATACCTATGTACACACATATATACGTATATACATGTATATACGTATATATGCACATTTATATACGTATATACATGTATATACGTATATATATACATGTACACATATGTATTTATTTCTCAAGTTACGAAACGGCTTGCATTCTTTCCTGTGTCATGAAAAAGACTTTGCTAGAAAAGAAAAGCACTGCTTTATAATAAAATATTTTATTTGCATTTATTTTGTTAAGGCATTTTAAAAATTGTATGTTTGTTTAAAAAATGTCATATGAAATGATACATATTTACAACTTAAGGCGTGATGTTCAACAGGTCATATACATTATGCATTGGATACATCCAGCCAATCAACATATGTGTGACCTCACATAGTTGTCATTTTTGTTGTGAAAAAACTTGACCTGCACTGTATTCGAATATTTTTAGAGAAAGAATATGTTACCACTAGTTATAGTGAGCATGCTGAAGAAAATATTTTTAACCTATTCCTCCTTTATAACTAGAAGTATGAGTTCTTCATCCAGCATCTCGTCAGTGCACCCTCTTCACCGCAGTCATTGGAGTCACTACTTCTGTGAAGTCCGCTTTTTTGATTTCATATAAGAATGAGATCATGTGCTATTTTCCTTTCTGATACCTGGCTTATGTCACTTAACAGAATGGCATGCACACATTCAGCAGATTCCCACACATTCTCACAACTGGCAGGATTTCCTGATTTCTTATTGCAGCGCATATTTCCGTTGCGCATATGCGTTTTTGCCCCATTTTTTAATCCACTTATCAATGGAGGGACACTCAGGTTGCTTCCGCATTTTGGCTACAGCAAAAATGTAATGAGTGCAGCAATAATTGCATGGGTGCGCGCACCGCTTCAACATACTGATCTGTGTACTGGCGGGCGTGCCCGGGTATTCTGATTTGCTGGATCATATAGTGGGTGGTTCTACTTGTAGATTTCTGAAGGCTGTTTATACTTAAATAAGAGCCATAAAGCTTCTTTAATGCCAGCACTAATTTACATTCTCCCCAAAAGTGAGCAGGGAATTCGTTTTCTCTGCCTCCTCACCAGAGATTAGGGTTTTCTTTTCTTTCTTTTTTTTTTTTTGTTTGTTTGTCTTTCGGATAATATGCATTCTGACTGAAGTGAGAAGAAATCTCATTGTGTTTTTGATTTGCATTTTCGTGATGGATTGGGGATAATGAGGAATTTTTAGTGTGTCTTCTGGGCAACTGTATGTCTCAGTTTCACAAATGAGTCTTCGCAGCCTTCGCCCATTTGTTTTCATGCTATTGAGTTGTTGGGAGTTCCTTATGTACTGTGACTATTCCCCCATGAACAGATGTATGGTGATCCAATCATTGCTCCCATCCTGTAGGATGCCCCTTCTGTATGTTGAGTTTTCTATGGTGTGGTGAAGCACTTTAGTTTGATATGATTCCATTCTCTATTTTTGATGGTGTTTACTGTGTTCTTGCAGTCACTTTGAGACCATCATTGCACACACGGACGCCATGGAGCTTCTTCCTTGTGATCTCTTCTGCTATTTTTATCGTTTCACATCTGACACTGGAGTTTGGTGATAAATAATCCACTTGTAAAATCCTTTGTGTGGCTATTCAGATTTCCCCAACCTAGTTTATAGAAGATACTTGATTTTGCATTGGGCGTTCTTGCTTCTTTGGGAAAAGGCTGTGAGCTGCAAATGCAGTGACTTAGTTCTGGGCTCCTGTTGTTTTTCCTAAGCTCTAGTCTCTGCTTTTCTGCCAGTGCTATTGTATTTTGGTACAAAAAGTTTTGTAGTAGTATATCATGAAGTTAGGTAGTGTGGTGGCTCCAGCTTTGTGCTTTTTACTGGATTGCTCTGGGTTTTCAGGATCTTCTGCCATTTCATAGCAAATTTGGGATTCCCAGATTGTTTTTCTAAGAAGAATGTGTCATTGATATTTTTACAGGGGTTGTATAGAATCTGAGGATGACTCAGGTAGTAGTGATGTCAATGCCGTTTAGACAATGTGCGTGTTTGTGTGCACAAGCTCAGGGCCAAGAGACACTGGGTGTCCTCACCAATACTGAGGTGGGCCTTAATATCCAGCCAGATTGCCTTCTGGAAACACACGGAATGTCCTGTTCTGTTTTGCCATCTCTTCACATTTCCTCCCCTGTGAGCCCTGTGTGGTCCTCCAGATTCCCTGTGCGGTGGCCTGCCTTTTTTGGGGTGGGGAGTTGCTGGGTGAATGAGGATGGCGGAGGGAACCAAGCATGTCAGTGGAGCGTGGTGTCATCCAAACGGTACTTAGCAGGCCTGGGAGAGTCATTCTGGGAGGACGCAGACCTAGAGAGGCCTCAGGTGGGCATCTGTGTGGAGGGTGAGAGATCCCTGGTTGAGCCCAAACTGAACCCCAGGTAGAAGCAAGCCTCAGGACAGGGAAGTAGCTAGCAAGGGATGATGAGGCAGCTATCTCTTGACCCTGGCTTCCCACCCATTGACCTTAGCTACTTATGCCTATTAAGCAGATTACGGTTCCCCCATCGTGAAATGTGGGTACCACAGTTCCCTGATGGGCATTTCTCCACCAGCCCATGATGGCCTGAGTTTCCTTACTGCAGTCTCCTCCCTGAGCCTTGGCTTCTCTATGTGTGTCCTAACTCCAGGACCCACAGGCCTGTCAACCCCCAGCCCTGGGCTGCTTCCCTGGCCTCTTCTCTGTTCCCTCTCTGAGGGCCTAACTCCCTTGGGTAGTGCTGCAGAATATAGAGCCACAGGCCCTGGCTGATGATCTGGTGGACTGGGCAAATTGGTCGTGACAGGTCAGGTTCTGGTTCAAAGCCAATTCCTCCGATGCCAAGGAATGTCGAAGAAGGTCCTTTGCCATGATGCCCCATAGCTGCCCCACCTCAGCAATCGTGCCGTAACCTGGGCCCTCACAGTCAGACAACCAGCTGAAGAAGCTCAGGCAGTGACCTGCGGGAAACTCGGGCTTTCACCTGCATGACCCTAGAACCACTGGACTGCAGTGGAGCCAGTCGCCCTGTATCCTGGAGGGAGACGAGTCAGGAAGGCGCACGCCAGGCCCAGCTCCCGAGGTACTACCCCCTCTACTCCTCAGGGAGGATGCCAACGCAATACTCCTTAGTCATCACTTTGTTTCCGAAGTAAATGTTGTGATGAAAGGCAAACTTCTTCCTACCCCTTGTATTCAGGGTGGCCGAGTTCCTCCACCTGCCTGTCCAAGAAGGAGAAACAGGGCTGTGAAGGGGCAATTTCATCTAGGTGGGCTGAGGTGGCATTCTAGCCGGGGTGAAGCATGCGTTTCCCCTTCCCAGCTTTCCCGCTGAGACACACCTGAGCCCCAGAAGGACCTCAACCTGACCAGGACCTTAGCACCCTCCCCCAGACCCAGGCTTTCCATCCTGACCTGCAAATCCAACATGCAGCTTTGAAGGACTTTCTCATGGTTTCTGAGCTCCTTGCTCTCACCAGAAAGAATCAGAACTTTTAAAGTGTTCTTTATGCCAACTTAAATTTTTCATTTTTACTACCTCATGTTTTGGATGAGGCATGTATTTTTAAATTTATTTTCACCCTTATTGTACCTCTATGATAAACTGCTTGCTTACATTCATACCGTAATTATCTCTCAGGTTACTTGTCTGTTCCTAAAGATTCACTGAAACGAAGAATTCTATATATGCTTGTATCTTTCAGCAACCGTATGTCAGATAGCACTGCACATTACTGCAGACATCGCATATACAGGTCCAAAGGTAGAGGAAGAAGAAGAAAGCAAGCGTTAAACTCTATTCATTCCTAAAAGCATATCAGAAACTCACAAATAACAGTGAAATCAAAGAATGATCACAGCCAATTCCATTACATACCTAGACTGAAATACGAAACTTCAAAGAAAAGAAACATTAGAACTTTGGGTTTGTAAAAATTTTCCTATATAGATAAAATTATTGGTAACTGTGTCTCACTAGAAAACGTAAACAAAAATCCATGTTTTTCATATTTGTAAATATACATAGTTTTATTTCCATCAGTTATGACATGCAAGCAAGTAATAAAGTGAAAGTACAATCAAATGATATATGGAACTTCCTCAGTCTTAAAATATTCCATGGAGACTATCAATTTTATGAAAACTATAAAGAATGCTTCATGAAACTACATTGTACAGTGCCATTTACTATTTTACTGACATTTTAAATAATCAACAATTAAAGGGAATACGTCAACATTATTTAATACCAATAACGTTATTTTTCTTGAGTAATCCTGTTGAAATTAAGGATTTTAAATAAAACATTAAAAACAAATTATATTGACTGATTTCAGCTTTGGATGAAATCATACTTGTGTATTTGTAGTAATGCGAAGCATAACTTTCTCCTCACAATTAATCTTTTATAACATCGGTGTTATAGTTTTCTCTGACACCAACATTGTGATATCGCACAGGTTTACTGCATGCATGCATTACATGCCTCCAGAGAGTAGGCTTCAAATATATGGAAAAATTATATTTATGAAAAAATTCTAGGAAAGGGAATGGTGAAATGGAAGAGAATTTCTCACTTGCTAACTGTTGGACATGGATTTGTATATATTTGGATATAGACACATACTGGCACACTGTGAGTTTGCCCATGTATATATACACTTATATGAGAAACCCATAATATATGGGTTGTGTAATCTTTTAATTAATCCATAATTGTATGTGTGTGAAATTAGATAAGCGGTTACCTTTTCTTTACTCAATTTGATGGAAAGCCAAAAAACTCTGTCCACCTTCATTTCAATTAATCCAATACTGTTAACTGCTGGTAGCTTCATTCTCCTTGTTCTCTTACGGCAACCGGAAAGTTAATTCTCGCTCTAATTTGGCTTTCAAGGTGCGATCAACAAGAGTGTCACCTTGCTGTGGATTGTGACCTCTGACTCCACCTCTGTCTTCCTTTTGCAGTCCTACCTTTGCATAGGTAACAAACTTTGTACATGGTTAAAAGGATAAAAGTTCAGTGAAATGTCAAGCCATGCTGTGAAATGTTCCATAGTTTCTATATCTCTAATTGTCCTTTGATGTTATAGAGGCAAGAAAAATAATTCAATGTTTTTCTTAGTATCTAGTCCAATGCACTCTTTCTTCATAATACTGCAAACAAGGCACTGACATGGAAACGTGGCTGGACGTCTCAAAATCTCTTCTCATTAATTACCATTATGTTAATCACTGTTGCCCACAACTGGAATTGGACTTTGAAATCCCCTGGTGGAAATTGCTATAATGGCTCAAACTACTGGAAAGACTATCTTTTTTTTACCTGAAAATATCTGATGAGCATAGACGTATGCTATATACAGGAACATATTGTACATTAACAACATACCATCACTGCCACTCAATAATAGGTATCCCAAACCTTTGAGCCAAACTGAGCTCGGGTGCTCCCACAAACCAAGCTTTTCCCTCCACAGATTTCTTATGTCAAAAAGCCACAACTCCAGGCCAGGCTTCGTGGCTCTTGTTGTAATTTCTACATTTTGGGAGGCCGAGGTTGGTGGGTCACTTGAGGTCAGGAGTTGGAGACCAGCATGGGCAACATGGCAAAAAGCTGTCTCTACCAAAAATACAAAAATTAGCCAGACCTAGTGGCACTTTCCTGTGGTCCCAGCTACTTGGGAGGCTGAGGCAGGAGAACCACCTGAACATGGGTGGCAGAGATTGTATAGTAAGCCAAGATCAGACTACTGCACTCCAGCCTGGATGACACAGCGAGACCATGACTGAAAAAAGAAAAAAAAAAATAAAGGCAACTCCACTCGTCCACTGGCTTAGGTAAAAAGTACTGGAGTTGGCTGGGCTCGGTGGCTCACACCTGTATTCCCAGCACTTTGGATTTTGGGAAGCTGAGTCGGGCGGGTCACCTGAGATCTGTAGTAGGAGAGCAGCCTGGCCAACATGGTGAAGCCTGGCTTCTACTAAAAATACAAAACATTAGCTGAGCGTGGTGATGCATGCTTGTAATCCCAGCTACTGCAGAGGCTGAACCTGGGAGGCGGAGGATGTGTTGAGCTGAGATCCTGCCACTGCGCTCCAGCCTGGTCTACAGAGCGAGAGTACCCTGTGAGAAACAAAGGTGAAGAGAACAAGAAAAAAAAAATGAGAAAAATAAGACCCACTGCAAAAGGTTGCCACAGAAAAGATTAAACATTTCAGCAACTTCTATCTTCTGTCATGGAAGCCAAGGTTATTTGGACCAAACCTCCTGTCTTAGTTCATTTTCACGCTGCTGAAGAAGACATACCTGAAACTGGGAATAAAAGGAGGTTTAATTGGACTGACAGTTCCACATGGCTGTGGAGGCCTCAGAATCATGGTATACGAATAAAGGCACTTCTTACATGGCAATGCCAAGAGAGAATGAGGAAGAACCTGAGGCAGAAACCCCTGAAAAACCCATCAGATCCCGTGAGACTTCTTCACTGTCACAAGAATAGCATGAGAAAGACCGACCCCCATGATTCAATTACCTCCCCCTGGGTCCCACCCGCAACACGAGGGAATTCTGGGAGATACAATTGAAGCTGAGATTTGAATGGAGACACACCAAACCATGTCACTTCCCAAACAATTAAAAATTCCCAATAGAAGAAGCATTAATTATATCAAAAAGTGGTGGACCAAGAAGGAACTATTAGCCTCATATCTCAAGAAAGACTCCAGTCAAGGCCTAGGGACTACTCATGAAAAGAGTTTAATAGCCGACTCTCTCCCAGTGGATCTGGATTCCACCGGACTGTATCTTCACAGTAAGGGTGAAACAGAAGCAAACCCATTCCTATTTCCAAGCTCAAGGAACTTTGGTCAAAGTTCTCTTGGAGCTGAGCAGAACAAGGAGGCAAACAGAAAAGATTTGTGTCCCTGAGAAGTCATGGCCACAGGCTGGCTATCACACAGATTGTCAAGCCAGTTCCATATTGCATGGGTATTACAGAAAATCTCAAAACATAAATTTGTGTGTGGGTTGTCCCAGAGTAGCAGGATCTGGCAGAAGGAAATTTCCTTCTAACCCTCAAAGAATCCACATAAATCTTGTTACATTTGGGATTTTACGATTTGCTTCAGGAATGAGAATGGCCTTAATTTTCATATCTTTTTCTACACTCAGTTTATGTCTTGTTGGCGTCAAAGTTCTGCTTGCTTCACACAATGAGTTTAGGATTTTCCCTTTTTTATTCTATAGAATTCTTCATATATATTGAAATGCTCTGCCTGGGGAAAAAAATCTGAGCCTAGCGTTTTATCTCTAGGAAGAATCCTTTATTTCCTTGAACATTTATGAGACTATACAGATTATATATGTCTTCTTGTATCAATTTTACTAAGCTATATACATAGCTTATGTTTATATATTATATATATAAATGTAAGATACAAATATAAAAATTATGTATAAATATGAAAATATATATAGAAAGCGATATATATGTCTATATATATAGACAGATTATAAATATCTGTCTATTTGATCTAAGTTTTCAAATTTGTAGGTTAAGGTGTTAACGATATTTCCTTATTAGCTTCTTAATCTATGCTGTATCTATGGTTGTGTACCTTTTAAATTCTTAGTTTTATCTATGTTTTCTCCCTTTTTTTCTAAACTTGACTGACGGTTGCATCATTTATTATATTTCTCCAACAAGCAGAGGTTAGCTTTGTATGTTTTACTAATTTTGTCTACATCATTATTCCCACACTTTAGTTTTTCAGAATTGATTCTGTTGTTTCTTTTCTAATTCTTTATTGAAATATCTAGTACATTAATTTTCAAGTTATTAGAGAAATATTTGTCTGTAAACTCCTATTGTAATATCACTTTTCTTGCTACTCACAGATTTAATCTTTAATATTGGCGGTATCATTGAGTTCTAAGTACATTTCAATTCCTAGTATGATAATCTATGAATTGCTGAGAAATAGTGTTTACAATTTTGTTGTTCTATTTCCACTTAAGTTTATTTTTACTTCTGCTAACTCAATTGAAAATTCTTTACTAATTTTTAAAATCCTTGAACCCAAGAGATGGAGGTTGCAGTGAGCTGAGATCAGGCCACTGCATTCCAGACTGAGTGACAGAGTGGAACGAGATTTCAAAACAAAACAAAACAAAACAAAACAAAACAGTCACTGGAAAGATAATAAAATACATAAATGTGGGATGTAATATGTAATCGTGATAAAATAAACTGGATTTTTTGTATAAGTTATACATATAAATGTAATGCCAAGACACTGATAAGACAACTCATGGTCTTATCTCAATACTTAGTGTCTTCATGTAACATATGTCCTTTAGGATAGTTATAGTCCGTTTTCTTTCCAGGAGAGACAGATGAGAATGCAGAAATGTTAAAGTGCAAGGGACGGAAGCTTCCAGCTGTGCCCACCTGTAACCTGACGTAGACAGTTCCACCGTTTGCTTCATTAATCATGCCAAAGGCTCTAATGCAAATGTGGTACAGAGTCACATGTTTTTGTATCTACATGATAGAAACTATAACTTCATCCCTATATAGAAGGGTATATAGCATATGCCTCAGTGATAAATATAAGTGAATCATTGATCAGTAGGAAACCATTTTAAAAGTCTTTCATAACAGAACAAAATCCCTGAAAACATTTTCTTCTCAATCTCTGAGTTTTCTTACACGGCTTATGAATCTCTAGCCATACTAAAGAGATAGTATGCTGCTCTTCCCACAAATTATTCATTGTATATAATTCCTGTAATCTAATAACAGTACCTTTACACCTCAGGGTTTAAAATGACTCCAACCTTTTTCTGTTTCTCCAATTAAAATAACTTTTTTAAGGTTTAATCTTCAGTAATTTTTTGTAGTAATATTTTTGAAGGTATTTGACCAGGATGATTTGCTTATATACCTACCTGACGTCTCCCTTTCTTCTGAATACATATTTTATTACCCACCTATTAGATCTAAGTTTAAGAAGTTGGAATAGGGATTTAAATCTAAATTCTACATTTGAATTTACAGGAGTCAGCGAGTCCGGGAAGTGCCTTTATGCACAGACCAATATCTGGCAATGGCACTAGGAGACAAATAAGCTTTACCAGTCTCAAAGCCCTGGCTACTACAGTGAATCCACCCTTCTCCTGGATCTTATCTACTTCAGCAAAAGAAGGCCACCCACTAAACCAGGCCCTTGTACTTTGGGTGGAAACTCCTAAGTCCTCTAGTCTCCTCAAACAGACAGCCAGGCTGCCAATTTCCACAATAATAATTTCTATAGCACTGAGTCTTTGGTAGCCTTGTAACTATAGCTACTGATGCTACAGTCTGGTCCCTGTATGATAAAACACCAGAGCAACAGAAACAAAAATATTGACTGAAGCCTTCTAAAATCTCTCTAAATATACCTTCAATAAATATCGTTTTTTTTACAGAACGACTGCTTTCAGCTTCCTGAACTAACGCTTGGCCTTCGCTAGTTGTCACTGTTGAAATTGATTCAAAAGTGTACATTTAACATGAAAGTCAACACAGAATTTCATGTGTCAGCAACTAAAATTTTCAAAATGTTGCAAAATACAAATGTGAAACTGTATTTGTGAAATTTACCATTCATTGAAATTATATTTTCATACCTACCCAGGCACAGAATTTTTTATAACTGTCTGCATGTTCTCCTCATGTGGGGGAAAAGCAGCATCAGCAGGCAGAGGAATCCTTTGAAGCTGGAGGGAGAGGTTGCAGTGATCTGAGAGTTTGCCACTTGACTGCAGCCTGGATGACACAGTGAGACTCCAACTGAAAAGAAACAAACACACACACACACACACACACACACACACACCCCCAAAATTGATAAGTAAAAAAAAAATCCATATTCGAAAACATGCTCACAGGCTAACTCCCATATCTAACACACACACACACACACACACACACACACACACACACACACAATTCCTTGAAAACGAAAGTTCCACAAGGGCAAAAGAAGAAAACAAATTTAACACCCCCCAAAGAAAGTACAAAGAGTAACCTCAAAAGAACCGCAGGGGAAAACAATTCAAAATTTACAAGTATCTACCCTAAAAGAAGCTGAAAGTCCCTCAAAAACTTTCCAGAGGCCATGTCCTTGTATTACAAAAATGATCATAAAAACTGGCAGGAGTAGACGAATAGAAATGCATCTTAAAACTTGCTAAACCCTTCAAGTCTCCCATAAGAATTGTAATGGAAAATGGATCGGTCGGCAGCTTTTTCCATACAATTATGAACAAATTATATTTCTTCATACATAGATTTGTTTTTTCAATATTCTAAGGAATTAACTTTTATATTAATAGTAGGTGATGTAAGAAAGCAGGCCTTTATCAAGATAACTGACACTGGATGTCCATACCATTACTCAGGTGGGCCTTAATTCCCAGCCGGGTTCCCTCCCTGGACACACACTGAAGGTCCCCAGCCATTTGGCAATCTCTTCACATTCCCAGCCCTGGAGGTAGCCCTAAAATACATGTACCTGAAGAAAATAAAACATTGCCTCACACTGGAGCCCAGTGTGGTCCTCCAGATTCCGTGTGAGGTGGACTAACTTATATGGGAAGGCAGGGCAGCGGGAGTGAGGATGGCAGAGAGGATTACACATGTCAAGGCAGCCGGGGTCATGGAAACAAAACATGACTGGCCTGGGAGAAACACTGTGAAAGGACATACACCTAGGTGGGCCTCAGGTGGACATCCTCGTGGAGAAAAAGGGGGCCCTGGTTGATCTCAAAATGAGCCCCAGGTGGTAGCAGGTCTTACCGCAGGGCAGGGAGCTGGCGAGTAATGATGAGACAGCTATCCCTTAAGCCCTGCTTGTCACCCACTGACTTTAGCCACATATGCATCATAGTGGCTTAAGGTGCCCCGATCCTGAAATGTGGGTGTTACATGTCCCTGATGGGCCTCTCTCCCCCAACCCACGGATTGCCTGGGATTGCTCACTGCAGTCTCCTCCCGGATCCTTGGGTTCTCCATGTGGGGCCCAGATCCAGGTCAAAAGGCCTCTCAGTTCCCAGCCCTTCCCAGCCCTAGGCTGCTCGCCTGGCCTCCTCTCTGTTCCGCCTCTAGGGCTGACCCTCTCTCCATGGGATAGAACTGCAATGGATTGAGCCATAGGCCCTGGCTGATGATCTAGGTGACTGCAGAAGTGGGTCCAGGACAGTTCAGGTGACAGTTCAAAGCCAATTCCCCAGAGACCAAGGAATGACCAGCTAGGTCCTTTCCCATGATGCCCCACGGCGAACCCCACCTCAGCAATCCTGCCAAAACCCGGGCAGTCATGTTCAGCCAAACAGCTGAATGAGCTCAGGTAGGAGGTGTACTGCCTGCAGCTGGAGGCTTGACCTTCGTGATCCCAGAACCGCTGGACTGCAGTGGAATGAGACACCCTGTAGCCTGCAGGGAGAGGAGTCAGGAAGGTTCATGCCAGTCCCACCCTCCCACACACCAGCTCCCCTACCATGCTGGGAGGCATTCCTTACCGAGGATGCCAACACAGTGCTCCTTCATGATGATTTCACTGTGGAAATAAAGGTTGGGATGAAAGGAAATCATCCTGTCACCGGTAACCGGGATGGCTGAGTTCCTCCACCTGCCGGATCAAGGAGAAAGAGGATGGATTCAATGGGACCATCTCAACTAGCCGGGCTGAGGTGGCCTACTAGCTGTAGTGAACCATGAGTTTCCCCTTCCCAGCTCTCCCACTGAGACAACCCTGGTCCCCAGGGGGACCTCAAACTGACTCAGACACTGGACTCCTCCCACAGACCCAGGCTCCCCAGCCTGACCTGCAAATCCATCACGTAGCAAAGCAGGACTTCCGCATGCTTTCCGACCCACGCCGACATCTCGTGTGCCAAACAATCTACCTCTGCGCAAGAACTCTCCAGAGGATTGGGTGGGCAAGCCTCGTGACGCCTTGCAATTTCGCAAGAACACAGACAATGTGGAACAGGGCCATCTCCCAGACATTTGGCCAGTCACCCTTCATTGTTGGCCCTCTATCTCTGTCTGGCGAGGAGGCAACGCCACAACTGTGGTGGTTTTTGGAGTGGGTGGACCCCGGCCAAGACGGCCTGGGCTGACCAGAGACGGGAGGCAGAAAAAGTGGGCAGGTGGTTGCAGCTGAGGGACGGGAGGGGCCGGGGGTGGTGTGAGGCGGCTGCTTCTCTGAGTTTCTGAGATGCAGGAGGCCTTTGTGTGCTGGGTGCTGGACATGCTCCGCTGATGTCCGGGTGTGTGGTGTCCTCTTATCCTAGTCTCCCTGAGGGGTGGGCCTGTCCACCTGAGGGAAGCCTTGTAGTTAGAAGCCACAGCAGGGTCGTGCCTGGCGCTCTCCAAGGGAATTGCGTGGGTCCAGAGGAAGTTATACAGGCTCAGGGCCTACACGCCTTTGAGTGCAGCGCCTGCAGTTGGATGAATGCGCATCTGCGGAGCTGGTGCCCGCCGTCAGGTGGTCGGCAGCCCCATGCGCCGCGAACCCGTCTTAAGCACCTTGTGTTTCTGGGGTGAGCCTGCTGGAAACAGGCACCGAGAGCAGGGGTGGTTCAATGGCTGGTAATGGCATACAGATTCCCCGTCCTCCAGGGACGTTCCCAGGGAAACGCGTCCTTCGAATTTGGGCTGTGCGCAAAGGGACCTTGGCGCCGCGATTCTCCCTTGTCAGTGCTGGCCCTGGCTCCCCTTCCCTACCACGTGCTCCCAGGGCTGCTACAAGCGAGCTGCCCTCACAGCTGCGGGAACGTGGCCTCGGCTCCCACGCTGTCCCCCATCCCCTGCCTCCTGGCTGACCCCACGCGCCTCCCACCTGGCTCCTCCCCGCAAACAGCCCCCATACCCCCCGAGGCCCGATGACTATCCCCTGCTGCCCGCCATCCCAAATCGGCAGCCGCAAGGATATGGCTCTGGCTCACAAGGCGGAGATGCTCTGTGGCCTAGGGCATTCACGGAGCCCAGCTCCAAGTGAAGGACCTCCAGCGAGTCCATTGACGGCCCCGGTGTGCTCGGTCCAGGGCCAGGCTGTGCCCGCTGGCCCTCCTTCTGCCACCCCACGTCGGGCTCCACCTCAACCACCACCTCCACCTCAGCCATGATGTCTTCCACCTTCAGCACCGCCTCCTCTTCCAAGGCCGCCTCCTTGCTCTGTACCCCGGCCGTCCTCTCCAGCATTGCCTCCAGCCTGAACACGGTTTTCTCCTGGGTGCTCCCACAGACCCTGGGCCTGCGCAGCCCAGCCCAGCCCAGCCCATGCCCCGCACCCGTAGGCTCTGGGGGCCCGCTCCCCAGCAGACCCGCTCCCTGCAAGACCCACGGGCGTCGCCCTGCTGTGAACCTGGTCCCACACCTACGTGGACCCAGGTTTCCTGAGGAGCTCCGCTGGACCCGCAGATCCCGCACTGGCCAAAGGGCTCCGGTCCCCAGCAGGCTCAACTGCGCACAGGAGCTCGGGAGCCAGAGGCCCCGGCCCTGGGCTTGCAGAGCCCCACCAACAGGCACCGCAACCGCTGCTGCGGGTGCGGGAGCCTCTGGGTCGTCAAGGCAGCGCACAACAGCGTGCGCGCAGGCCGACAATGGCCAACCCTGGCGGCTGGCCTCTGGTGTGCCCAGGGCATAGGACAAGAGGCCCTTTGGAATGCTCCTTGGAGTACAGCATCCTCAGGGAGGAAGCATGGTACTCGGAGCCTCTATTTGCCTCGACCTGTGAGAGTGTGTGCCGGGGCTCTGGCCTCTACAGCAGATCAATTCCACCTCAGCACCGGCAGGCGACTTTCCTCCCACGTGCCCGCCCCGATCACTTCCCCCAGGACACCCCTGCCGCCCTAGCCCCAGCAACCAGAGAGAGTTCTCTGCATCTGCTGTATTACCTCCGTACCATCTACCTGGCCTGCCTAACGAAGAGAGATGTTTCCTGTGTTCATGACACATAGAGATGTTCATGGCTTGCCACACTGAGGATGTCAGGGCACAGGGCTGCCATGCCCACAATTCCAAAGGCCACGCAGCCCGCGTGTGCCCGGATGCCTAGCTACCCGGCACAAGCTCCAAGGGCTTCTCGGAGGAGGCTTGGGCAGGGAAGGCGGGGGGTGGGGGGGCTGGAGATGCAGGCCCGCCAGTGGCTGTGCCGCCCAGGGAGACGCCCACCGCCCTCCCATTGATTGGCCACGACGGGAGGAAGTCGGCCTGGGTGCGGCCCCCCGGCCCTTCGCGCGCAGTCCCTTAGGGGGCGCCTGGAAGCCCGGCGCATGCGCCCTGAGGGCTCGCTGACCTACCGGGTGCCAGAGAGGCTGCGGCAGGGTTTCTGTGGCGTGGGTCGGGCAGCACAGGCCTTGGTGTGTGCGAGTGCCAAGGAGGGCACCGCCTTCAGGATGGAGGCTGTGCAGGAGGGGGCGGCCGGGGTGGAGAGTGAGCAGGCGGCTTTGGGGGAGGAGGCGGTGCTGCTGTTGGATGACATAATGGCGGAGGTGGAGGTGGTGGCGGAGGAGGAGGGCCTCGTGGAGCGGCGGGAGGAGGCCCAGCGGGCACAGCAGGCTGTGCCTGGCCCTGGGCCCATGACCCCAGAGTCTGCACTGGAGGAGCTGCTGGCCGTTCAGGTGGAGCTGGAGCCGGTTAATGCCCAAGCCAGGAAGGCCTTTTCTCGGCAGCGGGAAAAGATGGAGCGGAGGCGCAAGCCCCACCTAGACCGCAGAGGCGCCGTCATCCAGAGCGTCCCTGGCTTCTGGGCCAATGTTGTATCCTTCTCAGTGTTTCTTCGGCCTTTCTAGTGGAGAGGTGCTCTCGGGGAAGTGTAAGTGACCGATGGGCAGCTCGGCGTCGATGTGACTCTTTGGGGAACAAAGGGGAGTTGCCACGGACCAGTGTGGCTGTGGAAAGCCGGAGCAGGCGTGGGTACTATTGTCCTGCATGCGGCAGAGAAACCCTTGGTGATGCCGAGCAGCAGACGTTTGGGGCATCTTTTTGAAGAGCAGAAGCGAGTTCAGAGCGGAAGAGGTTTTTCAGTGAATGAAGCTATTTTTAAGGGAGTGTGATTGCTGCCCCTTGCTAGTCCGATCTGGGACTGGGCGTCTTCGGCTATAAGCAGATTCTGCCACTCCTCAGACACCAGCAAGTCTCTGCAAATCGCGCCTCCCCATGTCAGTGCAGTCAGCCTCAGAATCATACACCCTCTGTGAACACAGGAGGCCTTAGTTTAAGGGGAGGGGGAGGCGAAAGGAGATCATACATGGAAGCAGATCTGAGAAATCCCCTACCCCAGCCTCTGGGTGCTCTTAGGCCTTCTTCCCTGTTGCTCCTCGCTTTCCCTTCCATCGTGTGTAAAGTCTCTTTGACCTAAATCAGATTGCAAACCACCCCCAGATGTCAGCCCTGATCACTGACGAAGATGAAGACATGCTGAGCTACATGGTCAGCCTGGAGGTGAGGCCAGGAAGACTGGGGCTAGAGGGTTTAGCGGGGGAGGGTAAGGGAAATAATTCATTCCTGTAAGCAAGAGTGAGCACCTCACCCGAAAACCTATCTAAGCTTTCTCCACCTTGTCCTGACAGGTGGAAGAAGAGAAGCATCCTGTTCATCTCTGCAAGATCATGTTGTTCTTTCGGAGTAACCCCTACTTCCAGAATAAAGTGATTACCAAGGAATATCTGGTGAACATCACAGGTGACAGGTGGCTCCCAGGATGGGTAGTGGAAGGAAGATGGTGGGTGGATCATTGCCAACGGGATCCAGCCCCCTTCCCACAAAAACTCCTGTCTCTGTAGAATACAGGGCTTCTCATTCCACTCCAATTGAGTGGTATCCGGATTATGAAGTGGAGGCCTATCGCCGCAGACACCACAACAGCAGCCTTAACTTCTTCAACTGGTTCTCTGACCACAACTTCGCAGGATCTAACAAGATTGCTGAGGTGAGTCCTCACTGGGAAACATGAGGAATGACCCCATGTGTTCCCAGCTGCTTGGGTCACCTTTCTGAGCCCTGATGAGGCCTTTCCCGATTGAGTCCCCTGACAGATCCTATGTAAGGACCTGTGGCGCAATCCCCTGCAATACTACAAGAGGATGAAGCCACCTGAAGAGGGAACAGAGACGTCAGGTGAGCCGTTAGTTGGCACTGGAGCTGTTTGATGCCCAGTATAAGGGGGTTGACACACCTGCCTATTCAGGGAGCCTGGGTGCTCATTTCAGAAATGTAGAAATTGAGGCTCCTTTCGTACATGTAGAAATTCCTTGAGAGGAAGACAGAGAGTGACAGAATCCAGGACGTTCATGGCATTGGGCTGAAAAGGCACGTTAGAGACTGCACTGCAAAGCGGGTGATAGCTGTGGAGTCTTAAGCCCAGTGAAGAATCGTCCATTTCCAGAATCAATGAGAAGTAAAGCTGAAAATCATTCAGTTCAGTCTGTGGCACTTGATTCCACGGCTGTCAACCCCACCGGCAGTCATCCCACCAACCCCATGAGATTGGGCTCCCTGAATGTGCGTCCTGGTCATCCTTGCCCCAAACCACAAAGGACTGTTTAGATTGATGGATTTCCTTAAGCTGTTGCCCCATCAGACTTGTGTGTGCTTTTAGGGCCCAGTGCATCTTGTTAGCTGACTCCCCTCACAGACAATACTGGGAATGGGGCAGGGATTGCGCAGAACAGTTTGTAACACGTGGTAGGAGGAAGTTTAAGGGATCACAAATGGGGAAGGGATATCCTTTTCTCAGCGGGCCCCACAATTGAAACATTTCAAAGTATGGCTCAGAGAAAATGCGTTTTAACATGAGTTTGTGTTTCTCTAGGGGACTCCCAGTTGTTGAGTTGAATATGATGGAGCATCAGATTTTACCTAATACAGCAGAACTCCTAAAAAGTTACAGCCATATGCAGGACGGCAGTACTCAGCATGGTCTTATGCACAGGAACTAAAGGAAAAAGAGATCGAGTCACAAAAATTCAGGAAGAGGGGGTAAATGTGGATTGTATGGAATGAAAAATAAACATTCTCAAGGATGTGTGACTCTGTGTCTGTGTGTGTGTGTGTGTCTTTGTGTTTGTGTGTGTGTGTGTCTGTGTGTGTATGTTTATCCACTTTATTCGGGTGTCATAATGAATTGATCAATCCACGTGCTTTATTCTCTTCATGGAAATAACCAGTCTGCGTTGGAGCTGGGCCTCTAAAGTTGTAGAGTGAATGGGTGTGGGATGTGTTGGGATTCTTCCTACAGGACAGAGTGGGAGAGGTAAAAGCAAAAGACAGCTTAGTTGGAGGCTGACTTCGTCCTATGGAAGCAGAGATAGTTCAAGGAAAGGGGTTACTGGGTTTCCAGGGCCCAGTTTGCTGGGACCTCCAAAATCCTTCATTTTGGGTATCATCATACACAGTAGCTAAGCACAGGATGATGGAAATCTTAAAGTTCGCTTTCGTGTTGAATCCACATGTTCTTTTAAAGGTGAATGCATGATCCTTTTCTGGGACAATCAGCCTCTCAGGACTTCTGAAACATCAACGTGAGAAGAAATGGGCATGTAAGGTGTATGGAGGGACTGTGGGAAAGGTGACAGAGGCATGTGGGAAGGCATTCAGGATACGCTTTTGGCATAGATGACTAAGGGAAAACAGAAACTTACAGAAGTGAGGGGAAAGGGGGTGGATTAGTGGAATATAAGATTGTTGGAGAATCCATCCATGGACTCTCTTGTCACTTGATGACCCAGGATATGGACACTCTTGTTGATGTTTACATCTTTAGTTGTTTTAAGCTTTTCTCCAAGATTCTGTGTTAGGTGAGGAGCCAATAACGTATGTAGCTAACAACAGTACGAGTGCATTTTGTGCTCTTGCAAAGTCTAGTGAGGCTCTATTCTCCCTCGTGATTGGCACTGCAGATTGTATCTGGAGCCCAGGGCCCCTAAATTTTCTGTGGCCTCTTCAGCATAGTTTGCCTAAGGTTTAGAACGTAAAGCGAATATAGTTGCGGAATATGTTTTGCAAGCCTCACACAGGAGGACAAAACATACAGCTTTCATTCGCGAGTGGGAGGCTGCTTCCCAGGAACACGTGTGTCTGCACAAGACAAGGGGTTGCCTCTGTCAAGGATGGGGCAGGAGGATTTCAGTGTCGGAGGCAGAACTTTCTTTCCTGTTCCCAGATGAAACAGTTCCAACACGAGCATCCATGTTGACCACACGCTACTAGAGTGCTAACATTGCTGTCCTGTATAGACTCCAGTCAGCACAGCTTCTGTGAGAAGAGCTATGTTGTTTCAGGGAAGAGGGTTTGACAGTCAAAGTTCCTGAATCTGTTGTGGTGCCTGCAATATGCATTCTACCCCTCCTGCTCGGTGTCAAAGCAGTTGAGCTTTGAAAATCTATCGCCTGGTTTTGTCCCTGCTCCTATGCAGACCTCTGAAGCTCTGGAGCGGGAGTCTTGTCCTCCTCTGACTACCGTCCCCCTGACCCACAAACACAGGAGAAACAGGTGTTCTAAGCAAATTATTCTGAAAACAGTCGGAACACTTTGGCCCCCTCAAGCTGCCCTCTATCCTACTGTGTGCATGTCAAAGACACTGTGGTCCAGTACGGTATCCCTATAGCGGCAATGGGGCAACAGATTGGTGTGTGCACTCTGGGCAACTCAGATTAGGAAACATCTGGGGACTTGCCTATAACGAGGTCGTCTTAAAACGTGTTGCCCCAAATTTAAGGCATAGGAAAATGTTGAGGAAAGGGTCTTGCAATGATTTTTCTAGGAGGTAAATAGATAAGAAAATGACCGTAAATAGATGCCAGGGCTAGTTTTGGAGCTAGCCTTTTTTAAAGTGGTGGTAGGGGAGGAGGTTTTTCCAAGGCAGGTAGCAAACCAGGAACTGTCTACGATGGATGGGCGTGCCATGGGTTGGTGGCTCAGCCATATTGCCACCCCACGGAGTCGATGCAGCAGACTGGGCTTCTTGCTTGAATCCTACGTGCAATTCAGTCTAGTGATTTCACATGAGATCCCTTCTTCTGGTATTATCACAGATCGTGCTGAATTATACAGGCTGTGTAATGCTTCTTCCACTGAATATCCGTGCACGTGGGCCACAGATGCTAAGGGCACTGACAAATTTGCACCGTGCCTCAGTAACTCGGAAGCACATCTGTGATTTGTACCGACAGGGACTTGGTGTCTTTTCGTGTTTAAAGTAGCACGTGTGTGTTTGTGGTTGCGTATGTTTATTTCTCTGTGCGGGTTTGTATATTTTCTCTGACTCCACCTATGTCTCCGTGGTTCCGATATTTTTCCACACTCCCTGCGACAATTTGCACATGCCTATCTCTACAACCATTGTAGACTTTGTATCTGTGTCTTTGAACATCTGTCACTCTCTCTCCCTTCCTTTTTTCTTTTCCTTCCTTTACACCCCTTTCATCCTTCCCTTGCTTCCCCACCACACTCTCTCCATCTGTATCGTCTATGTTTCTATTCTCTATCTGGGTTTACTTTCTAATTCTGAATTCAAGGGCATTGAATTGAAAAGAAGCACTCTTCGTACTTTTATGTGTTTTAACTCATTTGGGGAATTTGGCGTGGTATTATTTACAGGGTTCTCTCTGCCCTTTCTCATTGTTCTCCCCAGCCGGGGCTGTTATTATGTGAAAGCTGGTTTCCTTCATCACATCGCGTAGGCTCTAATGATGTTTCGTTTATTTTGATTCTCCTCACACTACATAGTTTTAATTTACCTAATGTGACTGTTTTTTTGTTTGTTTTCCGAGAATGGGTCTTACTCTGTCTTCTAGGTTGGACAGCAGCCCCACGATCTCAGCCCACTGCAGCCCAGGCACCACACACCCATGTGATCCTGTCAACTCAGACTCTCACACACCTGGCAGTACAGGTGCATGCCACCCCTCCAAGCTATGTATTAATTAACTAAATACTTACTTTTTGAATGTGGGTCCATGTTGCCCCAGGCTCATCTGGAACTCCTGAGTGCAGGCAATCCTCCCACCTCAGCTTATCAAAGTGCTGGGATGACAGGTGTGACCCATGGCCCTGCCATGGCTTTGTGTTTTTTGCTTTTTTCTTCCTCCTCCTCACGTCTTGTTTTGAAACATGCACTGAAGGTTTCAATTCATGGACTGTAGTCTCTGTGCCTGGAATTTCTATCTTTCAACTCATCATCAGCATTCATTGGGATTTTCATATATATATACACCTATATAAGAATACCTATGTACACACATATATACGTATATACATGTATATACGTATATATGCACATTTATATAAGAATACCTATGTACACACATATATACGTATATACATGTATATACGTATATATGCACATTTATATACGTATATACATGTATATACGTATATATATACATGTACACATATGTATTTATTTCTCAAGTTACGAAACGGCTTGCATTCTTTCCTGTGTCATGAAAAAGACTTTGCTAGAAAAGAAAAGCACTGCTTTATAATAAAATATTTTATTTGCATTTATTTTGTTAAGGCATTTTAAAAATTGTATGTTTGTTTAAAAAATGTCATATGAAATGATACATATTTACAACTTAAGGCGTGATGTTCAACAGGTCATATACATTATGCATTGGATACATCCAGCCAATCAACATATGTGTGACCTCACATAGTTGTCATTTTTGTTGTGAAAAAACTTGACTTGCACTGTATTCGAATATTTTTAGAGAAAGAATATGTTACCACTAGTTATAGTGAGCATGCTGAAGAAAATATTTTTAACCTATTCCTCCTTTATAACTAGAAGTATGAGTTCTTCATCCAGCATCTCGTCAGTGCACCCTCTTCACCGCAGTCATTGGAGTCACTACTTCTGTGAAGTCCGCTTTTTTGATTTCATATAAGAATGAGATCATGTGCTATTTTCCTTTCTGATACCTGGCTTATGTCACTTAACAGAATGGCATGCACACATTCAGCAGATTCCCACACATTCTCACAACTGGCAGGATTTCCTGATTTCTTATTGCAGCGCATATTTCCGTTGCGCATATGCGTTTTTGCCCCATTTTTTAATCCACTTATCAATGGAGGGACACTCAGGTTGCTTCCGCATTTTGGCTACAGCAAAAATGTAATGAGTGCAGCAATAATTGCATGGGTGCGCGCACCGCTTCAACATACTGATCTGTGTACTGGCGGGCGTGCCCGGGTATTCTGATTTGCTGGATCATATAGTGGGTGGTTCTACTTGTAGATTTCTGAAGGCTGTTTATACTTAAATAAGAGCCATAAAGCTTCTTTAATGCCAGCACTAATTTACATTCTCCCCAAAAGTGAGCAGGGAATTCGTTTTCTCTGCCTCCTCACCAGAGATTAGGGTTTTCTTTTCTTTCTTTTTTTTTTTTTGTTTGTTTGTCTTTCGGATAATATGCATTCTGACTGAAGTGAGAAGAAATCTCATTGTGTTTTTGATTTGCATTTTCGTGATGGATTGGGGATAATGAGGAATTTTTAGTGTGTCTTCTGGGCAACTGTATGTCTCAGTTTCACAAATGAGTCTTCGCAGCCTTCGCCCATTTGTTTTCATGCTATTGAGTTGTTGGGAGTTCCTTATGTACTGTGACTATTCCCCCATGAACAGATGTATGGTGATCCAATCATTGCTCCCATCCTGTAGGATGCCCCTTCTGTATGTTGAGTTTTCTATGGTGTGGTGAAGCACTTTAGTTTGATATGATTCCATTCTCTATTTTTGATGGTGTTTACTGTGTTCTTGCAGTCACTTTGAGACCATCATTGCACACACGGACGCCATGGAGCTTCTTCCTTGTGATCTCTTCTGCTATTTTTATCGTTTCACATCTGACACTGGAGTTTGGTGATAAATAATCCACTTGTAAAATCCTTTGTGTGGCTATTCAGATTTCCCCAACCTAGTTTATAGAAGATACTTGATTTTGCATTGGGCGTTCTTGCTTCTTTGGGAAAAGGCTGTGAGCTGCAAATGCAGTGACTTAGTTCTGGGCTCCTGTTGTTTTTCCTAAGCTCTAGTCTCTGCTTTTCTGCCAGTGCTATTGTATTTTGGTACAAAAAGTTTTGTAGTAGTATATCATGAAGTTAGGTAGTGGGGTGGCTCCAGCTTTGTGCTTTTTACTGGATTGCTCTGGGTTTTCAGGATCTTCTGCCATTTCATAGCAAATTTGGGATTCCCAGATTGTTTTCTAAGAAGAATGTGTCATTGATATTTTTACAGGGGTTGTATAGAATCTGAGGATGACTCAGGTAGTAGTGATGTCAATGCCGTTTAGACAATGTGCGTGTTTGTGTGCACAAGCTCAGGGCCAAGAGACACTGGGTGTCCTCACCAATACTGAGGTGGGCCTTAATATCCAGCCAGATTGCCTTCTGGAAACACACGGAATGTCCTGTTCTGTTTTGCCATCTCTTCACATTTCCTCCCCTGTGAGCCCTGTGTGGTCCTCCAGATTCCCTGTGCGGTGGCCTGCCTTTTTTGGGGTGGGGAGTTGCTGGGTGAATGAGGATGGCGGAGGGAACCAAGTATGTCAGTGGAGCGTGGTGTCATCCAAACGGTACTTAGCAGGCCTGGGAGAGTCATTCTGGGAGGACGCAGACCTAGAGAGGCCTCAGGTGGGCATCTGTGTGGAGGGTGAGAGATCCCTGGTTGAGCCCAAACTGAACCCCAGGTAGAAGCAAGCCTCAGGACAGGGAAGTAGCTAGCAAGGGATGATGAGGGAGCTATCTCTTGACCCTGGCTTCCCACCCATTGACCTTAGCTACTTGTGCCTATTAAGCAGATTACGGTTCCCCCATCGTGAAATGTGGGTACCACAGTTCCCTGATGGGCATTTCTCCACCAGCCCATGATGGCCTGAGTTTCCTTACTGCAGTCTCCTCCCTGAGCCTTGGCTTCTCTATGTGTGTCCTAACTCCAGGACCCACAGGCCTGTCAACCCCCAGCCCTGGGCTGCTTCCCTGGCCTCTTCTCTGTTCCCTCTCTGAGGGCCTAACTCCCTTGGGTAGTGCTGCAGAATATAGAGCCACAGGCCCTGGCTGATGATCTGGTGGACTGGGCAAATTGGTCGTGACAGGTCAGGTTCTGGTTCAAAGCCAATTCCTCCGATGCCAAGGAATGTCGAAGAAGGTCCTTTGCCATGATGCCCCATAGCTGCCCCACCTCAGCAATCGTGCCGTAACCTGGGCCCTCACAGTCAGACAACCAGCTGAAGAAGCTCAGGCAGTGACCTGCGGGAAACTCGGGCTTTCACCTGCATGACCCTAGAACCACTGGACTGCAGTGGAGCCAGTCGCCCTGTATCCTGGAGGGAGACGAGTCAGGAAGGCGCACGCCAGGCCCAGCTTCCGAGGTACTACCCCCTCTACTCCTCAGGGAGGATGCCAACGCAATACTCCTTAGTCGTCACTTTGTTTCCGAAGTAAATGTTGTGATGAAAGGCAAACTTCTTCCTACCCCTTGTATTCAGGGTGGCCGAGTTCCTCCACCTGCCTGTCCAAGAAGGAGAAACAGGGCTGTGAAGGGGCAATTTCATCTAGGTGGGCTGAGGTGGCATTCTAGCCGGGGTGAAGCATGCGTTTCCCCTTCCCAGCTTTCCCGCTGAGACACACCTGAGCCCCAGAAGGACCTCAACCTGACCAGGACCTTAGCACCCTCCCCCAGACCCAGGCTTTCCATCCTGACCTGCAAATCCAACATGCAGCTTTGAAGGACTTTCTCATGGTTTCTGAGCTCCTTGCTCTCACCAGAAAGAATCAGAACTTTTAAAGTGTTCTTTATGCCAACTTAAATTTTTCATTTTTACTACCTCATGTTTTGGATGAGGCATGTATTTTTAAATTTATTTTCACCCTTATTGTACCTCTATGATAAACTGCTTGCTTACATTCATACCGTAATTATCTCTCAGGTTACTTGTCTGTTCCTAAAGATTCACTGAAACGAAGAATTCTATATATGCTTGTATCTTTCAGCAACCGTATGTCAGATAGCACTGCACATTACTGCAGACATCGCATATACAGGTCCAAAGGTAGAGGAAGAAGAAGAAAGCAAGCGTTAAGCTCTATACATTCCTAAAAGCATATCAGAAACTCACAAATAACAGTGAAATCAAAGAATGATCACAGCCAATTCCATTACATACCTAGACTGAAATACGAAACTTCAAAGAAAAGAAACATTAGAACTTTGGGTTTGTAAAAATTTTCCTATATAGATAAAATTATTGGTAACTGTGTCTCACTAGAAAACGTAAACAAAAGTCCATGTTTTTCATATTTGTAAATATACATAGTTTTATTTCCATCAGTTATGACATGCAAGCAAGTAATAAAGTGAAAGTACAATCAAATGATATATGGAACTTCCTCAGTCTTAAAATATTCCATGGAGACTATCAATTTTATGAAAACTATAAAGAATGCTTCATGAAACTACATTGTACAGTGCCATTTACTATTTTACTGACATTTTAAATAATCAACAATTAAAGGGAATACATCAACATTATTTAATACCAATAACGTTATTTTTCTTGAGTAATCCTGTTGAAATTAAGGATTTTAAATAAAACATTAAAAACAAATTATATTGACTGATTTCAGCTTTGGATGAAATCATACTTGTGTATTTGTAGTAATGCGAAGCATAACTTTCTCCTCACAATTAATCTTTTATAACATCGGTGTTATAGTTTTCTCTGACACCAACATTGTGATATCGCACAGGTTTACTGCATGCATGCATTACATGCCTCCAGAGAGTAGGCTTCAAATATATGGAAAAATTATATTTATGAAAAAATTCTAGGAAAGGGAATGGTGAAATGGAAGAGAATTTCTCACTTGCTAACTGTTGGACATGGATTTGTATATATTTGGATATAGACACATACTGGCACACTGTGAGTTTGCCCATGTATATATACACTTATATGAGAAACCCATAATATATGGGTTGTGTAATCTTTTAATTAATCCATAATTGTATGTGTGTGAAATTAGATAAGCGGTTACCTTTTCTTTACTCAACTTGATGGAAAGCCAAAAAACTCTGTCCACCTTCATTTCAATTAATCCAATACTGTTAACTGCTGGTAGCTTCATTCTCCTTGTTCTCTTACGGCAACCGGAAAGTTAATTCTCGCTCTAATTTGGCTTTCAAGGTGCGATCAACAAGAGTGTCACCTTGCTGTGGATTGTGACCTCTGACTCCACCTCTGTCTTCCTTTTGCAGTCCTACCTTTGCATAGGTAACAAACTTTGTACATGGTTAAAAGGATAAAAGTTCAGTGAAATGTCAAGCCATGCTGTGAAATGTTCCATAGTTTCTATATCTCTAATTGTCCTTTGATGTTATAGAGGCAAGAAAAATAATTCAATGTTTTTCTTAGTATCTAGTCCAATGCACTCTTTCTTCATAATACTGCAAACAAGGCACTGACATGGAAACGTGGCTGGACGTCTCAAAATCTCTTCTCATTAATTACCATTATGTTAATCACTGTTGCCCACAACTGGAATTGGACTTTGAAATCCCCTGGTGGAAATTGCTATAATGGCTCAAACTACTGGAAAGACTATCTTTTTTTTACCTGAAAATATCTGATGAGCATAGACGTATGCTATATACAGGAAGATATTGTACATTAACAACATACCATCACTGCCACTCAATAATAGGTATCCCAAACCTTTGAGCCAAACTGAGCTCAGGTGCTCCCACAAACCAAGCTTTTCCCTCCACAGATTTCTTATGTCAAAAAGCCACAACTCCAGGCCAGGCTTCGTGGCTCTTGTTGTAATTTCTACATTTTGGGAGGCCGAGGTTGGTGGGTCACTTGAGGTCAGGAGTTGGAGACCAGCATGGGCAACATGGCAAAAAGCTGTCTCTACCAAAAATACAAAAATTAGCCAGACCTAGTGGCACTTTCCTGTGGTCCCAGCTACTTGGGAGGCTGAGGTAGGAGAACCACCTGAACATGGGTGGCAGAGATTGTATAGTAAGCCAAGATCAGACTACTGCCTTCCAGCCTGGATGACACAGCGAGACCATGAAAAAAAAAATAAAGGCAACTCCACTCGTCCACTGGCTTAGGTAAAAAATACTGGAGTTGGCTGGGCTCGGTGGCTCACACCTGTATTCCCAGCACTTTGGATTTTGGGAAGCTGAGTCGGGCGGGTCACCTGAGATCTGTAGTAGGAGAGCAGCCTGGCCAACATGGTGAAGCCTGGCTTCTACTAAAAATACAAAACATTAGCTGAGCGTGGTGATGCATGCTTGTAATCCCAGCTACTGCAGAGGCTGAACCTGGGAGGCGGAGGATGTGTTGAGCTGAGATCCTGCCACTGCGCTCCAGCCTGGTCTACAGAGCGAGAGTACCCTGTGAGAAACAAAGGTGAAGAGAACAAGAAAAAAAAATGAGAAAAATAAGACCCACTGCAAAAGGTTGCCACAGAAAAGATTAAACATTTCAGCAACTTCTATCTTCTATCATGGAAGCCAAGGTTATTTGGACCAAACCTCCTGTCTTAGTTCATTTTCACGCTGCTGAAGAAGAGATACCTGAAACTGGGAATAAAAGGAGGTTTAATTGGACTGACAGTTCCACATGGCTGTGGAGGCCTCAGAATCATGGTATACGAATAAAGGCACTTCTTACATGGCAATGCCAAGAGAGAATGAGGAAGAACCTGAGGCAGAAACCCCTGAAAAACCCATCAGATCCCGTGAGACTTCTTCACTGTCACAAGAATAGCATGAGAAAGACCGACCCCCATGATTCAATTACCTCCCCCTGGGTCCCACCCGCAACACGAGGGAATTCTGGGAGATACAATTGAAGCTGAGATTTGAATGGAGACACACCAAACCATGTCACTTCCCAAACAATTAAAAATTCCCAATAGAAGAAGCATTAATTATATCAAAAAGTGGTGGACCAAGAAGGAACTATTAGCCTCATATCTCAAGAAAGACTCCAGTCAAGGCCTAGGGACTACTCATGAAAAGAGTTTAATAGCCGACTCTCTCCCAGTGGATCTGGATTCCACCGGACTGTATCTTCACAGTAAGGGTGAAACAGAAGCAAACCCATTCCTATTTCCAAGCTCAAGGAACTTTGGTCAAAGTTCTCTTGGAGCTGAGCAGAACAAGGAGGCAAACAGAAAAGATTTGTGTCCCTGAGAAGTCATGGCCACAGGCTGGCTATCACACAGATTGTCAAGCCAGTTCCATATTGCATGGGTATTACAGAAAACCTCAAAACATAAATTTGTGTGTGGGTTGTCCCAGAGTAGCAGGATCTGGCAGAAGGAAATTTCCTTCTAACCCTCAAAGAATCCACATAAATCTTGTTACATTTGGGATTTTACGATTTGCTTCAGGAATGAGAATGGCCTTAATTTTCATATCTTTTTCTACACTCAGTTTATGGCTTGTTGGCGTCAAAGTTCTGCTTGCTTCACACAATGAGTTTAGGATTTTCCCTTTTTTATTCTATAGAATTCTTCATATATATTGAAATGCTCTGCCTGGGGAAAAAAATCTGAGCCTAGCGTTTTATCTCTAGGAAGAATCCTTTATTTCCTTGAACATTTATGAGACTATACAGATTATATATGTCTTCTTGTATCAATTTTACTAAGCTATATACATAGCTTATGTTTATATATTATATATATAAATGTAAGATACAAATATAAAAATTATGTATAAATATGAAAATATATATAGAAAGCGATATATATGTCTATATATATAGACAGATTATAAATATCTGTCTATTTGATCTAAGTTTTCAAATTTGTAGGTTAAGGTGTTAACGATATTTCCTTATTAGCTTCTTAATCTATGCTGTATCTATGGTTGTGTACCTTTTAAATTCTTAGTTTTATCTATGTTTTCTCCCTTTTTTTCTAAACTTGACTGACGGTTGCATCATTTATTATATTTCTCCAACAAGCAAAGGTTAGCTTTGTATGTTTTACTAATTTTGTCTACATCATTATTCCCACACTTTAGTTTTTCAGAATTGATTCTGTTGTTTCTTTTCTAATTCTTTATTGAAATATCTAGTACATTAATTTTCAAGTTATTAGAGAAATATTTGTCTGTAAACTCCTATTGTAATATCACTTTTCTTGCTACTCACAGATTTAATCTTTAATATTGGCGGTATCATTGAGTTCTAAGTACATTTCAATTCCTAGTATGATAATCTATGAATTGCTGAGAAATAGTGTTTACAATTTTGTTGTTCTATTTCCACTTAAGTTTATTTTTACTTCTGCTAACTCAATTGAAAATTCTTTACTAATTTTTAAAATCCTTGAACCCAAGAGATGGAGGTTGCAGTGAGCTGAGATCAGGCCACTGCATTCCAGACTGAGTGACAGAGTGGAACGAGATTTCAAAACAAAACAAAACAAAACAAAACAAAACAGTCACTGGAAAGATAATAAAATACATAAATGTGGGATGTAATATGTAATCGTGATAAAATAAACTGGATTTTTTGTATAAGTTATACATATAAATGTAATGCCAAGACACTGATAAGACAACTCATGGTCTTATCTCAATACTTAGTGTCTTCATGTAACATATGTCCTTTAGGATAGTTATAGTCCGTTTTCTTTCCAGGAGAGACAGATGAGAATGCAGAAATGTTAAAGTGCAAGGGACGGAAGCTTCCAGCTGTGCCCACCTGTAACCTGACGTAGACAGTTCCACCGTTTGCTTCATTAATCATGCCAAAGGCTCTAATGCAAATGTGGTAGAGAGTCACATGTTTTTGTATCTACATGATAGAAACTATAACTTCATCCCTATATAGAAGGGTATATAGCATATGCCTCAGTGATAAATATAAGTGAATCATTGATCAGTAGGAAACCATTTTAAAAGTCTTTCATAACAGAACAAAATCCCTGAAAACATTTTCTTCTCAATCTCTGAGTTTTCTTACACGGCTTATGAATCTCTAGCCATACTAAAGAGATAGTATGCTGCTCTTCCCACAAATTATTCATTGTATATAATTCCTGTAATCTAATAACAGTACCTTTACACCTCAGGGTTTAAAATGACTCCAACCTTTTTCTGTTTCTCCAATTAAAATAACTTTTTTAAGGTTTAATCTTCAGTAATTTTTTGTAGTAATATTTTTGAAGGTATTTGACCAGGATGATTTGCTTATATACCTACCTGACGTCTCCCTTTCTTCTGAATACATATTTTATTAACCACCTATTAGATCTAAGTTTAAGAAGTTGGAATAGGGATTTAAATCTAAATTCTACATTTGAATTTACAGGAGTCAGCGAGTCCGGGAAGTGCCTTTATGCACAGACCAATATCTGGCAATGGCACTAGGAGACAAATAAGCTTTACCAGTCTCAAAGCCCTGGCTACTACAGTGAATCCACCCTTCTCCTGGATCTTATCTACTTCAGCAAAAGAAGGCCACCCACTAAACCAGGCCCTTGTACTTTGGGTGGAAACTCCTAAGTCCTCTAGTCTCCTCAAACAGACAGCCAGGCTGCCAATTTCCACAATAATAATTTCTATAGCACTGAGTCTTTGGTAGCCTTGTAACTATAGCTACTGATGCTACAGTCTGGTCCCTGTATGATAAAACACCAGAGCAACAGAAACAAAAATATTGACTGAAGCCTTCTAAAATCTCTCTAAATATACCTTCAATAAATATGGTTTTTTTTACAGATCGACTGCTTTCAGCTTCCTGAACTAACGCTTGGCCTTCGCTAGTTGTCACTGTTGAAATTGATTCAAAAGTGTACATTTAACATGAAAGTCAACACAGAATTTCATGTGTCAGCAACTAAAATTTTCAAAATGTTGCAAAATACAAATGTGAAACTGTATTTGTGAAATTTACCATTCATTGAAATTATATTTTCATACCTACCCAGGCACAGAATTTTTTATAACTGTCTGCATGTTCTCCTCATGTGGGGGAAAAACAGCATCAGCAGGCAGAGGAATCCTTTGAAGCTGGAGGGAGAGGTTGCAGTGATCTGAGAGTTTGCCACTTGACTGCAGCCTGGATGACACAGTGAGACTCCAACTGAAAAGAAACAAACACACACACACACACACACACACACACACACACACACCCCCAAAATTGATAAGTAAAAAAAAAATCCATATTCGAAAACATGCTCACAGGCTAACTCCCATATCTAACACACACACACACACACACACACACACACACACACACACAATTCCTTGAAAACGAAAGTTCCACAAGGGCAAAACAAGAAAACAAATTTAACACCCCCCAAAGAAAGTACGAAGAGTAACCTCAAAAGAACCGCAGGGGAAAACAATTCAAAATTTACAAGTATCTACCCTAAAAGAAGCTGAAAGTCCCTCAAAAACTTTCCAGAGGCCATGTCCTTGTATTACAAAAATGATCATAAAAACTGGCAGGAGTAGACGAATAGAAATGCATCTTAAAACTTGCTAAACCCTTCAAGTCTCCCATAAGAATTGTAATGGAAAATGGATCGGTCGGCAGCTTTTTCCATACAATTATGAACAAATTATATTTCTTCATACATAGATTTGTTTTTTCAATATTCTAAGGAATTAACTTTTATATTAATAGTAGGTGATGTAAGAAAGCAGGCCTTTATCAAGATAACTGACACTGGATGTCCATACCATTACTCAGGTGGGCCTTAATTCCCAGCCGGGTTCCCTCCCTGGACACACACTGAAGGTCCCCAGCCATTTGGCAATCTCTTCACATTCCCAGCCCTGGAGGTAGCCCTAAAATACATGTACCTGAAGAAAATAAAACATTGCCTCACACTGGAGCCCAGTGTGGTCCTCCAGATTCCGTGTGAGGTGGACTAACTTATATGGGAAGGCAGGGCAGCGGGAGTGAGGATGGCAGAGAGGATTACACATGTCAAGGCAGCCGGGGTCATGGAAACAAAACATGACTGGCCTGGGAGAAACACTGTGAAAGGACACAGACCTAGGTGGGCCTCAGGTGGACATCCTCGTGGAGAAAAAGGGGGCCCTGGTTGATCTCAAAATGAGCCCCAGGTGGTAGCAGGTCTTACCGCAGGGCAGGGAGCTGGCGAGTAATGATGAGACAGCTATCCCTTAAGCCCTGCTTGTCACCCACTGACTTTAGCCACATATGCATCATAGTGGCTTAAGGTGCCCCGATCCTGAAATGTGGGTGTTACATGTCCCTGATGGGCCTCTCTCCCCCAACCCACGGATTGCCTGGGATTGCTCACTGCAGTCTCCTCCCGGATCCTTGGGTTCTCCATGTGGGGCCCAGATCCAGGTCAAAAGGCCTCTCAGTTCCCAGCCCTTCCCAGCCCTAGGCTGCTCGCCTGGCCTCCTCTCTGTTCCGCCTCTAGGGCTGACCCTCTCTCCATGGGATAGAACTGCAATGGATTGAGCCATAGGCCCTGGCTGATGATCTAGGGGACTGCAGAAGTGGGTCCAGGACAGTTCAGGTGACAGTTCAAAGCCAATTCCCCAGAGACCAAGGAATGACCAGCTAGGTCCTTTCCCATGATGCCCCACGGCGAACCCCACCTCAGCAATCCTGCCAAAACCCGGGCAGTCATGTTCAGCCAAACAGCTGAATGAGCTCAGGTAGGAGGTGTACTGCCTGCAGCTGGAGGCTTGACCTTCGTGATCCCAGAACCGCTGGACTGCAGTGGAATGAGACACCCTGTAGCCTGCAGGGAGAGGAGTCAGGAAGGTTCATGCCAGTCCCACCCTCCCACACACCAGCTCCCCTACCATGCTGGGAGGCATTCCTTACCGAGGATGCCAACACAGTGCTCCTTCATGATGATTTCACTGTGGAAATAAAGGTTGGGATGAAAGGAAATCATCCTGCCACCGGTAACCGGGATGGCTGAGTTCCTCCACCTGCCGGATCAAGGAGAAAGAGGATGGATTCAATGGGACCATCTCAACTAGCCGGGCTGAGGTGGCCTACTAGCTGTAGTGAACCATGAGTTTCCCCTTCCCAGCTCTCCCACTGAGACAACCCTGGTCCCCAGGGGGACCTCAAACTGACTCAGACACTGGACTCCTCCCACAGACCCAGGCTCCCCAGCCTGACCTGCAAATCCATCACGTAGCAAAGCAGGACTTCCGCATGCTTTCCGACCCACGCCGACATCTCGTGTGCCAAACAATCTACCTCTGCGCAAGAACTCTCCAGAGGATTGGGTGGGCAAGCCTCGTGACGCCTTGCAATTTCGCAAGAACACAGACAATGTGGAACAGGGCCATCTCCCAGACATTTGGCCAGTCACCCTTCATTGTTGGCCCTCTATCTCTGTCTGGCGAGGAGGCAACGCCACAACTGTGGTGGTTTTTGGAGTGGGTGGACCCCGGCCAAGACGGCCTGGGCTGACCAGAGACGGGAGGCAGAAAAAGTGGGCAGGTGGTTGCAGCTGAGGGACGGGAGGGACCGGGGGTGGTGTGAGGCGGCTGCTTCTCTGGGTTTCTGAGATGCAGGAGGCCTTTGTGTGCTGGGTGCTGGACATGCTCCGCTGATGTCCGGGTGTGTGGTGTCCTCTTATCCTAGTCTCCCTGAGGGGTGGGCCTGTCCACCTGAGGGAAGCCTTGTAGTTAGAAGCCACAGCAGGGTCGTGCCTGGCGCTCTCCAAGGGAATTGCGTGGGTCCAGAGGAAGTTATACAGGCTCAGGGCCTACACGCCTTTGAGTGCAGCGCCTGCAGTTGGATGAATGCGCATCTGCGGAGCTGGTGCCCGCCGTCAGGTGGTCGGCAGCCCCATGCGCCGCGAACCCGTCTTAAGCACCTTGTGTTTCTGGGGTGAGCCTGCTGGAAACAGGCACCGAGAGCAGGGGTGGTTCAATGGCTGGTAATGGCATACAGATTCCCCGTCCTCCAGGGACGTTCCCAGGGAAACGCGTCCTTCGAATTTGGGCTGTGCGCAAAGGGACCTTGGCGCCGCGATTCTCCCTTGTCAGTGCTGGCCCTGGCTCCCCTTCCCTACCACGTGCTCCCAGGGCTGCTACAAGCGAGCTGCCCTCACAGCTGCGGGAACGTGGCCTCGGCTCCCACGCTGTCCCCCATCCCCTGCCTCCTGGCTGACCCCACGTGCCTCCCACCTGGCTGCTCCCCGCAAACAGCCCCCATACCCCCCGAGGCCCGATGACTATCCCCTGCTGCCCGCCATCCCAAATCGGCAGCCGCAAGGATATGGCTCTGGCTCACAAGGCGGAGATGCTCTGTGGCCTAGGGCATTCACGGAGCCCAGCTCCAAGTGAAGGACCTCCAGCGAGTCCATTGACGGCCCCGGTGTGCTCGGTCCAGGGCCAGGCTGTGCCCGCTGGCCCTCCTTCTGCCACCCCACGTCGGGCTCCACCTCAACCACCACCTCCACCTCAGCCATGATGTCTTCCACCTTCAGCACCGCCTCCTCTTCCAAGGCCGCCTCCTTGCTCTGTACCCCGGCCGTCCTCTCCAGCATTGCCTCCAGCCTGAACACGGTTTTCTCCTGGGTGCTCCCACAGACCCTGGGCCTGCGCAGCCCAGCCCAGCCCAGCCCATGCCCCGCACCCGTAGGCTCTGGGGGCCCGCTCCCCAGCAGACCCGCTCCCTGCAAGACCCACGGGCGTCGCCCTGCTGTGAACCTGGTCCCACACCTACGTGGACCCAGGTTTCCTGAGGAGCTCCGCTGGACCCGCAGATCCCGCACTGGCCAAAGGGCTCCGGTCCCCAGCAGGCTCAACTGCGCACAGGAGCTCGGGAGCCAGAGGCCCCGGCCCTGGGCTTGCAGAGCCCCACCAACAGGCACCGCAACCGCTGCTGCGGGTGCGGGAGCCTCTGGGTCGTCAAGGCAGCGCACAACAGCGTGCGCGCAGGCCGACAATGGCCAACCCTGGCGGCTGGCCTCTGGTGTGCCCAGGGCATAGGACAAGAGGCCCTTTGGAATGCTCCTTGGAGTACAGCATCCTCAGGGAGGAAGCATGGTACTCGGAGCCTCTATTTGCCTCGACCTGTGAGAGTGTGTGCCGGGGCTCTGGCCTCTACAGCAGATCAATTCCACCTCAGCACCGGCAGGCGACTTTCCTCCCACGTGCCCGCCCCGATCACTTCCCCCAGGACACCCCTGCCGCCCTAGCCCCAGCAACCAGAGAGAGTTCTCTGCATCTGCTGTATTACCTCCGTACCATCTACCTGGCCTGCCTAACGAAGAGAGATGTTTCCTGTGTTCATGACACATAGAGATGTTCATGGCTTGCCACACTGAGGATGTCAGGGCACAGGGCTGCCATGCCCACAATTCCAAAGGCCACGCAGCCCGCGTGTGCCCGGATGCCTAGCTACCCGGCACAAGCTCCAAGGGCTTCTCGGAGGAGGCTTGGGCAGGGAAGGCGGGGGGTGGGGGGGCTGGAGATGCAGGCCCGCCAGTGGCTGTGCCGCCCAGGGAGACGCCCACCGCCCTCCCATTGATTGGCCACGACCGGAGGAAGTCGGCCTGGGTGCGGCCCCCCGGCCCTTCGCGCGCAGTCCCTTAGGGGGCGCCTGGAAGCCCGGCGCATGCGCCCTGAGGGCTCGCTGACCTATCGGGTGCCAGAGAGGCTGCGGCAGGGTTTCTGTGGCGTGGGTCGGGCAGCACAGGCCTTGGTGTGTGCGAGTGCCAAGGAGGGCACCGCCTTCAGGATGGAGGCTGTGCAGGAGGGGGCGGCCGGGGTGGAGAGTGAGCAGGCGGCTTTGGGGGAGGAGGCGGTGCTGCTGTTGGATGACATAATGGCGGAGGTGGAGGTGGTGGCGGAGGAGGAGGGCCTCGTGGAGCGGCGGGAGGAGGCCCAGCGGGCACAGCAGGCTGTGCCTGGCCCTGGGCCCATGACCCCAGAGTCTGCACTGGAGGAGCTGCTGGCCGTTCAGGTGGAGCTGGAGCCGGTTAATGCCCAAGCCAGGAAGGCCTTTTCTCGGCAGCGGGAAAAGATGGAGCGGAGGCGCAAGCCCCACCTAGACCGCAGAGGCGCCGTCATCCAGAGCGTCCCTGGCTTCTGGGCCAATGTTGTATCCTTCTCAGTGTTTCTTCGGCCTTTCTAGTGGAGAGGTGCTCTCGGGGAAGTGTAAGTGACCGATGGGCAGCTCGGCGTCGATGTGACTCTTTGGGGAACAAAGGGGAGTTGCCACGGACCAGTGTGGCTGTGGAAAGCCGGAGCAGGCGTGGGTACTATTGTCCTGCATGCGGCAGAGAAACCCTTGGTGATGCCGAGCAGCAGACGTTTGGGGCATCTTTTTGAAGAGCAGAAGCGAGTTCAGAGCGGAAGAGGTTTTTCAGTGAATGAAGCTATTTTTAAGGGAGTGTGATTGCTGCCCCTTGCTAGTCCGATCTGGGACTGGGCGTCTTCGGCTATAAGCAGATTCTGCCACTCCTCAGACACCAGCAAGTCTCTGCAAATCGCGCCTCCCCATGTCAGTGCAGTCAGCCTCAGAATCATACACCCTCTGTGAACACAGGAGGCCTTAGTTTACGGGGACGGGGAGGCGAAAGGAGATCATACATGGAAGCAGATCTGAGAAATCCCCTACCCCAGCCTCTGGGTGCTCTTAGGCCTTCTTCCCTGTTGCTCCTCGCTTTCCCTTCCATCGTGTGTAAAGTCTCTTTGACCTAAATCAGATTGCAAACCACCCCCAGATGTCAGCCCTGATCACTGACGAAGATGAAGACATGCTGAGCTACATGGTCAGCCTGGAGGTGAGGCCAGGAAGACTGGGGCTAGAGGGTTTAGCGGGGGAGGGTAAGGGAAATAATTCATTCCTGTAAGCAAGAGTGAGCACCTCACCCGAAAACCTATCTAAGCTTTCTCCACCTTGTCCTGACAGGTGGAAGAAGAGAAGCATCCTGTTCATCTCTGCAAGATCATGTTGTTCTTTCGGAGTAACCCCTACTTCCAGAATAAAGTGATTACCAAGGAATATCTGGTGAACATCACAGGTGACAGGTGGCTCCCAGGATGGGTAGTGGAAGGAAGATGGTGGGTGGATCATTGCCAACGGGATCCAGCCCCCTTCCCACAAAAACTCCTGTCTCTGTAGAATACAGGGCTTCTCATTCCACTCCAATTGAGTGGTATCCGGATTATGAAGTGGAGGCCTATTGCCGCAGACACCACAACAGCAGCCTTAACTTCTTCAACTGGTTCTCTGACCACAACTTCGCAGGATCTAACAAGATTGCTGAGGTGAGTCCTCACTGGGAAACATGAGGAATGACCCCGTGTGTTCCCAGCTGCTTGGGTCACCTTTCTGAGCCCTGATGAGGCCTTTCCCGATTGAGTCCCCTGACAGATCCTATGTAAGGACCTGTGGCGCAATCCCCTGCAATACTACAAGAGGATGAAGCCACCTGAAGAGGGAACAGAGACGTCAGGTGAGCCGTTAGTTGGCACTGGAGCTGTTTGATGCCCAGTATAAGGGGGTTGACACACCTGCCTATTCAGGGAGCCTGGGTGCTCATTTCAGAAATGTAGAAATTGAGGCTCCTTTCGTACATGTAGAAATTCCTTGAGAGGAAGACAGAGAGTGACAGAATCCAGGACGTTCATGGCATTGGGCTGAAAAGGCACGTTAGAGACTGCACTGCAAAGCGGGTGATAGCTGTGGAGTCTTAAGCCCAGTGAAGAATCGTCCATTTCCAGAATCAATGAGAAGTAAAGCTGAAAATCATTCAGTTCAGTCTGTGGCACTTGATTCCACGGCTGTCAACCCCACCGGCAGTCATCCCACCAACCCCATGAGATTGGGCTCCCTGAATGTGCGTCCTGGTCATCCTTGCCCCAAACCACAAAGGACTGTTTAGATTGATGGATTTCCTTAAGCTGTTGCCCCATCAGACTTGTGTGTGCTTTTAGGGCCCAGTGCATCTTGTTAGCTGACTCCCCTCACAGACAATACTGGGAATGGGGCAGGGATTGCGCAGAACAGTTTGTAACACGTGGTAGGAGGAAGTTTAAGGGATCACAAATGGGGAAGGGATATCCTTTTCTCAGCGGGCCCCACAATTGAAACATTTCAAAGTATGGCTCAGAGAAAATGCGTTTTAACATGAGTTTGTGTTTCTCTAGGGGACTCCCAGTTGTTGAGTTGAATATGATGGAGCATCAGATTTTACCTAATACAGCAGAACTCCTAAAAAGTTACAGCCATATGCAGGACGGCAGTACTCAGCATGGTCTTATGCACAGGAACTAAAGGAAAAAGAGATCGAGTCACAAAAATTCAGGAAGAGGGGGTAAATGTGGATTGTATGGAATGAAAAATAAACATTCTCAAGGATGTGTGACTCTGTGTCTGTGTGTGTGTGTGTGTGTCTTTGTGTTTGTGTGTGTGTGTGTGTGTATGTTTATCCACTTTATTCGGGTGTCATAATGAATTGATCAATCCACGTGCTTTATTCTCTTCATGGAAATAACCAGTCTGCGTTGGAGCTGGGCCTCTAAAGTTGTAGAGTGAATGGGTGTGGGATGTGTTGGGATTCTTCCTACAGGACAGAGTGGGAGAGGTAAAAGCAAAAGACAGCTTAGTTGGAGGCTGACTTCGTCCTGTGGAAGCAGAGATAGTTCAAGGAAAGGGGTTACTGGGTTTCCAGGGCCCAGTTTGCTGGGACCTCCAAAATCCTTCATTTTGGGTATCATCATACACAGTAGCTAAGCACAGGATGATGGAAATCTTAAAGTTCGCTTTCGTGTTGAATCCACATGTTCTTTTAAAGGTGAATGCATGATCCTTTTCTGGGACAATCAGCCTCTCAGGACTTCTGAAACATCAACGTGAGAAGAAATGGGCATGTAAGGTGTATGGAGGGACTGTGGGAAAGGTGACAGAGGCATGTGGGAAGGCATTCAGGATACGCTTTTGGCATAGATGACTAAGGGAAAACAGAAACTTACAGAAGTGAGGGGAAAGGGGGTGGATTAGTGGAATATAAGATTGTTGGAGAATCCATCCATGGACTCTCTTGTCACTTGATGACCCAGGATATGGACACTCTTGTTGATGTTTACATCTTTAGTTGTTTTAAGCTTTTCTCCAAGATTCTGTGTTAGGTGAGGAGCCAATAACGTATGTAGCTAACAACAGTACGAGTGCATTTTGTGCTCTTGCAAAGTCTAGTGAGGCTCTATTCTCCCTCGTGATTGGCACTGCAGATTGTATCTGGAGCCCAGGGCCCCTAAATTTTCTGTGGCCTCTTCAGCATAGTTTGCCTAAGGTTTAGAACGTAAAGCGAATATAGTTGCGGAATATGTTTTGCAAGCCTCACACAGGAGGACAAAACATACAGCTTTCATTCGCGAGTGGGAGGCTGCTTCCCAGGAACACGTGTGTCTGCACAAGACAAGGGGTTGCCTCTGTCAAGGATGGGGCAGGAGGATTTCAGTGTCGGAGGCAGAACTTTCTTTCCTGTTCCCAGATGAAACAGTTCCAACACGAGCATCCATGTTGACCACACGCTACTAGAGTGCTAACATTGCTGTCCCGTATAGACTCTGGTCAGCACAGCTTCTGTGAGAAGAGCTATGTTGTTTCAGGGAAGAGGGTTTGACAGTCAAAGTTCCTGAATCTGTTGTGGTGCCTGCAATATGCATTCTACCCCTCCTGCTCGGTGTCAAAGCAGTTGAGCTTTGAAAATCTATCGCCCGGTTTTGTCCCTGCTCCTATGCAGACCTCTGAAGCTCTGGAGCGGGAGTCTTGTCCTCCTCTGACTACCGTCCCCCTGACCCACAAACACAGGAGAAACAGGTGTTCTAAGCAAATTATTCTGAAAACAGTCGGAACCCTTTGGCCCCCTCAAGCTGCCCTGTATCCTACTGTGTGCATGTCAAAGACACTGTGGTCCAGTACGGTATCCCTATAGCGGCAATGGGGCAACAGATTGGTGTGTGCACTCTGGGCAACTCAGATTAGGAAACGTCTGGGGACTTGCCTATAACGAGGTCGTCTTAAAACGTGTTGCCCCAAATTTAAGGCATAGGAAAATGTTGAGGAAAGGGTCTTGCAATGATTTTTCTAGGAGGTAAATAGATAAGAAAATGACCGTAAATAGATGCCAGGGCTAGTTTTGGAGCTAGCCTGTTTTAAAGTGGTGGTAGGGGAGGAGCTTTTTCCAAGGCAGGTAGCAAACCAGGAACTGTCTACGATGGATGGGCGTGCCACGGGTTGGTGGCTCAGCCATATTGCCACCCCACCGACTGAATGCAGCAGACTGGGCTTCTTCCTTGAATCCTACGTGCAATTCAGTCTAGTGATTTCACATGAGATCCCTTCTTCTGGTATTATCACAGATCGTGCTGAATTATACAGGCTGTGTAATGCTTCTTCCACTGAATATCCGTGCACGTGGGCCACAGATGCTAAGGGCACTGACAAATTTGCACCGTGCCTCAGTAACTCGGAAGCACATCTGTGATTTGTACCGACAGGGACTTGGTGTCTTTTCGTGTTTAAAGTAGCACGTGTGTGTTTGTGGTTGCGTATGTTTATTTCTCTGTGCGGGTTTGTATATTTTCTCTGACTCCACCTGTGTCTCCGTGGTTCCGATATTTTTCCACACTCCCTGCGACAATTTGCACATGCCTATCTCTACAACCATTGTAGACTTTGTATCTGTGTCTTTGAACATCTGTCACTCTCTCTCCCTTCCTTTTTTCTTTTCCTTCCTTTACACCCCTCCTTTCATCCTTCCCTTGCTTCCCCACCACACTCTCTCCATCTGTATCGTCTATCTTTCTATTCTCTATCTGGGTTTACTTTCTAATTCTGAATTCAAGGGCATTGAATTGAAAAGAAGCACTCTTCGTACTTTTATGTGTTTTAACTCATTTGGGGAATTTGGCGTGGTATTATTTACAGGGTTCTCTCTGCCCTTTCTCATTGTTCTCCCCAGCCGGGGCTGTTATTATGTGAAAGCTGGTTTCCTTCATCACATCGCGTAGGCTCTAATGATGTTTCGTTTATTTTGATTCTCCTCACACTACATAGTTTTAATTTACCTAATGTGACTGTTTTTTTGTTTGTTTTCCGAGAATGGGTCTTACTCTGTCTTCTAGGTTGGACAGCAGCCCCACGATCTCAGCCCACTGCAGCCCAGGCACCACACACCCATGTGATCCTGTCAACTCAGACTCTCACACACCTGGCAGTACAGGTGCATGCCACCCCTCCAAGCTATGTATTAATTAACTAAATACTTACTTTTTGAATGTGGGTCCATGTTGCCCCAGGCTCATCTGGAACTCCTGAGTGCAGGCAATCCTCCCACCTCAGCTTATCAAAGTGCTGGGATGACAGGTGTGACCCATGGCCCTGCCATGGCTTTGTGTTTTTTGCTTTTTTCTTCCTCCTCCTCACGTCTTGTTTTGAAACATGCACTGAAGGTTTCAATTCATGGACTATAGTCTCTGTGCCTGGAATTTCTATCTTTCAACTCATCATCAGCATTCATTGGGATTTTCATATATATATACACCTATATAAGAATACCTATGTACACACATATATACGTATATACATGTATATACGTATATATGCACATTTATATACGTATATACATGTATATACGTATATATATACATGTACACATATGTATTTATTTCTCAAGTTACGAAACGGCTTGCATTCTTTCCTGTGTCATGAAAAAGACTTTGCTAGAAAAGAAAAGCACTGCTTTATAATAAAATATTTTATTTGCATTTATTTTGTTAAGGCATTTTAAAAATTGTATGTTTGTTTAAAAAATGTCATATGAAATGATACATATTTACAACTTAAGGCGTGATGTTCAACAGGTCATATACATTATGCATTGGATACATCCAGCCAATCAACATATGTGTGACCTCACATAGTTGTCATTTTTGTTGTGAAAAAACTTGACCTGCACTGTATTCGAATATTTTTAGAGAAAGAATATGTTACCACTAGTTATAGTGAGCATGCTGAAGAAAATATTTTTAACCTATTCCTCCTTTATAACTAGAAGTATGAGTTCTTCATCCAGCATCTCGTCAGTGCACCCTCTTCACCGCAGTCATTGGAGTCACTACTTCTGTGAAGTCCGCTTTTTTGATTTCATATAAGAATGAGATCATGTGCTATTTTCCTTTCTGATACCTGGCTTATGTCACTTAACAGAATGGCATGCACACATTCAGCAGATTCCCACACATTCTCACAACTGGCAGGATTTCCTGATTTCTTATTGCAGCGCATATTTCCGTTGCGCATATGCGTTTTTGCCCCATTTTTTAATCCACTTATCAATGGAGGGACACTCAGGTTGCTTCCGCATTTTGGCTACAGCAAAAATGTAATGAGTGCAGCAATAATTGCATGGGTGCGCGCACCGCTTCAACATACTGATCTGTGTACTGGCGGGCGTGCCCGGGTATTCTGATTTGCTGGATCATATAGTGGGTGGTTCTACTTGTAGATTTCTGAAGGCTGTTTATACTTAAATAAGAGCCATAAAGCTTCTTTAATGCCAGCACTAATTTACATTCTCCCCAAAAGTGAGCAGGGAATTCGTTTTCTCTGCCTCCTCACCAGAGATTAGGGTTTTCTTTTCTTTCTTTTTTTTTTTTTGTTTGTTTGTCTTTCGGATAATATGCATTCTGACTGAAGTGAGAAGAAATCTCATTGTGTTTTTGATTTGCATTTTCGTGATGGATTGGGGATAATGAGGAATTTTTAGTGTGTCTTCTGGGCAACTGTATGTCTCAGTTTCACAAATGAGTCTTCGCAGCCTTCGCCCATTTGTTTTCATGCTATTGAGTTGTTGGGAGTTCCTTATGTACTGTGACTATTCCCCCATGAACAGATGTATGGTGATCCAATCATTGCTCCCATCCTGTAGGATGCCCCTTCTGTATGTTGAGTTTTCTATGGTGTGGTGAAGCACTTTAGTTTGATATGATTCCATTCTCTATTTTTGATGGTGTTTACTGTGTTCTTGCAGTCACTTTGAGACCATCATTGCACACACGGACGCCATGGAGCTGCTTCCTTGTGATCTCTTCTGCTATTTTTATCGTTTCACATCTGACACTGGAGTTTGGTGATAAATAATCCACTTGTAAAATCCTTTGTGTGGCTATTCAGATTTCCCCAACCTAGTTTATAGAAGATACTTGATTTTGCATTGGGCGTTCTTGCTTCTTTGGGAAAAGGCTGTGAGCTGCAAATGCAGTGACTTAGTTCTGGGCTCCTGTTGTTTTTCCTAAGCTCTAGTCTCTGCTTTTCTGCCAGCGCTATTGTATTTTGGTACAAAAAGTTTTGTAGTAGTATATCATGAAGTTAGGTAGTGGGGTGGCTCCAGCTTTGTGCTTTTTACTGGATTGCTCTGGGTTTTCAGGATCTTCTGCCATTTCATAGCAAATTTGGGATTCCCAGATTGTTTTCTAAGAAGAATGTGTCATTGATATTTTTACTGGGGTTGTATAGAATCTGAGGATGACTCAGGTAGTAGTGATGTCAATGCCGTTTAGACAATGTGCGTGTTTGTGTGCACATGCTCAGGGCCAAGAGACACTGGGTGTCCTCACCAATACTGAGGTGGGCCTTAATATCCAGCCAGATTGCCTTCTGGAAACACACGGAATGTCCTGTTCTGTTTTGCCATCTCTTCACATTTCCTCCCCTGTGAGCCCTGTGTGGTCCTCCAGATTCCCTGTGCGGTGGCCTGCCTTTTTTGGGGTGGGGAGTTGCTGGGTGAATGAGGATGGCGGAGGGAACCAAGCATGTCAGTGGAGCGTGGTGTCATCCAAACGGTACTTAGCAGGCCTGGGAGAGTCATTCTGGGAGGACGCAGACCTAGAGAGGCCTCAGGTGGGCATCTGTGTGGAGGGTGAGAGATCCCTGGTTGAGCCCAAACTGAACCCCAGGTAGAAGCAAGCCTCAGGACAGGGAAGTAGCTAGCAAGGGATGATGAGGCAGCTATCTCTTGACCCTGGCTTCCCACCCATTGACCTTAGCTACTTATGCCTATTAAGCAGATTACGGTTCCCCCATCGTGAAATGTGGGTACCACAGTTCCCTGATGGGCATTTCTCCACCAGCCCATGATGGCCTGAGTTTCCTTACTGCAGTCTCCTCCCTGAGCCTTGGCTTCTCTATGTGTGTCCTAACTCCAGGACCCACAGGCCTGTCAACCCCCAGCCCTGGGCTGCTTCCCTGGCCTCTTCTCTGTTCCCTCTCTGAGGGCCTAACTCCCTTGGGTAGTGCTGCAGAATATAGAGCCACAGGCCCTGGCTGATGATCTGGTGGACTGGGCAAATTGGTCGTGACAGGTCAGGTTCTGGTTCAAAGCCAATTCCTCCGATGCCAAGGAATGTCGAAGAAGGTCCTTTGCCATGATGTCCCATAGCTGTCCCACCTCAGCAATCGTGCCGTAACCTGGGCCCTCACAGTCAGACAACCAGCTGAAGAAGCTCAGGCAGTGACCTGCGGGAAACTCGGGCTTTCACCTGCATGACCCTAGAACCACTGGACTGCAGTGGAGCCAGTCGCCCTGTATCCTGGAGGGAGACGAGTCAGGAAGGCGCACGCCAGGCCCAGCTCCCGAGGTACTACCCCCTCTACTCCTCAGGGAGGATGCCAACGCAATACTCCTTAGTCATCACTTTGTTTCCGAAGTAAATGTTGTGATGAAAGGCAAACTTCTTCCTACCCCTTGTATTCAGGGTGGCCGAGTTCCTCCACCTGCCTGTCCAAGAAGGAGAAACAGGGCTGTGAAGGGGCAATTTCATCTAGGTGGGCTGAGGTGGCACTCTAGCCGGGGTGAAGCATGCGTTTCCCCTTCCCAGCTTTCCCGCTGAGACACACCTGAGCCCCAGAAGGACCTCAACCTGACCAGGACCTTAGCACCCTCCCCCAGACCCAGGCTTTCCATCCTGACCTGCAAATCCAACATGCAGCTTTGAAGGACTTTCTCATGGTTTCTGAGCTCCTTGCTCTCACCAGAAAGAATCAGAACTTTTAAAGTGTTCTTTATGCCAACTTAAATTTTTCATTTTTACTACCTCATGTTTTGGATGAGGCATGTATTTTTAAATTTATTTTCACCCTTATTGTACCTCTATGATAAACTGCTTGCTTACATTCATACCGTAATTATCTCTCAGGTTACTTGTCTGTTCCTAAAGATTCACTGAAACGAAGAATTCTATATATGCTTGTATCTTTCAGCAAC